>NC_000017.11:81141721-81442131 GCF_000001405.40 Homo sapiens
AGTGGCTCAGGCCTGGCACCAGCTGGTCCCAAGGTGGGGTGGTGAGGGTACATCTGCTGTGCACACGTGGCTGGACGCGCTGGGGGCAGGTCCAGGTCAGCTTCAAGGACTCTGCCCAGGCTAACCCTAGAGGCCTCTAGTGCCAGCAGTTACTTACTTTTTTTCTTTCTTTCTTTTTTCTCTCTCTTTCTCCCTCTCCTTCCTTCCTTCCTTCCTTCCTTCCTTCCTTCCTTTCCTTCCTTCCTTCCTTCCTTGATAGAGTCTCACTCTGTCACCCAGGCTAGAGTGCAGTGGCATGATCTCAGCTCACTGCAACCTCCACCTCCCCAGTTCAAGTGATTCTCCCACCTCAGCCCCCCAAGTAGCTGGGATTACAGGCACCTGCCACCATCACCCTCGGCTAATTTTTGTATTTTTAGTAGAAATGGGGTTTCACTATGTTAGCCAGGCTGGTCTCAAACTCCTGACTTCAGGTGATCCACCCACCTTGGCCTCCCAAAATGCTGGGATTACAGGCATGAGCTACCAGGCCCGCTCTTTTTTTTCTTTTTTCTTTTCTTTTTTTTTTTGAGACAGAATCTTGCTCTGTCACCCAGGCTGGAGCGCAGTGGTGCAATCACGGCTCATGGCAGCCTCAAACTCCTGGGCTCAAATAATCCTCCCACCTTAGCCTCCCAAGTAGCTGAGACCACAGCCTTGCACCACCACACCCGCTAATTTTTACATTTTTTTGTAGAGACAGGTCTCACTATGTTGTCCAGGCTGGTCTCAAACTCCTGGGTTCAATCAATCCTCCCGCCTTGGCCTCCAGTTTCAAAGTTAATGTCTATTTGGCCATTGTCCAGCTCTGGAGCATTGGCTCTGCTGAGAGGTTGGGGTGGGAAGAGGCAGAGCCAGCCACAGGGAGCTGGCAGGGGACCAAGAGCAGGGAAGAGAAGGAGGTGCTTGGGGTGGAGACACCCCCACAACAGGCTGCCGGCTTTGAGTCAGTCCCACCCTCCTGGGAGTGGCTTCTCACCTGTGAGCCTCCCTGAGCAGTAAGGACCCAGCCCCACCCCCGCCCCAGCCAGCCAGCCTCCCTGTCCCCGTCCCCCAAAGTCCACTTGACTTGTAACCACCCTATCCACGGAGGTGTGGACGCATCATCGGCGTGACCCTCACGCCCACCAGGTGGCACTCTCAGCCATTTTACACACGCAGTGGAAAGGACAGGAGGCTCCTGGGACTCTGGGCCACACACAGAGGAACAGGGAGGCCAGCTCCAGGCACAGCGTGGCCTGAGCTCAAAACACAGGCGTGGTCCAGGATGGCGCCTACTCAGCACAGAGCTGGGGGATCCCAGCTTGGGGTGCTGCCGTCCGCAGCGTTGCCGGCACACGGCCTTCCCTCGAAGGCCACGGGAGAGTTCCGAGAGTGGCCTGGCTGAGCCTGAGAGTGGCCCCACAGCCCAAGCCCTTGGCCACACCTGGCTCGATGAGCCCCCACCCCCGCAACGTGCACACGTCCCAGGCGGAAGCCGCCTGCAGCAGCCCCAGGTCCCAGGCAGCCTGTGCGGGACCCTGGAGTCCCAGGACACGTCACCTGACCTGGCCCAGCTTCTACAGGGCTGTCCCTAGGACCGGGTGCTCACTGCAGCACAGGGTGGCCCTGGTCAAAGCCAAGAGCTAGTAAGTTTTCTGTGTTGGGTCCAAATGCACTTCCCCTCAACCCCATCCAGCTCTGCCTGGGGCCATGCAGCCCCCACCCCTTGTGTCCACGCAGCCCCTGCCTCCCGTGTCCACGCAGCCTCACTTCCCCCAGCCATGCAGCCCCCACCCCCCGTGTCCACGCAGCCCCAATTCCCCCAGCCATGCAGCCCCGCCTCCCGTGGCCACACCTGGTCCTCCAGCCTCCTCGACCCCTCTGGCTTCACAGCCTCTCTCCTCAGCACGTCGCCCCACAGTTAGCAATCCCCACCCCTGATGAGGCCAGGACTGTGTGGAGTCCAGGGGCCCCACGGTGGGTGGCCATGGGGTGTGATCCCCACGGGGTAAGGCGAGGCCTCCACTCTCTCCACCCACACTGCCTCTTCTGGAACCTTGGGCCCTGCCTGCCCGGGGCTCCAGGCTCTGCTCACCCGTCGGGTGTGCCTGGCATGCATGCCCCGTGGGTGCGGGCGTGACCCCCACATGCTAGCTCAGTCTGAGGTTCCAAGGCTCCCAGCCATTCCCCCCACAACAGCAGGTGCACCCAGGGTGAGCACGGTGCCCAGGGTTGCCCCTGCATGCTTCCTCCACCCAAGCTGCCTTCCTGCAGGGACGGGTGGCCAGGGTGGCCAGCACATAAGGTGTGGCTCTCTGCCCCCACCCCTGTCCCCGCTCGGCCCTTCAGGAAGCTTCCTGCTAAGTGGCTAAGTGCACCCCTCCAGGAACTTGGGGCTCACTCCCCTCCCCGAGGCAGCCTCTTTCACCTTTTGTGGCACCAACAGCCAGCGTCTCTTGCACAGACCCAGCCTGGCCCACACCTCCCAAAAATGCCCCCAAAATGTCCCCAAATCACACAAACAAATGGATCAGGATCAGCAAAGCTGCAGATAGGAGCCTGGGGGTAAAGGTCAAGGCCCCTTGTCCCAGCCCCACACTGCCCTCCCCATCGCTCTGTGCTGGTCGGGTGTTCACACCTGGGGCAAGGTAGCCAGGACCCTGGGGAGAGGGTGGCCACATCATCAGGGAAGAGCAGGCCTGTGGGTGGCCGAGAGGACACAGTGGCCCCTGGAGGCACCCCCAGGCGGGGCCGCTGCAGCTGGGACAATGGAGGGGCAAGGGGGCCGGGCAGGGGGCCCGCAGGAGCCCACAGGGCTCCCTTGAGAGCCGCCCACCCACTCTCAGTGCCGCACCCCCGGCCATTCACATTTCCAGCGTGGGAGGAGTTCGCCTTCACTGTTACTAAAGCTTCTGTCTTCATCAAATCCACACCGGAGAGTGTGGCAGAGTCTGAGAGCCCAGCTCGCTCCTGTGAATCACAAGCTACGAAGTCCAGCGTGCTGGTGCCCATTAAAGACACTGCCTTAGATGAAGCTCCCGGGTGAAAGAAGCTAACAGCGTGGAAAAAGAAAGCACAGACAGGAAATCTGCCCTTCCAGCGTCAAAAGCTACAATAATTAGAACCTCACAGTGCTGGGGCACAAACCCACCAAAATCTGGGCCTGGCCACGCAGAGGATTCCACACTCCATGAAAAGCCTGACTTCAGGCCGGGCGCGGTGGCTCACGCCTGTAATCCCAACACTTTGGGAGGCCGAGGTGAGTGGATCACTTGAGGTCAGGAGTTCGAGACCATCCTGGCCAACATGGTGAAACTCCGCCTCTACTAAAAACACACAAATTAGCCAGGTGTGGTGGCAGGTGCCTGTAATCCCAGCTACTCAGGAGGCTGAGGCGGGAAAATCGCTTGAACTCCCAAGGTGGAAAATGCAGTGAGTCAAGATTGTGCCACTGTACTCCTGCCTGGGCTATCGATAGAGTGAGACTCCATCAAAAAAAAAAAAAAAAGAAAAAGAAAAAGAAAAAAGAAAAAAATAGCCTGACTGCATAACTTCAGATTAAATGATTCTAAGATAGATTACAGCATCTTAAAAGAAAATAGGTAAATATTAGATTTCTGAATGGAGAAGGATTTGTAAGCTAAAAGCAATGGAAGGGATCGCAAAAGAAAATATTGAAGGCTTTGGCTCCGTAAAAATGTCTGTTCCGGCTGGGCACAGTGGCTCACGCCTGTAATCCCAGCACTTTGGGAGGCTGAGGTGGGCAGATCACCTGAGGTCAGGACTTTGAGGCCAGCCTGACCAATATGATGAAACCCCGTCTCTACTAAAAATACACAAATTAGCCAGGCGTGGTGGCATGCTTCTGTAATCCTAGCTACTCGGGAGGCTGAGACAGGAGAATTGCTTGAACCTGGGAGGCGGAGGTTGCAGTGAGCGGAAATCGTGCCATTGCACTCCAGCCTTGGCAACGAGAGCAAAACTCCATCTCAAAAAAAAAAAAAAAAAAAAAGGGTGTTCGATAAAAGCCCTCAAATTAAAGGCACACAGCGAACCGAAAAAAGCAATTTACAGAAAATATGTCGAAGAGCTGATGTCATGACTACACAGAGCACACAATCAGTAAAAAATAACAAATACGTTAAGACCCCAAACATAAACAAGACTGAGCGCGGTGGCTCACACCCACAATCCCAGCACTTTGGGAGGCCGAGGCAGGCGGATCACTCGAGGTGAGGAGTTCGAGACCAGCCTGGGCAACATGGCCAAATCTCTTCTCTACAAAAAAATACAAAAATTGGCCGGGCGTGGTGGCGGACACCTGTAATCCCAGCTACTTGGGAGGCTGAGGCAGGAGAATGACTTGAACTCAGGAGGTGGAGGTTGCAGTGAGCCAAGATCACACCATTGTACTCCAGCCTAGGCAAGAGAGCGAGACTCCATATTAAAAAAAAAAAAAAAAGAAAAAATTAGCTGGGCGTGGTGATGCACACCTGTGGTCCCAGCTACTCAGGAGGCCGAGGTGGGAGGATCACTTGAGCCCAGGAGGCGGAGGTTGCAGTGAGCCAAGATTGAGCCACTGGACCGCAGCCTGGGTGACAGAGAGAGACCCTGTCCCAAAAACAAAAACCACAAACAAGCAAACTACGTGAAGTCAGCTCACAAATGAGGAAATACAAATTGCCCAACCCGGCAGGGCACGGTGGCTCACACCTATAATCCCAGCACTTTGGGAGGCCGAGGTGGGTGGATCACTTGAGGTCAGGAGTTTGAGACCAGCCTGGCCAACATGGCGAAACCTTGTCTCTACTAAAAATACAAAAATTAGCCGGGCATGGTGGCAGGTGCCTGTAGTCCCAGCTACTCGGGAGGCTGAGGCAGGAGAATGGCTTGAACCCAAGAGGTAGAGGTTGTAGTGAGCCGCCCAGATCGCACCACTGCACTCCAGCCTGGATGACAGAGCAAGACGCTGTCTCAAAACAAATAACAACAAAAAACCAAACTGCCCAATCCGTGAGAAAATGTTCAGCCTTGATCATAAAGAAATGCAAAATTATAACATGTCCAGTTTCCAGACAGCGGGAGTTTGTAGAAGCCAGTAAATCAGAACCGGCTGCCCAGGCCGTTTGGTGGATGTTAAATCAGAACAGCCTGTGGACCTGCCTTCTCTCCAGCCAAGTAATTCCATGTCTGGAAATTTACACTAAGAAAATAACCTAGAGGGCACACGCATCCAGAATAAAAATAAAGTAAGGAATGAGAAAGTGAACGCCGCAGACGGAAAAAGCTATTTGCACAAAGATGTTCATTGCAGTGGTATTTATAAGAGCAAAAAAGAGGCCAGGCCTGGTGGCTCCCGCCTGTAATCTCAGCACTCTGGGAGGCCGAGGCAGACAGATCACGAAGTCGGGAGATCGAGACCATCCTGGCTAACACGGTGAAACCTTGTCTCTACTAAAAATACAAAAATTAGCCAGGCGTGGTGGCAGGTACCTGTAGTCCCAGCTACTCGGGAGGCTGAGGCAGGAGAATCGCTTGAACCCGGAAGGCAGAGGTTGCAGTGAGCTGAGATCTCACCACTGCACTCCAGCCTGGGTGACAGAGCGAGACTCCATCTCAAAAAAAAAAAAAAAAAGTAAAAAAGAGCCTAAATGTTCAACAGTGAAAGAATGATGAAATAAAAACAATGGTATATCTGCAAAATAAGCCATAAAAAGTGAATTTAAGACTATGTTTTAGGCCTGGTAAGGTGGCTAACATCTGTAATCCCAGGATGCCAAGACTGGCGGATTGCTTGAACTTAAGAGTTTGAGACTAGCCTGGCCAGCATGGCGAAACCCCATTTAAAAAATAAATAAATAAAATTAGCCAGGCATAGTGGCACACACCTGTGGTCCCAGCTACTCCGGAGGCTGAGGTCGGAGGATCGCTTAAGCCCAGGTGTGGAGGTTGCAGTGAGCTGAGGTCATGCCACTGCACTCGAGCCTGGGTGATGGAGCAAGACCCTGTCTCAAAGAAAAGAAGGTGTTTTAAACAAACGGGAAGATATCAATGACGTTATGCTAAGGAAAAGAAGCAGGACGTGCAGGACTCCCAGGACCAGGGCATGAGGGAAACGTGTCATCGTGACTGTAGGGCCTGGTGTATAGACAGATGTGCATATACATATTTGATGAGCTTTGACGTCTCATATACAGATGTTAGAATTAGTGAAATTACACACGGTCACCATGCGCCGTTTGGTTCTCTTCCTTCTACCCTCAGTAAGGGTAGAAACAAGCAGGACATATAACTATTTACAAATCCTGATCACAACTTTGTCAAAAAAAAAAAAAAAAAAAAAAAAAGAACAGAAGAAAGCTGGGAAAAAATACCCCAAAGCGTGAAGAGTTTGTCTTGGGAGGTAGAAATCCAGCTGGTTGCATCCTGTACTTGCACGTTTTCTACAACAAGCATGCACTGCATTTAGAATCAGACGATGTATGATTGTATTTGATTATCACTCAAACCTGATCCCATCACTGCTGCCCTTACAGAGCCGCGCTGGACGCAGAATGGCCACCTGCCCTGGGGTCTCCGTCCACTCTCTGCTGCCCCCACCACGCTCAGCCTCCCACTTGCTCCTCCACCCTGACATGCTGTCCCAACACCCCCGGCATCTTGCAAAGCGCCTGATGTGGTCCTTGGAGGAGCCCACCCCCGTCCACAGGGACCCTTCCTGCTCAAGACCACAGCCCAGGCCAGCTCACAGGGAACGTCCGCTGGACCAGTACCAGCCTCTAGAACGACCGGCTGGACTTGAAGCCACACATGGCTCCGGGATGAGGTACCTGGGGATGAGCCCCGGGGGTTCCCCCAATGGAAGGCACTGGATACAGTGTGGGAGGGGACACCAACGCCCTGAGGTGCCTGCGGCACACCTGGGGCAAGGGAGGGAAGGAGCATACAGACACACGGGCACACACTTGCACACACACACACACGTGCTCTCAGACACATGCACACACACAAATGCACACGCTCCCACTCACGCTCACTCATGGAGATTCGCATATGCACACACTCACGCGCACACTCACGCACACACCCTTGCCTGTGTCCACAGTCCTGCTCTGAGCCAGCGGGGCCTACCCGAGTGTCCAAGGAGCAGATGACCCTGCTAGTGAGGAGCTTGGGAATAGCCCCCAGTTGGGCAGTTGGCGAGGTGTCCCCAGGTGAGGGAGACACGGAGACCGGGGGTGGAGGTGCCTTGGCCAGGCCAGTGATGGGGCAGCGACCCAGGCTCTGTCCTGGGAGCACCCTGGCCGAGCTCTGGGTTGAATGCGTCCCATGACTGGTGAGCAAAAGGGATGGCCATCCCGAGAGCTGCATTCCGGGGCCGGGGCAGCCCCGCCAGCCTCCTCCAGCTTCTGGGCACCCCCTCCATTGTCCGCAGCCCACCCATCCCGGGCTGGACCCTCCTCCCCTGAGCTGGTGCAGGTTCCCTTCCCTGACCCCAGCACATCACCCACCACCACAGCCTCCAGCCCCGTCACCAGGCCCAGTGGCCACCGCCCACACCCAACACCTCCATCGGACTGCCCTGGAGTTTCCCAACCACACACAGCTGAGGCTAGTTCCCCATGCGGTCCTGCCTCCTGCCCTCCCCGGCCTGTGGGAAACCTAACCCCTTCCCCCACCCTCACACCCCAGCCCCCTGAGGAAACCCAACCTCCAATCCCTTGTCTTCTCTCCACATCCTCCAGCCCCTCACAGGCCTCCAACCTCCACCCCAAGGCACTAGCCCAGGAGGACCCTGCTCACGCCTCCCCGGGGATCTGCAGCGTCACCCACCATGGCCATTCCTGACCTAGATCACAGCCACTTCTAAAAGCACTGCCCGCGGCACCCCCAGCCCACCCTGGGCTTGGCTCCCATGGCCGTGGGCTCACAACAGCCCTGGGTGCCTGGAGCCTGTGCCCCCATGAGCTCTGCCCCCTGCTCACGCCTGTCCGGGCTCTCTGCTTGTCCAGGGTTTCTTCGGAGGCAGGGCCCAAGGCACAGGGTACTCAGGAACCCCCGCTGCAACGGCAGTCAGCCCCCATCAGCCCAGCCTCAAAATGCCCGGTGCCTCAGTTTCCCCAGTCTACCTGGAGGGGCATGTCCCTCTGGTCCGACAGCTCAAGCCCCTGAGGAAGGTGAGCAGCTGACCCATGAGGAGGGCCATGATTTTTTTAATGGGAAATAACAAGTGAGTCCTCATGCTGCCGTGGGACCACTGCGGACCAGCCTGGTGCCTCTGGCGGGGACAGCACACAGCTCTGTGGATACTCGGTGTCCAGACAGGCAAATCCAGACACAGAAAGTGCGTGGGTGGCTGAGGGGAGGGGGATGGGGAGGGACCACTGATGGGTGCGGGGCTTCCTTCTGGGCTGATGAGAATGTTCTGGAACTAGAAGCAGTGGTGGTTTCCACACCTTGGTGAATGTTCTACAAGCCCCTGAGCTGTTTGCTGTAAGATGGTTATTTTGTGTTATGTGAATTATACCTCAATACATTTTTTTAAGTGAACAGTTTGACATCCCTCTGTCAACGCTGGGTGGGGACAGGCGCCCCACTCCCACATTCTAGTGCTCCCCCCCAATCCTAGGACTCCCCCATCCTAGTGCTCCCACCCCATCCTAGGGCTCCCCCTGATCCCAATGCTTCCCCCATCCTACTCCTCAGTACCCCCGGCAGCTCACTGCCCATTCCCCCAGACCTCCTTCGTGCTCTGCCACCAGGGATGCCCCCTCTGGGAAGCCGCCCAGATCCTCCCAGAACAGGGACTGTCTCCACAACAGGCTGTCCTGGGGAACTCCCCTATCACAGCCAGAACCCTCCACTGCTCACACCATGAAGAGCTCATTCCTCATCCAATGTCTCTGGGGACCTGAGGCTCCCCCTGGCACTGCCACGTGGAAAGGTGCGGCACAAGGGGTGCTCAGCAGGCTGGAAGCGGGCTCTGGCCCCTAAGGCAGACAGACAGGGGCCTCTCTGCCTGGGTGGCCAGCAGGTGGGCCTCGGCAGGGCATCTGTGGACCTCCTGGCACCAGGGTCCCCTTTCCCCCGTCTGGTGATGCAAACAGGATCCCGTGCAGGAAGGAACTGGCGCAACCCTGGCAGGCGTGCCGCTGAGTCAAGGGCAGACGGTACTGGGGGAGTCAGCATGTCCAGGGGTCAGGCCAGTGTCCCTGGGAAGCCCAGAGTGGTCCCCATTGTCTGTTACGAATACCCCTACCTCTCAGTTGCAGGCTGAAGTAGTAAGATTCTTGGGGTTCCTGGGACAGGAGAAGGGAGGAAGGGGTACTCTGTGCCCCCCTACGAACCACTGTGAGGCAGACAGAACTTTGTGGGCTGGGGAACAGGATTTCCCTGCAAAGGTTTGCACAGGCGCCCAGACACAGAACATTCTGAGGAACGGAATTCCTAAGCAGAGACACAGAGTCACTTTTCCAGGTGGAGACACGGAAGCCGGGTGTCAGCCAAGCCCCACCTGCACAGAACCCAGGCCCAGCCCCACCTGTCTCCCCCACCGACCCCTCCTGTCTCCCCCCTCACCCCTCCTCCCCCACATCCCCCAGAAATGAAAGGACAGACCCTGTGCCTGGGATCAAGCATTAACTTTTCTATGACGCAAGGCTCCTGGGGCTGGGGGGACCGTGGCCGGGGACGCGTGCACACACTTGTGGCTCAGACGCATCCGAGGGGCAGCAGGCCACCTGACGCCAGGCCCCCACGCGACCCAGTTCTTCAGAGGCCCGGCCTCCCCCATCTGGCTGGTCACTTGGGCCCATCTGCCCCCAGCCTCCCAGGACAAAGGCTGTGTCCAAAGGACACCCTGACCCCAAGAGCTGGAACTGCCCTGGGAGTGATTAAGGAGGGGCTTGGATCATAATCCCAAAAGACACCGTCTCAACACCATCATCCAGAATATGCTGAAATCCCTGAAATCTAAAATCCCCAAAATCACAGTCACCAGAGGGTTGCATCGTGTTAGGCAGAGCTGGGACCCTGAGGTTGTCTTTATTTGGAAATTAAGTGTGCTCAAGGGAGATGCACATGGTGGCCAGGCTGACAAGGGTGGCCTTCGATTTGGGTGTCAACTTAATCATAGAAGAAGTGAAAACACAGGCAAAAAATACAAATCTCCCCACCAAATTATTCAATCACGTGAGACTTCCAACCCCTCACAGGCAGTGCCACGCTTGCCTTCAAAAAAACAGCCTTTGGGGCGGGCACAGTGGCTCCCGCCTGTCATCCCAGCACTTTGGGAGGCTGAGGTGGGCGGATCACTTGAGGTCGGAAGTTCGAGACCAGCCTGGCCAACATGGTGAAACCCCATCTCTACTAAAAATACAAAAAATATTAGCAGGGCGTGGTGGCACTTGCCTGTAATCCCAGCTACTTGGGAGACTGAGGCAGAAGAATCGTTTGAACCCAGGAGGCAGAGATTGCAGGGAGCCAAGATTGTGCCACCGTACTCCAACCTGAGAAGAAAGCATGACTCAGTCTCAAAAAAAATAAAAATAAAAAATCCTTTGGCCGGGAGTGGTGGCTCACACCTGTAATCCCAGAGCTTTGGGAGGTTGAGACAGGAGGATCACTTGAGCCCAGGAGTTTGTCACCCACCTGGACAACATAATGAGACCCCGTCCCTACAAAAATTTAAGAATCATCCAGCAGTGTGACTCGAACCTGTGGTCCCAGCTTGTTGGGAGGCTGAGGCGGGAGGATCGCTTAAGCCCAGGAGGTCAAGGCTGCAGTGAGCCACCATTGCACCAGTGCACTCCAGCTTGGGCCACAGAGCAAAACCCTGTCTCAAGAAAACAACAAACCACAACAAAAGTCCTTTGTCAGAGAAGAAGAAGAATTCAACCAGGTCAGCAACCTCAGAAACAGACGCTTGCTGACACCAATACTCCTTCCTGTTACAAAGCACACTCGGCGGTGAGCTGAGCTATCCTTGGGGATCTGATCACCAGAGAAGATGGATTCTAATATTTAGTATTAAATCTAACAGAAAACCAGTGCATGCTTCACTTTGCCTAATGGATGGCACCTTCAAAACCAGCCCTGCTGAATTTTTTTTTTTTTTTTGAGACCAAGTCTCGCTCTGTCACCCAGGATGGAATGCAATGGTGTGATCTCGGTTCACTGAAACCTCTGCCTCCCAGGTTCACATGATTCTCTCGCCTCAGTCTCCCGAGTAGCAAGGATTACAAGCGTCCACCACCACGCTCAGCTAATATTTGTATTTTTGTAGAGACAGGGTTTCACCATGTTGGCCAGGCTGGTCTTGAACTCCCGACCTCAGGTGATCCGCCTGCCTCGGCCTCCCAAAGTGCTGGGATTATAGGCATGAGCCACCGCACCTGGCCTCCATCCCCACTGATTTTTATCAGCTATATACAATTCATGCCCCTGTTGGATTAGGAAATTCCAGAGCTTTCCTGGCTTGTTTCTGTATTAACAACTGGGAAAAGTACAGCACCTTATCAACATTTATTTGAAGATGTGGTGGACTTTGTGGAAGAAAATGGATTTCAATAGAGTCCCCAAACCATGACAGATTTGGAATTAGGTGTGATCAAGGCTTCTAACAGTCAATTTGAAGATGTCACCAATAAAGTTTGTCTTTTCTGTTCAGCCCAACACACTGGGCGGAAAATTCAGATGAGACAGGAACTTCCGTTTAAAGATGCGTCATTTGCCTGCGTGGGTGTTCCTCCCAGCTGATGACACCCCGGAGCGTTCAGGGAATTAACAGCTGCATTTGCCCTAAGAAGCCGGGGAAGTTACTGACTGGCTCGAAAATACTCGTGCGTATGGCAGGATGAGAGGATGCTTTGTGATGGTGTTGTTGCTCCGTCACCAGCACTATTTCCGCCAAATCTGCGGTCTGTGTATGAGGCCCATGCGCAATGGACCTCCCGTACCCCAAACAACACAGAAGCGTGGCACAGAAGACAGGAGAATCTAATAGGAATGCTCATGCAGTACGGGCTGAATCACAGAAGAATTTCAAAAAGAGCAGTGACAGCTCACGCCTGTAATCCCAGCACTTTGGGAGGCTGAGGCAGGTGGACCACCTGAGGTCAGGAGTTCGAGACCATCCTGGCCAACATGGTGAAACCCCGTCTCCACTAAAAATACAAAAATTAACCCAGCGTGGTGGCGGGCACCTGTAATACCAGCTACTCAGGAGGCTGAGGCAGGAGAATTGCTTGAACCTGGGAGGCGGAGGCTGCAGTGAGCCGAGCTGAGATCACATCACTGCACTCCAGCCTGGGCAACAAGAGTGAAACTCCATCTCAAAAAACAAAACAAAACAAAACAGAGCAGTGCCATGTAGAAGATGAATGTGAGCGTCTTCTCCAAGGAGAGCCACAGCCTACGAGAAAAAAAGCAGCTACTCGTCGAAACGCACAGCCTCACCATGTGGTAGTGAGAGGCAGCCAGCTCTTAGGGACTGTCTCTGTGCAACTGCCCGTCACCTGGCCCTGCCATATACCCTTTTTCATAAATCCAATTTTCTTTTTTCTTAGTTTTTTCTTTCTTTTTTTTTTTTTTTTTTTGAGATGGAGTCTTGCTCTGTCACCCAGGCTGGAGCACAGTGGCACAATTTCAGCTCACTGCAACCTCCGCCTCCCGGGTTCAAGCAATTCTCCTGCCTTAGCCTCCCAGGTAACTGGGATTACAGGCGCCCACCACCATGCCCTGCTAATTTTTGGATTTTAGTAGAGATGGGTTTCACCATATTGGCCAGGGTGGTCTCAAACTCCTGAGCTCAGGTGATCCACCCACCTTGGCCTCCCAAAGTGCTGGAATTACAGGCGTGAACCACCACACCCAGCCTTTCCTACTATTTTATTTACTTATTTTTTGAGTCAGAGTCTCGCTCTGTCGCCCAGGCTGGAGTGCAATGGCACAATCTCGGCTCACTGCAACCTCCACCTCCCAGGTTCAAGCAATTCTCCTGCCTCAGCCTCCCAAGTAGCTGGGATTACAGACTTGCGCCATCACACCCGGCTAATTTTTGTATTTTTAGTAGAGACGGGGTTTCAACATGTTGGCCAGGCTGGTCTCAAACTCCTGACCTCAGGTGATCTGCCTGCCTCGGCCTCCCAAACTGCTGGGATGACAGGTGTGAGCCACTGCGCTCGGCCCTTTCCCACTATTTTAAATGGTCAGCATTACTTCTTACAGCTCGCTGTGCTCTGTGCTTCATCTCCAAATCATTTCCAGTGCTGGAGGTGTGAACTGCGTGGAGACCTTTGGAGGGTTCTCATTCATCTTTGCACTTTTTGCGTGTTTGACTCCACGGATGTGCATCACCACGGCGCTGCGCTCTGCACGGAAACCTTGAACTTCCTCAAAAAATGAAGAGATGTCCTGTTCGTACATTCGCATTTGGGCAAGATAAAATTTCTCAAGACCCTGGCTCTGTGGGCGACTGCACGTGTGGCGGTGACCATCAAGGTTTCTGACGGATCTTGTCAAGAGACTTAAGTCATCGTCACAGTATTTCAGACGAACGCAGTGATGTGGCCAGGTGCACATGCTCACCCACCATAGTAGCACGGCTTCATATGTCTCCCTTTTTAATACATTTTACCTATTATTATTATTATTATTATTTTTTGAGACGCAGTCTCACTCTGTCGCCCAAGTTGGAGTGCAGTGCGTGATCTTGGCTCACTGCAACCTCCGCCTCCCGGATTCAAGTGATTCTCCTGCCTCAGCCTCCCGAGCAGCTGGATTACAGATGCCCGCCACCATGCCTGGCTAATTTTTGTATTTTTAGTACAGACAGGGTTTCACCATCTTGGCCAGGCTGGTCTCGAACTCCTGACCTTGTGATCCATCCACCTCGGCCTCCCAAAGTGCTGGGATTGCAGGCATGAGCCAGCGCGCCCGACCTATAATATTTCTTTTTTTTTTTAATAAGGTCTCACTCTGTCACCCAGGCTGGAGTGCAGCGGTGCCATCACAGCTCACTGCAGCCTCGAACTCCTGGGCTCAAGCAGTCATCTCACTTCAGCCTTCCCAGTAGCTGGGGCTACAGGTGTGTACCACCATGCCTGGCTAATTTTTTATTTTTTGTAGAGATGCGGTCTCGTGTTGCCCAAGCTGGCCTTGAACTCCTGGGCTCAAGCAATCCTCTTGCCTCGGCCTCCCAAAGTGCTGGGATTACAGGTGTGAGCTCCCCATTTATTTATGAGCACAGTTCATCTGCTCATAACTGTATGTAACCTGAGCAGCCTGAGGGTTTCCGCAACAATGTATGTTACCATGTTATAATGTATGTTACTATGTTACAATGTATGTTACAATGTATGTTACAATGTATGTTACTATGTTACAATGTATGTTACTATGTTACAATGTATGTTATCATGTTACAATGTATGTTACTGTTACAATGTATGTTATCATGTTACAATGTATGTTACCATGTTACAATGTATGTTACTATGTTACAATGTATGTTACCATGTTACAATGTATGTTACTATGTTACAATGTATGTTACTATGGCCTGTGTTATTGTGTGAAGTGGCCTCTGAAGTTTTTATTTTTATTGAGTTTTTATGTTTTTCAAATAAATCCCTTTTCAAATGCAAATAAATGTTTTTTGTTTTGTTTTGTTTTTGAGACAGAGTCTTGCTCTGTCGCCCAGGCTGGAGTGCAGTGGTGCTTCTCGGCTCACTGCAAGCTCCGCCTCCCGGGTTCATGCCATTCTCCTGCCTCAGCCTCCCGAGGAGCTGGGACTACAGGCGCCAGCCACCACACCCGCCTAATTTTTTGTATTTTTAGTAGAAACAGGGTTTCACTATGTTGGCCAGGCTGGTCTCAAACTCCTGACCTGGTGATCCGCCTGCCTTGGCCTCCCAAAGTGCTGGGATTACAGGTGTGAGCCACCGCGCCCAGACTAAATGTCTTCTAAAGAATCTTTTAAATCATTTTTTTCCTGAATTCGGTTTTTGGAATTTTGACCTTTTGGGATTTCCACACTCAGGATGATGGCACTTGGGATTGTGTCTTTTGGGATTCAATCAGCTCCTGCTACAGAGAGCCCAGTCCAGCAGACCCCTCCTCGGCCCTGATCGCCAGTCAGGCACGAAACTGAGGACCCCCTCCCCAACTCAGAAGCAGGGCCCTGGGCGGGGTACGGCAAGACCCCACAGGCCTCCCGACACAGGGGAGAGAGGGCAGGAGGAGCCTCTGGGACAGCAACGGTGCCCCCACAGGCCCTGGTGGCGGCATCGTGCCCAGCCCTGAACCATCCCCACAGTCACTCCCGAGACCAGACAGATGTGGGCACCATCTGCCGCGTGGGATTCTGGGTGGCAGGTGAGGACAGGGCAGGGGCTGTAAGTCACAAGACACCGCCCCCGCCAAGAGAGGGGAGCCCGAATGTCCACGGATAAGGAGGATGCAGGCCAGCCACGGTTATTTTTAGGAGAGGCCACATAAAATGTAAGCTTCCGGGACAAGCCCAGGACATGGCAAGGTCCACGGGCCCGGGCCGGGTCCATCCGACACCGCGGGCACCGCACCAGCCCATGCACACGCTCGCCTCCAACCTGGGGCTGCACTTGCTCATAGACGCACACGTACCCCTCCACGCACATGCCTGCCGCACACGCTGGCAGCCCCAAGGTGGGCATCCGGCCCTCCCCCAGTGCTAGGACCAGCCCTACTCTCTGCTGCAGGGAACCCCCGCACAGTTCCCGGGGGTTACCACCCCAGCATCTCTAAGTCCGCCTCTCCTGCCCCTCGACAGCCAACCCTGCAATCAAACATGGGTGCCCAGCCCAGGCCAGCCCAGGGACGGAAGTGAGTTCCACCAGCTGGACACTCACAAGGAATGTCCCCTCTGTTGACACAACACACAGCCCAGGCCCAGCCTGCATCAGCATCAGATGCCCCAGGGCCTACCCCAAGGCTGGTCCAAGGGTGGGAAGGGCACCTGGAATGCCCCCGGTTCCCCAGGAGGCTGATCCCTGACAGTGGAGAAGCCTCCAAGGGGCAGGCAGCTCCAGCTAAGGTCCCACAGCCCCCATCTCTTCGCTCCTGGCCTGTCTCTGCTCGACGCACACTGTCCCCCAACACCTTGGCCCTCGGTCCCGCTCTTCGTGGGGGCCTACCCTCCTGTGCGTCTCAGGACCCCGGCCCTGACACAGCCGGGCATCCAGCTGGCCCCCTACAGACCTGCACGGACTGAGTCCCTCCCTCAGTGCTGGCTGGGCAGCAGCAGGGGGCTGCTGGGCTCAGGCTTGCCAAGGAGGAAACGGGCAGGTCCATGGCCAGGGCGGCCGGGCGTCGCGGATGCATGCCGGCCACGGGTATTTCTAGACAAGACTTGCAGGGCCGCCCGTCACAGAAGGAAAAATAAAACAGTCTGACGCGCTAGTTCAGGCTCCAGCAGCAGCCAAGCATCTCGCCAGACCCCGCGGCAGAGAGCAGGGCGGGGCCCAGCCTCCAGAGCCAGGGTCCGAGCAGGGTCCGTCCTCCCCGTCATTCATCCCTGGGGCCAGGAGCTGCTTTCAGGGACACCTGCCTCTGGGCCACAGAGATTCCAGGCAGCTTCCCAGGGAGAGAAGGTGCCTGAGCCTGGCGGTGTGCTGGTCAGTGTCTGCACCCAGCTCCCTGGGAAGGAAAGCGGGGCGTGTGCCGGCTCCTGCCGCAAGTGCTCTCACCTCGGCCCATTTCAGGGTGGAAGCTGCTGGTGCTCAGCCCTGCACAGGGTCACGGGAAGTGAAGCAGCAGGCCACCTGCTCACTGCGCACAGACCTGAGGCCTTGTGTCCAGGACCTGCCCACTGCCCCGAGCCTGGCTCCCACAGGCCAGCTGGCCAGGGCTGCCCGACACCAGGTACAAACCACCAAAAAATACCTCCAATGGGCACTCGCTTGAGGGGCTCAGAAGAGCTGGGCAGGACCTGGAAAGGCTCCTGACATCTTTCGCCACAGAAAGGCAGACAAGACCACCATGGGCAGCCCCCACATGCTCACGAGCCCGGGCGTTATAAAAACAGCAGCCAGCACTGGCGGGAGGGGAAGCCATGGAGGCGTTCGTCCATGGGGATGGGGGCAAAATGGCACCACCTCCTGGAAGCTCCCTGGACAGTGCCCCACAGTCACACACCAGCACCCCTGATCCCTGGGGCCGCTATACACACAGCGAAAACCTCAGGGCCCAAAGAGGACAAGGCCACAGGACCCTGCTTATGAGACAGACGTCCAGGCCAGGGGCCCAGAGACCGAGACAGATCGGTGGCTGCCAGGGCTGGGGGCAGGGGATGGGGAGTGATGCCCTCGGGCATGGGGCTTCTGTCAGGGGCAGGGATGCTCCACAGCTAGCCGTGCCATGGCTGCACTCTTGGGAATGCAGGAAAGCCCCAGCTGCTCATTTGACACAGGTGGGTCCTTGGTATGTGAGTTACCTCTCAGTAAAGGGGCCCTCACTCCAGCGTCCACGATAGCAGCCCACGGGACAGCCCACAACTGAGCATCATTCACAGAGAGCGAGCGAGATCCCCAACATGGGGCAGCTGGGAGGGCGCCGGCGGCCTGCGAGTGACCGGCCAGGTAGCAGTCCTGGGGGCAGTGGCGGGGACTCTCGGGGGCTGGGCGTGCTGCCGCGCGGGTAAATCCAATGCGGGGAAGCCCCGGACCCGCACCCCGGAGGTCAGAGCGCACTTGTGTGTGCCGTGGTCACTAGGAAGCCACACGCCTTTTTCGCAGGGGGTTCGAGGAAATTCCACGTGGGCCTCACAGCGGAGCCCAAACCCTAAGCAAGCCCCACCGGCTGCAGAATCCGCAGGACCAAGTACCAAGGGAACCCAAGGCCCCTTGTTCAGAGTCACTAAGAATTCCCAGAAGCAGAGCAGAAGGGAAGCCAGAGGGGCCCCACCGAGCACCAGGGCCTCGTCGGAGGATCCTCACACCGAGGACGGCATCCCCAGCTCCATCCCACAACGGCCTCAAGCCACAGCCTCAAACCGTGGCCTTGGCACAGAGGTGACTCGGCAGAGCCCTGGTCCCGGACCAGCTCCCCTGCCCCCCAGCCTGGCTCCCCCAGGCCAGCTGGCCAGGGCTACCCGATACCAGGGACAGGGAGGGGTCTTCCTGGGGACCCTGGCAGGTGGGTAGAGCCAGATTCCTGTCCCTCAGCAGCAGGGACCCCACACCCTCCCCGAGGGTGAGATGGGGATAGGCTGGCCACGCCCCGCCGTGAGAGGTGGCCTTGAGCAGCCCTGGCTCGGGGTAGCATCCTGCCCCTCACTCCCCCTGGGGCAGGTGGCCCCGGCTGCCCAGAATCGCCCACTGCAGAGGCCCTGCCTGCTCTGGCACGGCCACCTCCGCTGGCAGGGTCCCTGCAGGAGCAGGAGTCTCCTGGCCACGGCCCCCACCCCCAGGCTGGCAGTGGGAGCACAGCCCGCATCCTCCCAGAAACCCCCACGTACCAGGCTCTGGGTGTCGCTCCCGCGTGGCTCTGACCGTGGCTGTAACCCCAGAGTGACCCCCGGGAGGACCCCAGCCCGCCCCAGCCCCACCCAAGGCCGCAGCCCCCTGACCCCAGGCCCCGGTCCCTGCGGAGGGAGGCTGGAGACCCGGCGAGGACGCCGCCTCCCGTGACAGTTCTCAGAGGTGCCTGGGAACTGGCTCCGGCCCCGTCCGCTGCCCTCATTTCCTCTGCCGGCTTCCTCTGCGGGGGGGCGGGGAGGCCAAGGCCGCCGGTCCCGCGGGCGCTTGTTCCTCTGTGAAAGGCAGGGCAAGGCCCAGGGGGGCCCAGACGCCAAAGCCCTCCTGTCACTGTGGCCTGCGGAGGGGACGGGAGTCTCCCCACCACGGACACGGGCTCCTGGGCCCCTGGATCTGTGCCACCAGGGACAGGACCGCAGGCCGAGGCCCCACGGCAGGTGCTTTGCATCAGGCTCCCACCCAGGAGTGGTCGAGTGGGCCTCCCGTCAGCCTTGCCCTGGCGTGCACAGAGGGGTCAGGTGGCCCTCGAGAAAAGCCTACCCCGGAAGAACCCCGTGAGCTGGAGACAGGAGGCCGGTGACAGCAGAACAGCGTGGTCCCAGGCTCACCGCCGACACCACATCCGAGGAGACACCGAGGTGCTCCGTGGACCCTCTGCCTCCCCCGTGGACCGAGGAGGAGGCAGAGGATGCCACGCAGCTGTGGCCCCGGCCTGCTTCCTCCTCACACCCAGCCAAGCGCCCTGGAGGGTTCTGAGGCTGGGGGCTAGCACGTGGCCTCATTTTCTTCCAAGGATAACTCTTCTCAGGATGGAGTCAGAGGCTCCTGATGTCTCGAGGCAGCTGTGCTCACCCCTCAGACCCAAGGAGACCCCCAGATGTGTGTCCTGGGACCACGGGCTGCTGGCCCAGACGGCAAGGAATGGATGTGCTCACAGTTCTGGACAGTGGAGGAGGAAAGCACGGCATGGGCAGGGCCACTCCCTCGAGGCGCTGGCGGGATCCTTCCTGCCTCTCCGGCACAGCGGCCCCAGGTGCTCCTGGGCCTGCATCACTCCAGCCTCTGCACGTGGCCTCCTTCCCGCGTGCACGCCACTCCTCCTCTTTCTATCAGGCCCCAGTCATTGGATTCAGGGCCCACCCTACTCCGGTCCGACCTCATCTTAACTTGATTACAGCTGCAAAGACCCTAGTTCTAAATAAGGCCCCATTCTGAGGTACTGGGCGGGCATGGGTTTGGGGTGACATATTCCACTCAGCACATGCCTCCAGGGGGCACAGGCAGGAGCACAGTTCCCAGGCGGCCGGGGTGGTGGGTGAGTGCAGAGAGGACGTGAACAGTCACCAGCCCTGGAGCTGCCGTGACGGCCCCCGGGTTCTCTCAGGAACCTCCTGGAGCGTGGGTGCTGCCGGACCCCATTTCAGAGGTGAAACAGACACAGAGAAGTTATGAGACCTGTCCATGGTCACACAGCAGGGCCCGGCCCAGGACACCAGCCCACGCCAGAACTCTCCCGTGAGGCAGGGTCAGGGTTGGGAGCCGGGGAGGCAGAGGGCATGGCGGGGAGTCGATGCATCCCAAACATGCAGGGTGGCACAAGGCAGACCTTCCAGCATGTTCCACACAACACAACAGCTGCCAGCCCACCCCAGCCAGCTCTGGGGCACTCGGGCCCACAGGGTGGCCACTGCAGGGGCCGGTCCTCTGGGTCACTGCACCACCCCATGGAGGGAAGCGCACAGCCTGGCCTCCTGGAGAATGTGCCGGAATGAGAGAAATGTTCTCCCTGACCCATGCCTGGGAGTGTGGGGCCTCACACCCACCCCCTCCCCGAGTGCCGACACCCACACCCTCCCCGAGTGCCCGCACCCATGCTGGTAGGTGGGAGCCGGACCCGTGCCCAGGGCCCACGGCCTGCGTGTGACCGCTCCCCAAGGCCACTGTCCACACAGCCTTCCCATGGGACCCTCTCCAAGAACCCACCTCGGCCTGCACACCTGCAGCCTAAGGGTCTCGGTGGGAGACCTGAGACCTGAGAGGAAGTAGGGGGATGGGCCGAACTCATGGGCACAGCTTCCTCTGGGGCATCCTCTGAGACCCCGGGGGCGAGAGGAGGACAGGTAACTCCTCCCAGGGCAGGTGCTTGCTGCCTGAGCCTGAGTGGTCTGGGAGACTGAAGCAGCAGCTGCCTTCAAACAGACTCCACACCTGGTGCCCGGGCAGTGTCAGCTGTGGGGCACCTTCCAAGGGGAGGACTCCCGGGGACCACCCAGGCCCATGGCCTCCTGCTCAGCCCCTTGAGCCCCTGAGTCCAGCCCTGCCCCTGCCACTGAGGCCATGCCTGGCCCGGGGCTCGCTGCCTCCTCTGCCCTCTCCCCATCAATAGGCTCATCCTGAGGCCCAGCCTGCCCAGCCCTGTGCCAGGTGTCCGGTTCACATGAATGCTGATAGAGCGAGCACCGTGGCCAGGCACAGGCACTTCTCCCAGGAACCCCCCATGGCGCCTGGTTCAGGTCAGACACAGGGAGAGACCTTGGGCAGGAGACAGGGCGTGAGCTGAGGGACAGGGGAGAGGCGGGGGTTGGGGGGTGGCAAATCCAGGCTGCCACGTGTTCCGAGAACTTCCACAAACTCCAAGCCCTGCCCACTGGTCAACAGTGACACCTCTGCGTCAGGGATCAGCCATGGTAGGCACTGCCCAGGTACCCACCCTTGGCTCAGTGCACCACTGCTGTCCCTTCAGACCTGGCCATCACAGCCATTCCCACCTTACAGATGACAAAACAGGCATGGAGAGCCAGTCACAGAAGGGCCCCTCAGCAAACCAGAGGTGGCCCCAGGGCAAACCCCTGCTCCTAACTGTGCAGAGCATTTGACCCCCACCCTCAGGCTGAGCGCGCCTCTCCAGAAGCCGGAGCGAGGCGGTGTCCCCATGCCCACTTCCAGCCTAGGACAGCTCCAGGCCCCAGGGCTCAGGACGACTAGAAATCATGACGCCCTGAGGCCGCACCAGGGAAGGTGAAGGCTGGGGAGGGTGAGCAACAAGGCCAGCCCCCTCCCTTGGGGCACTCAGGTAGAAGGGGTGACCTCTGCTCGCTCAAGGCCATGCCACCCCCTTCCTGCCAGCCTGGACCCGGCCATCCTGCCCATGTGTCACCCCCATCACCCTGCTTTTCCTGGCCGCCATGCCCACACTAGTCTCCCCAGAGCAAGATTTCACATGTGCAGAACGGATCTCAGAGAGGCTGGGTGAGTAGTCCGAGGCCACACAGCACAGAGGCTGGAAGGCTGCAGCTGCCAAGAAATCCCCCAGCCACGCTCCCGAGTGTCAGGGAGATGGGGGAAGAGCTGGGCTCCAGAGGAGGCGGCTCTTCCTGGCACTCAAGCAGGCTCCTGGGCCGGGTGCCCCCTGCCCTGCCCGCATCTGCCTGGTGCGGAAGGTCAGGGGCCCAGGCAGCCCACAGTCTGTGCCCACAGCCTCCACTCTCAGGCCCTGCACTATCGGGCGTCTCTGCCCCCTGTACCACCACAACTGCCGTCACCTCTATGGAGACTGGCACCAGTTCCTGCGATGAACAAGGAGCCGGCCCGGCAGCGGGGCAGGGCCTGGCAACTGAGGTGAGACCCCCATGTCAGGTGCTAGCACTGCCCCAGATGCTGAGTGACACACAAGCCAACTGCCAGAGCCACAAGCGTGGGCCCCTCCCCTCTGGGTGCCCCCCCACAGACACAAGCAGCCTCAGAAGGAACCAGCTCGCTCCAATTCGGGGATGGCAAGGAGCCAGCCACATGCTGTAGGAAGCTTGGGCCCTGGGGGTCTCTGTCCCAGCACCACCACTCCAGCACAGACAGCCAAGTGCTCACCAAGCACTGAGCCCACCCGGGCCTGCCACAGGTACTGTCGGCCCATGTCATAGATGGGAAAACCGAGGTTCACAGAGGCAAGGCCAGGCAGAGGGACTGCAGCACAGGACAGCCAGGCTTGGAAGGCTGGGCTAAGTTTAGCGGGAGGGCAGGAGACCCCTCTCTCCTCCCTAACCCTCTCATGGGGGCTGGTGCAGAGCCTAGACCCAGCCCCTTAATCCGAAGGAGGGTCTCCTTCCTCACCAGCACCAGCACCTTGGGCAGCCCCTCCTGGTAGGTGGGCCCCAGAGCCCAGCAGGTGCCTGCAGCTCTGGCCCAGCATCTTGCAGAGGAGAGACGCCCCTTGCCTCCAACAACTTCTTTTCCTCTAAGTCATTAAACGGACACATTAGAATTATTCAGATCACAGCTGTTTACCCAGAGAAGGGCAGAGCCGGTGCTGCTCGAAGGCGGGGGAAAGGGCCTCTCATGGCCAAGGACAAGGCTGGGCCCCGAGGCAGGGTATGGGCCGAGGGTCCTCTCTGTTCTGGGGGCAGAAAGGACCAAGCACCGTGGGCCACGCCTGGCATGGAGATGTGATGAGGACCTGCCCCAAGCCTCCTCCACCCCCTGCCCTTGGGCCGGGGAGACATTACAGCTGTTGCCGTGGCTGTTGGGCTCTGAGCCTTCACCTGCCCACCCCACAGGGACTTCCGAGCCCCAGGGGTCACTACAGGAAGTCATTTCTGAGCAAGTGACACCCACAGCCCTAAGCCCAGCAGACAGACCTCCCACCAGCTCCCTTCCTCCAGGGAGCAAATGCCTTCAGACCGAGATCTGCCCCGGGGACCCCCGTGCCTCCCTGCCAGGCTGCGTGCACTGGGCCCTGCTCCAGGGAAGGAGACACAGGAGATCACGTCACATGCAAACAGGCTTTGTTTGGGCTGGCTCAGCCTGGTGCCAGAGCCCCAGTGACGTGTGGGTGGGACTTGGCCCTGGGGCCATGGATGGCACAGGGCAGGGGGATTATCTCCCACTCAGGCCAAGCAGGGGCCGGATCTGGAGAAGCAGAGGTTTTAGAAAGCCCACTGCTTCCTGGTGACAGATGGGGCTTCCAGCTGTCCCCAGCCCCCTCTGCCTATCCCAGCTGTCCACCACAGCCAGGAGGCCAGGCAGCCATGGGTAATCTCGCCCTGCCCGGTGCACTGGCCATACGGGGTAAGAGGCCTGGCCTCAGGTCCCCTGCAGCCAGCTTGACAGCGTCACCTCGGGCCCCCACTGTCAGGGGATCTGGGCACCCACCAAGGCCCCTCTCTTCTGAGCCTCTGCCCACTGGGCTCTGTAATGTGGACTGGCCCCTGCTCCCCCCACATCCCCCGCCGGCTGCTGGTGGCTGGGCAGGGCTCTGAGAATCGCTCCCAGCCTGGGAAGAAGCCTCCCACGCCAGGGCCCCGGACCCAGGAGAGGCCATGGAAAGCCTGAACCCCAGCTGGCTGACACCCCCCACACCCCCAAGGGCCCTTAGTCTGAGACCAACTCTCCTGGACACCAGGGGCCCACGCAGGCCCTCCGTGCCCCAGTTACCTGTGCCCTGGAGGCAGCCACGGAGTCACGACCACGCGGGGGACGCCAGCCCACAGGCGGAGGCCGGTTTGTGCTGGGGCCCAGGGCCTGCCCCTCCGAGATCTGGGGCCGCCAGGGGGTCCGGCTGCTTCTGCTGCTGGGCTCGGGGCGGGGAAAGGGTTAATTTCCATGCAAACCGGGAGCCGTGGGGCCCAGGGGCATCACGTCCGCAGCGGAGGGAGGCAGCGGCGCGCAGGCCGGGCCGCCAGGGACTCACCGGGGTCGAAGTGCGAGCTGAAGGCGAAGCTGGGGTTGAAGAAGGACGACGACATGGCCGGGCCAGCGGCCGGCGGGCATCCCGGGAGGGCGCTGCGCTCAGGACGCCCGCGGCCCCGGCCCGAGCCGCCGCATCACCCAGCGGCCGCCGCAGGTGCGGAGCGCGCCGGCCCCCGCGCCCCGCGCCCCCCGCCGCAGCCGCAGAGCCCGCACCGGTGGGGGCGGCGGCGACAGACGAGGCGCTCCGCCCGGCCCTGGCGCCGCGGGGCTCCGCTGGTGCAGTCCGAAAACGCGGGCGGGAGCGCGCGCGGAGCGGCGCGGGGGAGGGGGGGGCCCTCCGCGGCCGGGGTGGCATGGGGGGAGCACGGAGAGGGGGACACGGAGGGGGAGACAGAGGGGAGCACGGAGTGGGGGACACAGAAGGGGGCTTGGAGGGGGGACACGGAGGGGAGGCATGGAGGAGGGGGGACGGGGGGCCGTGCACGGAGCGGGGATGGCACGGAGTGGGGGGATGGTCCGGAGCGGGAAGCACGGCGGCCTGGGGCTGAGGGGGGCACGGAGGCTGGCGGGGGGGGGGGAAACGGAAGTCGTGAATGGTAAGTCGTGAGTGGGTACGGAGGGAACGCCGGGGTGGGGGAGGGGGTACTCCTAGGTGGAAAGGTTCAGGGAGACAGGTGGGGGAACCCGGGAGCACACCCAGGGCGGGTCTTGGTGCTCAGGGGCCCTCGCCTCACTTGCAGGTTTCGAGGCGGCTGGCAGCCGCCCCCCCACCCCATGCCCTTTGGGTGGCACCTGTGCTGGTGGAGTGGGGGTGGCTGGCTTTGCACACAGGCCTGCTCCTGTACCGTGCTGCGACAGCCATGAAGGAAGAACCTGGCTGAGTCTCCACCTGCCGTGGACTGTACCAGGTGCTTAGGGCAGCAGGTTGGCCTGGGCGCTGAGGGGCCATCCCTTCCCCTATGTTTCTCCCAGGATCCCCCATCCCCGCCCAAAGTGCCACCTTGCAGGGTTGGGGCGGGGCAGGGTCCCCCCAGCCTGCCCCCGTGGGAGTCGGGAGAGTTAAAGTTCAGTGGAAGCTGGTCCCAGTGGCTCATGCCTGTAATCCCAGCACTTTGGGAGGCCAGGGCAGGCGGGTGGCTTGTGCTCAGGGGTTCCAGACCAGCCTGGGCAACATAGCAAGACACTTTCTCTACAAAAATTAGAAAAATGAGCCAGGCATGGTGGCGCTCACCTGTAGTCTCAGCTACTTGGGAGGCTGAGGTGGGAGGATCACTTGAGCCTGGGAGTTAGAGGCCGCAGTGAGCCAAGATGGCACCACTGCACTCCAGCCCGGGTGACAACAAGATCTTGTCTCAAAAAAAGTGTCCTGGAGACTTGCAGTTGAGTTTGATGCACCCTCATCCACTCATTCATTCACTCACTCATTCATTCACTCACTCATTCATTCACTCACTCATTCTGGGACCAGATGGCTAAGCCCCTTGGCAAGGCCCAGTTGGGGTTGGGGGCTGTGGAGCAGGTGAGAGGCGCCCACTCCAACAGGGCTCTTAGGACTTTAGGGAGAGAAAGGAGCCTGTTCCCGGCAGAGGGACCTGCAGAGACCAGGACAGGATGCTTGGGCCACGGGGCAGATGGGCACCAGGACCCACCCTTCTTTTCCTAAGGGGGTCCCTCATGTAGGAAGTTTCCTCCTAACAGGCAAAGCAAGGGGCCTCCACCCTGTGCCCTCAGACCTTAGGGGTCCCTGGCTGTAGGAGACAAGACACCAACTGCACCTGGGGCAGAAGGAGACAGGGCACCCAGAGCCTTCTTCCTGGCCCTGATCATGTGGCCAGCCAAGGTTCTAAGGGGCGCTGCCGCCAGGCTGCCGTTGCAGGTAAAGAAGCCGCGTGGGTAGAGTGGCTGAAGGGGGCCTTGCCCGCAGGAGGCACTCAGAGGCCTTGGGCCACCTCGTTCAGTCTGTGTCTTCAGGGAGCCCAGAGGGCTGGGAGGATCAGTGCCCACCCAGTGGCAGGGATGGTTGGTGCCAGCAGGCTGTGATCCTGGAGTGCTCCAGTGTGAGGGACAGAGGGTATGGCATACCCTCATGAGTCTCCACTCTGGGTCCCCTGTCAGGGCCTCCCCTCCCCAGCTCAGGAGGGAGTGCCCTCCTCTGCCCAGCCTGGAAGGTGCCCTAGACACCTGGACCTAGGCAGGGGGAGGTGGCCAGTGGCCGTGGGTGGTTGCTGGTTGGCATGTTGGGGAGAGTTTCTGTCCAGAACTTCCATGCCCTCAGTGTCCCTGCCTTGATGACCAGGGCCAGAAACAGCTTGCTGTGACCAGGGGCTGGCTCCTCTCAGTTTTGCCTGTGAACACACACATGTACACTTGTGGCTGGGCCACAGCTCAGGGGCTTCAAGCTGTGGATCTTCTTGGGGCTCCAGGAAGGACAGGGGAGGAGCTGCCCCTGGGCTCCAAGCCAGCACTCCCACCCTACGTAACCAGAGCGACACCCCTTCTCCAGGAAGCACAGGGCCCTCTGAGATTTCGCTGGAACCAGGAGTTCAGATGCTTCCACTGACCGTGACCCTAGTGGGGCCCCCCAGGTGCTGGCTTTTGCCCACGCTGGGACAGGATCAGTGAGCACCTCTGGGTAAGAGGTCCCTGAAGACATAGCTGTCTGCTATCCCCCGGCCTGGGGGAAGGCATGATCTCCGCCCCTGGGACTCTCTAGAGCCCAGAAGGAGCTGACCGAGGAGCCCAGATTGGCTGGGAGAGTGTCGGTGCAGAAGCATTGCCCGTCGAAGAGGAAAAAGGCCAAGAACCCAGCAGGAAGCCCAGGTGTGGTGGAAAAGAGGGGGCAGGGGCAGGAGAGAGCCTGGGGGTCTGGGGATTAGAGACCAGAGTGAGGAACGCACCTCAGGAGCAAAGTTTAGGGGGCACCCAAAAACTCAGCAGTTATGCCCATCCACAGATAAACCATCAACAGGATGTGATCTGTCCATACGATGCAATGGTATTGGTCCATACACAGGACCAAAGCTCTGACCACACTATAACATGCATGACACATGCTACCACATGGATGACACATGAAAATATGCTCAGTGAAAGACACAGAAGGCCACAGAGTGTGTGATTCCACTTGTATGAAATGTCTGGAACAGACAAATCCACGGGACAGAGCACAGGTGGAGGGCCAGAGCCGGGAGAGGGGCAAGTGGGGGCAGTGCAGAAGGGGCACAGGGCGTCTTCCTGGGGGGAGGAAACTTCCCTGAATTAGCTAGAGGTGATGGCTGCCCACCCTGGTGAAGATGCTAAAACACTAAGCTGTACCCTTTAAAGTGGTGAACTTCATGGCATGTGACTTATATCTCAATAAAATTGTTAAAAACAGTAATCGGCCGGGCGCAGTGGCTCACGCCTGTAATCCCAGCACTTTGGGAGGCCAAGGGGGGCGGACCGCGAGGTCAGGAGTTCGAGACCAGCCTGGCCAACATGGTGAAGCCCCGTATCTACTAAAAATACAAAAATTAACCAGACATGGTGGCAGGCGCCTGTAATCCCAGCTACTAGGGAAGCTGAGGCAGGAGAATTGCTTGAAACCAGAAGGCGGAACTTGCAGTGAGCCGAGATGGCGCCACTGCACATATGTCTGTGCATATGTGTAGATGTGTGTGTGTGGGCGGGGTCGCCCCCTCCAGATGCTCCAGGGGAGGGTCCTTCCTGCCTCTTCCGGCTACTGGTGGCCCTAGGCCTTCCTGGGCCTGTGGCTGCGCAGCCCCAACCTCTGCCTGCATCGTCACATAGTCGTGTGCGTGTGTGTGTACGTGTCTATGTGTGTGTATGCATGTGTGTCTGTGCATATGTGTAGATGTGTGTGTCTTGGTATGTATATGTGTGTCTGTGTGTGTCTGTCTTGGTAGGTATATGTGTGTGTGCATGTTCAGTTGCGTGTGTTGGTGTGTGCATATGTGCATAGAGGTAGGTGTGTATCGGTTTGTGTGTGCATGTGTGTCTGCATATGTGTAGGCACGTGTGTCGGTGTTGGTATGTGTACATGTGTGTGCATGTGTGTGTGTTGGTGTGTCTGCATGTGTATGTGCATATGTGTAGGTGTGTTGGCATGTGTGTGCATGTGTGTTGGTGTGTATGTGTGTGCATATGTGTAGGTGTGTGTTGGTTTGTGTGTCTGCATATGTGTAGGCATGTGTGTGTTGGTGTGGATGTGTGTGCATATGTGGTGTGTGTGCATGTGTAGGTGTGTGTGCATGTGTCTTTGCATATGTGTAGGTGTGTTGGTATGTGTGCATGTATGTGTACACAGGTGTGTGTGCATGTCTGTGCATATCCATAGGTGTGTCTGTGTGTGTTGGTATATGTGTGTCTGTGTTGGTATGTAGGGGTGTGTGCATGTGTGTGCATATGTGTAGGTGCGTGTGTGTCTGTGCGTGTGTGTGTGTCCGTCCTCTCCTCTCGTTATCAGGCCCCAGTCATTGCATTAGGACCCCCTGCTCCAGTCTGGCCTCCTCTTGATCACAGCTGCAAGGACCCTACTTCCAACTGAGGTCCCAATTCACAGGTATCAGGGTCAGGACTTGAACATATTTTGGGGGGACACAATTCAACCCCCGATGGGAGTGCAGGGCATGGGAGGGAGGAGGGAGGCAAAGTGGGGAACATGCAGCTGTCAGGACAAGGTCAGCACCTTCCCAAATTCTTCCTGCAGATGTCTGAATCCCAATTAGCCAGTTATAATAGCGTTTCTGCAAGTGTAGCTGCCGGGACTCAGCACCCAAATCTGCCTGCTGGGCACCACAGTAGGCACTGCAGAGCCCCAAGGATGCCCCTGCCTGGCTGGGCCTCACCCTGCAGTGGGCACCCCCCCATTCTGCCACATGCCCCTCCACCATCTTGGCCCTCTTAGAGGCATCTCTAGGGTGCTTGGGCCCCTCCAGCCCCAGCCCCAGCCCTGTACCCACAGGCACCCAGGAGGTAACAGAGCTGGGTGCTCTTCCAGGCTGAGGCAGCAGGGCCCTCAGGCAGGAGGGGCAGCTGGTGCCTCTTAGCCTCCAGCCCTGGCCTCCCCCTTGCCCCGCAGTTGTTTCAGGCAGGAAGGTGGGCAGTGCCAACCCTGCGGGGGTCAGTGAGACCTGAACCTCCCCAAGGGGGCAGTGCCTGTCTAGTGCGGGGACAAGGGGCATAATACTGTCATCCAGAGCTATGAAGTGGTCCTTGTGGCCCTTCCAGGCCGGCGTAGCCCATAGTCGGGGCCAGTGACCTGGGGGCAGGGCTGGAGGCCAGGAGGGGCGGCTCTGAACAGAAATGAAGCCGAAAGGGCCGCCCAGGGGACAGGCCATCTGTCAGCTCAGGGCAGGTGCTGGTTCCGGGAGCTTTGGAGAACACTGCATCTGCCAGCCCGCCCTCCAGCCCAGAGATCCCACGCCAGGCTCCCCAGGCCTTGTGGCCCAGGCGGGCCAGGGGCAGGTCCCCAGCCTGAGCTGCTCACACTGCAGATGCTTCCAGACGCTGGTTTCTTTGGGTCTCGTTTTATTAAAAGCATGATTTCCCACTCCACATATTTCCTTTTTTTTGAGATGGAGTCTCACTCTGTTACCTAGGCTGGAGTGCAGTGACGCCATCTCGGCTCACTGCAAGCTCCGCCTCCTGGGTTAACGCCATTCTCCTGCCTCAGCCTCCCAAGTAGCTGGGACTACAGGCGCCCACCACCACACCCGGCTAATTTTTTTGTAGTTTTAGTAGAGACGGGGTTTCACTGTGTTAGCCAGGATGGTCTCGATCTCCTGACCTCGTGATCCGCCCACCTCAGCCTCCCAAAGTGCTGGGATTACAGGCGTGAGCCACCGTGCCCGGCCACATATTTCCTTTTTTATTGAAAAAATTCACATAACATAAAATGAATCGGCTTGAAGTGAACAATTCAGTAGCATTTGTATTCACAACATTGCGCCCCCATCTGGGTCCAGAACATTCTCACCATCCCCAGAGGAAACCCCAGGCCCCTCAGACAGCACCTGCCCGTTCCCTTCTCCTGAGCCCCCACCACTCTGTGTTCAGTCCCCATGGACCGGCCCATTCTGGACATTTCATAAAAATGGAATCACATGGTATGTGGGGGCGTCTGCCACGCTTCCCTCAGTGGGATGTTCCTCCCAAGGTTCCTCCTCACTCTGGCCTGCTGGTGCCACATGCCTTTCTACAGCTGAGTTACGTTCCATTGTGTGGACGGACTGCAGTGTGTTTATCCGGCCACACCCTGAGGTCAGGGCTGCTTGCTGGAGACAGACTGCAATGTTATTAGTGTTAGGTGTGGGGTGGGAGCACCCGGGACAACCCCACACAGTGGGAAAGCTTTAGGGTGAACCCCACACAGAAGAATATGGCAGGACCATGGACTCTTCCACCTTCTGACCCGCTCATTCCACTAACGTGAACATGGCCAAGGAAAGGGAGGGGCTTCTTGGACAAAAACACTCACTGCAACATTATATCTAATGACAAAAGAACCCTGAAGCTTCTCCTGGTCCAGCAGCAGACGGCCAGTCAAGAAGGTTGCTGGGGCCAGGCGTGGCAGCTCATGCCTGTAATCCCGGCACTTTGGGAGGCCGAGGCAGGAGGATCACTTGGGGTCAGGAGTTCAAGACCAGCCTGGCCTATATGGTGAAAATACAAAAATTAGCCGGCGTGGTGGTGGGCACCTGTAATCCCAGCTACCTGGGAGGCTGAGGCAGGAGAATCGCTTGAACCCAGCCGGGAGGTGGAGGTTGCAGTGAGCCGAGACCGCGACACTGCACTCCAGCCTGGGCGACAGAGCGAGACTCTGTCTCAAAACAAAACAAAACAAAACAAAAAGTTGCTGGACCGTCCTCAGCTCCCAGGCACAACACGGAGTCATCTCCCATCGTAACTGCAGAGTTGTGGAGACGTGGTAAGATGTGACACCGAGAAAGCGGATACTGCAGTCATCTCAGCTCTGTGTAAGAACCAGAGGGGCAGAAACCCGCACGAAGGAAAACCTGTGGTTTCAGGTGGAGAAGCGGCGGCGTGAGGCCTTCTTCACTGTCGTTATTGGGGTATCAGGAAACAAATGCACAGTGAAGCGTCTCCTTCCAGACAGCCCGTGGCCAGGGGAGCTCCTCGGTGATGTGTACCTGTTCTGGTCTCACCCTGGTGACAGCCCTACAAAGGCCCTACCCTATGAGAGATGCCGGCGAGGGGAGAGGTGCTCGCAGAAGCCACCTGCCTCATAGAGATCCCTTCTCCTTCCAGGGCCCTTATTTTAGGAGCTTCATGAGCCGGGCCCTGGCATGGTTCCCTGGCCCCTGCAGTGACCCATGGACAGACAGCTGCTCAGGCCTGGCCACTGGAGGAAGCCAGGTTGTCTGGTGTCTTCTGCTGGCTTCTCAAACACCCTGGCCAACCTGCATGTCCTGGGAGACGCTGCCAGGCCCAGTGGGCCACCTCCATGGACCCTCGCATTCTCCCCTACAGCCCCCATGAAGCAGCAGGTGGGGTGGGAGCTCATGCTACACACAGATGCCCCGAGAGAACCGACTATGTGGCTTGCCCAAGCTCACAGCTGGAAAGCCAGGCCTATATCATATCTTGCTCTATAGGAAAGCACTGAGAATTGGACACATTCCAAGAAACACACTATCTACCAAGACTAAGTCCCAAAGAAATAGAAAATCTGAATAGATCTGTAATGAGTAAGAAGATTGAATCAGTGATCAAAAGTCTCCCATCAAAGAAAGGCCCAGGACCTGATAGTTTCACTGGCGAATGCCACCAAACATTTAAAGAACAAACACCAATTCCTCTCAAACTTTTCCAAAAAACTGAATTCAGCCACTCCTAACTCACTCTATGAGGCCAGCATTACCCTGACACCAAAGCCAAAGAGACTACAAGGAAAGAAAAGTACAGGCCAATATCTCTCATGAACACAGATTCAAAAATCCTCAGCCAAATGCTGGCAAACTAAAGTCAGCAGCATATGGAAAGGATTATACACCATAATCAAGTGGGATTTATTCCTGGAATGCAAGGATGGGCCAACTACAAAATTTGATCAGTGTGATACACCACATTCTCAGGAGAACAGAAAACACGTGATTATCTCAACCAATGCAGAAAAAGACAAAATTCAATACCCTTTCATGATAAAAATGCTCAACAAGCTATGAACAGAAGGAAACTACCTCAACCATCCATGGTGATAAAAACCATCCATGAAAAGCTCACAGCAAACATCATACTCAGTGGTGAAAGGCTGAAAACTTTTCCTCTAAGATCAAGAAAAGCGTGTCCACTCTCGCCACTCCTGTTCAACATAGTACTAGAGTTTCCAGTGGACCAATTAAGCAAGAAAAAGAAATAAAAGGTATTCACATTGGAAAGGAAAAAGTAAGGCTGGGTGCGGTGGCTCATGCCTGTAATCCCAGCACTTTGGGAGGCCAAGGCAGGTGGATCACCTGAGGTCAGGAGTTTGAGACCAACCTGGCCAACATGGTGAAACCCCATCTCTACTAAAAATTACAAAAATTAGCCGGGTGTGATGGCACGCGCCTGTAGTCCCAGCTACTCAGGAGGCTGAGACAGGAGTATCTCTTGAACCCGGGAGGCAGAGGTTGCAGTGAGCCAAGATCACACCACTGCACTCCAGCCTGCACAACAGAGCAAGACTCCACCTCAAAAAAAAAAGAAAGAAAAATGTCTAATTACCTCTGTTTGCCAGGCGCGGTGGCTCACGCCTGTAATCCCAGCACTTTGGGAGGCCAAGGCGGGTGGATCACAAGGTCAGGAGATTGAGACCATCCTGGCTAACACAGTGAAACCCTGTCTCTACTAAAAATACAAAAAATTAGCCGAGCATGGTGGCAGGCACCTGTAGTCCCAGCTACTCAGGAGGCTGAGGCAGGAGAATGGTGCGAACCTGGTAGGCGGAGGTTGCAGTGAGCAGAGATCACGCCACTGCACTCCAGCCTGGGTGACAGAGTGAGACTCCGTCTCAAAAAAAAAAAAAAAATTACCTCTGTTCACAAATGATATGATGTTATATGTAAAGAATCTTAAATATGCCACAAAAAAACTGCTAGAGCTAATTAATGATATCAGCAAAGTAGCAAGATACAAAGTCAACACCCAAGTATCAGTTGCATTTCTATAAACTACCAATGGATAACCTGAAAAGGATTATCCAATTTGTCCAAAAAAGACAAAAACAATTCCATGTATAGTACCATTGAAAAGAATAAAATACTTAGGAATTAACTTAGCCAAGGAGGTGAAAGACTTGCACAATGAAAACTACAAAACATGGCTGAAAAGAAATTAAAGAAGACATAAATAAATAGAAACACAAAAATAAATAGAATCCTATGTTCATGGATTGAAAGACTTAATAGTGTTAAGATGTCAGTATTTCCCAAAGCGATCTACAGAGTCAACACAATCCCTATCTAAATCCCAGTGACTTTTGCAGAAATAGGAAGCCCATCCTAAAATTCATATAGAATCTCAAGAGACCCAAGATATCCAAAACAATCTTGAAAAAGAAGAACAAAGCTGGAAGACTCCTACTTCCTGTTTTCAAAATTCACTACAAAGCTACAGAAATCAAAATGGTATGGCACCCACAGACAGACAGACATATAAACCAGTGGAATAGAACAGAGATCCCAGAAATAAACCTTCACATAATATGGTCAAACGATTGTTGACAAGGGTGCCAAGACCATTCAATGGGGAAAAAACAGTCTTTCAACAAAGAGTGCTGGGAAAACTAGATGTCCACATGCAAAATAATGAAATTGGGCCCTTACCTAACACCATACATGAAAATAACTCAAAATGGATCAAAGACCTAAATGTAAAACATGAAACTCTTAAAAGAAAACAGAGCAAAAGCTTCATGGCATGGGATTTGACAGAGATTTCTTGGATATGACAGCAAAGGCACAGGCAACAGAAGAAAAAAATGGACAACTTTGATTTCATGATAACTAAAAAAATTTGTGGGTCAAAAGAAAATATCAACAGGCTAAAAACGCAACCCAAAGAATGGCAGAAAATATCTGCAAATCATCTGAAAATAGATGAATAACCAGAAATTTAGAGAGAACATATGAAGAACTCCTAAAACTTAATCACAAATAAACAAAATTCAATTCAAAAATGGGCAAAGGACTTGAATAAATAAGACATTTATCCAAAGAAGATATCAAATGCCTAATAAGCCCATGAGAAGATGCCGACCATCACTAATCATGAGGGAAATGGAAATCAAAGCCACAGTGAGGGCCGGGCACGGTGGCTCATGCCTGTAATCCCAGCGCTTTGGGAGGCCAAACTGGGCGGATCACCTGAGGCCAGGAGTTCAGGACCAGCCTGGCCAACATGGTGAAACCCCGTCTCCACTAAAAATACAAAAATTAGCCGGGCATGGTGGCACATGCCTGTAATCCCAGCTACTCAGGAGGCTGAGGCACGAGAATCATTGAACCCAGAAAGCAGAGGTTGCAGTGAGCCGAGGTCATGCCACTGCGCTCCAGCCTGGGTGACAGAGCAAATCTCCATCTCAAAACAAAAAAAAGGAAACAAAACACAATGAGATGCCACCTCACACCCCTGAGGATGGCTGCTATTAAAAAAAAAAAAAAACCTCCAGAGAATCACAAGTGTTGGTGAGGACGTGGGGCTATCGGCCCCTGTGCGCTGTTGGTGGGAATGGAAAACAGTGCAGCTGCCGTGGAAACTCTACGGCAGCTCCTCAAACACTTAAATCAGAATGACAGTATCATCCAGCAATTCCACTTCTGGTTATCATCCCAAAAGAACTGAAAGCAGGGTCTCAAGGAGACATTTGTACACCCATCTTCATAGCAGCATTATTCACAATTGCCAAAAGGTGGACGAAAAATCCAGGATCCATGAACAGGCAAGTGAATACTCAAAATGTGGTGCAACCATGCAATGGAGTATTAGTCACTTTTTTTTTTTTTTTTTTGAGACAGAGTCTCCTTTTGTCACCCAGGCTGGAGTGCGGTGGCGCGATCTCAGCTCACTGCAACCTCTGCCTCCCAAGTTCCAGCGATTCTGCTGCCTCAGCCTCCCAAGTAGCTGGGACTCCAGTCTCGCACCACCAACGCTGGCTAATTTCCGTATTTTTAGTAGAGACAGGGTTTCACCATGTTGGCCAGGCTGGTCTGAAACTCCTGATCTCAGGTGATCCACTCGCCTCGGCCTCCCAAAGTGCTGGGATTGCAGGCATGAGCCACCGCACCAGGCTTGAAACTCCATCTCAAAAAAAAAAAAAAAAAAAAAAGGCAGCCGGGTACAGTGGCTCACGCCTGTAATCCCAGCACTTTGGGAGGCTGAGGCAGGCAGATCACCTGAGGTCAGGAGTTCAAGACCAGCCTAGTCACCATGGTGAAACTCAGTCTCTACTAAAAATGCAGAAATTAGCCGGGCGTGGCGGCATGCACCTGTAATTCCAGCTACTTGGGAGTTTGAGACAGGAGAACTGCTTGAACCCGGGAGGCGGAGGTTGCAGGGCCGAGATCACACTATTGCACTCCAGCCTGGGTGATAGGGTGATAGAGTAAGACTCCACCTCAATAAAAAAGAAAAAAAAAAGGCAAAGATGGTAAATTTATACTATGTGAATTTTATCATGATAAAAAGCACGCAAGAAAGAAGAAAAGCATTAAGGAAATGGAGGAAAAGGCATCGACCGAGCCTGGACATTCTCCAGCATCAAACGTGTGTTCTGCAGGTGACTTTACCTCCACCGTGTTCATCTACATATTCCAAATGTTCTGTAATAAACCTGATTGCTTCATCTCATCCAAAAGCTATTACAGATAATATTTCAATCACCCTAATTAAAACAATCACATGCCTTTAAAGGCCAAAGTTGGGCAAGAATTTAACTGGCCACTAATTGCTGCTGGGGCCAGGGAGGGCTCAGCCCTTTGGGAAAGTGACCTGGCAGGACCCACCAGTGTCTCCTTCCCTGTCTGAGCCTGGACATCTCCCTGATGTCCGACCTGAGGCTCCAGGTGGCCCTGACCTCTACACCTGGCTGGGACGGGTGTAGACTGGATTCGTCTCCTCATCTCCTGGGGTCTCTTGAAGAAGGAGGATAATGCAGCCTCCCTCAAGAGGCTGCTGAGACCCCTGGGGCCCCGCCAATGGCAGATGACACTGTTATTACATTCATTGTCACCTGTCACATATCATGACCGTCACCTTCATTAGTGAGGACAATACCCTCCCACCTCCAACATGAGCAGAGGCTACCACGGCCTATGTAAGAGGCCCGGGCAGTCCTGTGGCTTCCAGTAGAAAGCCAGGCCCCCCCGACCCCGGCAGACAGCCCCATCCCTGGCTTCCTCACAGGCCTGCGGTGCCCAGCATGACCACCCCACAGGGGCAGGGCTGTTGGCACCACCCTCCCTGGCAGAAGGTAACCGTGCCCCTGGTGTATTCAGAGCCAGCCAGGGATCACCTTGGCCCTCCCTGCTCACCACCAGGGGAGGGTGGTTTGGGAGGAGGACGTGGCTTGGATAAACTTTGTCCCATATGAACTTGGAGCCTCCCCACCCCCACCGGCCTGCAGGCTGTGCTGTGCCCCTTCCACCCGGCCCAAGCCCGCAGGCTGGGCCGCAGCACCCACTCGGCTGCCCCTTCAAACCCCACTCACATGTCTGGCCCTGCAACCTGTTTCCTGCACCAGAGCTGGGGGGGGCAGGGTCCCCAGCCTCAATCTCCCTGCACCACCCCCACCGCCCGCAGCCCCTCCCACTGTGTACAACCCGCTGCACTGGAGGCCCGAGGCGTGGGTTCCAGCACCATGACCTTGGGCAGGTCCCTCAGCCCCTCTGACCTCAGGCTTCCAGCTGCTGTCTGCCCAGCTGGCCTCGGTCACCTGCTCACTGGCTCACTGGTGCCCTCTCTTCCTCCCTAACCCCGCCCCAGGTTTGGGGAGGCCAGGCACTGCTAAGGGTCAGTCTGCCCAGACCAGTGTGGACACACCAAGTGCCTGCGAGCCCCTGGGAGCTGCCCGTGCCAGGCTGGAGTGCCGGGGAGGGGCGAGGACAGCTGCAGCCCCGAGATGTAAACAGGCTTGCAGGTATAAAAGCTGGAGCCCCTGGGCCTCTCCACACCCCAGCCTGACCCACCTTCCAGAACTCTCGAAAGAAGCCAGGCAGAGGTAAGCCCTGCCAAGGAGGGGGGTGTGGGTCTCTGGCCGCTGAGGTTATCCGAGCTGGATGGTGGGAACTTGGAGGCCTTCTCTTCATCCACAGGACAAGGGTGGCCCTGGGAGACCCCAGGGGACCCAGGGGAGGTGGGGAAATGGGGTGGAAACAGAAGGAATGGCCCTCCCTGCCAGCAGCACCACTACAAGCCCCAAGGGGGCCCCCGGATGGAAGACAGCTGCAGGTGCCTGGTCCTGCGGGGAGCACATGTGTGCACGTGTGTGCTGGCACGAGCCTCTGTGGGCACGGCTACAAGAGGCGGCTGTGAGCTGGGGCCTCTGCATAGGGAGCTGGACCTGCTCACTCTGTCCCTAGGCCCCCAGGCTCTAAGTGGGGATGGAGATGGGGTGGGGCTGGCAGGGCAGCGAGTCCAAGGCCTCTGGCCCCCGGACTCCAGCAGGCACACAGAGCCGGCTCTGGTCCCCACACTCTGCCCCTGACCCAGAGGGACCCCACTGCCTCTATCACCCCTTCCCCCGAGAGGCCTCTCTCATCTCAGCATCTGCCCTTGGAGACTGGGTGGCAGAGGCTAGTTGCTGTGGGCAGACCACAGCTTCCGAGAATGGAAGGTCGGGAATGGCCCGGAGCAGGGCATCCCAGATGTAGCAATGCTGGGGCGGTGTGTGGTCTGAGGGGTCTTAGCCCAGCCTGGAGGCTCCAGGATCTCTAGCTGTGGAGGGTGGGTAAAGGGAGTGGGGAAACAGAGGCCTTTTGGCAGGGCCTTTCCTGGCACTGAGGGCAGCCCCCAGAATCTGAGCAGGGCCCAAGGACAGCTTGTGTGGCGTCCCGCAGCCTCCCCCGGCCGGACATCCCAGCTCACTGGGATCCCATTAAACTCCAGCCCGGGCCGCGGATGCACGAGCTATAAATAAACCAGCAGCCTGGAGCTCCAGGCCTGCCTCCCACCCTGTCTCCAGCCCGGATCTCGGGCTCCCCTGCCTTCGTTGGGGGCACCCCTGAGAGCAGTGGGATTGGGGGTGGTGAACGAGCCCAGCCCAGGGGCACCCCCAGCACTGGGCAGATGGGACATTGGTTCCTGGCTTGGCCACATTTAGCCTGGAATTCGGCCCAGCCCCTCCTCTGTAAAGGAGGTGACATTGGGCCCGGGGCCCCGAGTGGTAGGTGGGTGTTCCCTCTTCCAAAACAGGTCCCCAAGATGCCAGGGTTGGGGAAGGTGAGCCAGAGTCCCAGCTCTGAATGAAGTGGGGCGGGGCCTGTCCTGAGGGCCTCCGAGGCCCAGTCCTGCCCCACATGCCCGCTCACCACCACCCTGCTGGCTGGGGGAATCAGCCACTGCAGGGGCTGTGGGGGCCCAGCTCCAGCCCCACAGCAGCGGGCAAGCCCATTCCCCACCATCTCCCTTCCCTCCTGGCTCCTCGCACAACCCTGTGAAGGGGCAGGCGTCTCCCCACATCACATGGCAGCTGGAGGCACCGAGGGTTGGGGAGCAGGACCTGGTCCAGGGGCTGCAACTGGCGCTCCTCACACCTCTGGGGCGCCAGGGTTGGGTTGCAACCCTTGACCTATGGCCTCTCTATCCAGAGGAGAGCAGAGATGCCTCTGGCCACTGCTCAGCCCCACTCGAGAACACAGGCCGCCCCTCCTGGCAGCAAGAGCGTTCCAGAAGGCTCTACCACCCTGTGAACTTTCACGAGGGCCAAGAAGCCCAGGACACCCGCTTCCCCTTGCGCTCTGAGATAGCTGCTGTGCTGAGCCCCAGAACCCAACCCCCCCTGGGGACGGCAACCTGAGAGCCCAGCAGGTCACAAGGCGCTGCCGTGAGGCGCACAGGATGGCCCGGCCCCTCCCGCTGACCCCTCTGCCTGTGCCCAGACCCCCACCTGCCTGGCTGGGATCCCAGCATGTCTCGGGGCCCTGGCATGACCCCAACACTGTGACGCCTGTCACCATTCCCACTTTACAGCAGGATCCAGCACCACGCGGCGTCTACGTCTGCTCTGGCCCAAGCAGCACCCCCAATCCGTGCGTGCACCCCACGAATTGACTCCCTATCCACCCAGGACCAGGATGGAGGAGGACTTCTCCTCCCAGATGAAGAAGATGGCCTTGGCCATGGGCACGTCCCTATCAGACAAGGACATTGAGCTGCTGCCCACAGACATGAGACACCACGGTACAGCATGCCCCCGCCCGGCGCGGCCCCCCGCCCGTCCAGCCCCGCTGTGGTCAGGAGACCTCATCCCTTTTCTGGGGCTGATGGGTCCAGGACACCAGGACCTGCGGCGGGCGGGGACATGGGGGTGCAGGACCCGGCAGCCCCCATCCCAGGGCGGGGTCTTCCCTGGAGGCCCAGCTCAAGTGAGGTGGGCCCCTCCGTGAGCCCCGCCTGGTTGCCCCAGGGTCCTTCAACTACCTCAAGTTCTTCAAGCACATCCGCAAGCTCCACGCCTCGGGCCAGCTGGACGACGCCATCCACACGGCCTTCCAGTCCCTGGACAAGGACAAGAGTGGCTTCATTGAGTGGAACGAGATCAAGTAATGGCTGGCGGCCACGGAGGGGTGGGGCCCAGGCCACCCAGACCACGCCGAATGCCCACATGGCGGACCCGGCCTTCCCCCACCGGGTCCCCGCTGGCCTTGCAGCTGGCAGGGCTGGGCCAGAACCAGCTAGAAGCCCAGGAGGCTCAGAGGCCCAGGCTCCCGGCCCGAAGTGCCCTTGCCTACAAGGTGGGGGGCGAACGGCTCGTGAGTCACTGGGCACTGGCCGGAAGCCCCTTGGCCCTGACTCGAGCCCCCTTGGCCCCAGGTACATCCTGTCCATCATCCCCAGCAGCGGGCCCACCACCCCGCTGACAGACGAGGAGGCCGAGGCCATGATCCAGGCGGCAGACACACACGGGGACGGGAGGATCAACTACGAAGGTGGGGGCAGCACAGCCGGGGCACCCTCAGGACCCTCCTTCCCCTGCTAGGCCGCCACCCTTGCCCATGGCCCCGCCCCGAGGGCACTGGCACACAACTCACAGATGAGGAAACCCAGGCTCAGGGGTCTGGGCCGGGAGTCTAGGTGCTCTTCCCTGGGCCAAGGGCCCCACTGCAGAGAGGTGGCCAGGAGGGCTTTGGGAAGGCCAACTGTGGCAGAGCCAGCGGGTATGGGGTCTCAGAGCTCGGGGTGCCATCTTCTGGGGGACCCACGGTCTTTGAGGCTCTCCATGGCTGCCCTGAGGTCTGGGCCATCTCACCCCCACACAACCCCAGTGGCTGGCCACAGGCCTGGAGGGTGGAGGGCACACAAGGTGGGCTGGGCCTCCAGACACCGCTTGCCCAGCCACCGGCCGTTCTCATCTGCCTGGGTCTAGAAACCCCAGCAAACCTGGCTTGTGGCGGGGGGGTCACAAGGCTTGACAGGCATCCTGACCCCTCTCAGAACTCAGGCCCCCCAGCTGCTCCGTGCCTCAGTTTCCCCACTGAGAGATGATCATCAATGAGCACCTGCTCTCAGAGGGTCTGGTGGGAATTCCTGAGAGTCTCTGCAGAGAGCCAGGCCACTGCAAGCCCCCAGTCCCCAGCTGGGGTCAACTTGTGACGACCAAGCAGCTGGGCCCAGGACAAACAGCTCCAGCGTGGGGCCGCCCCCGGCCAGATGGGCTGGAGGCCTGGTCCCTGCTCAAGGACTTGGGGACAGGACCCCCTGGACTGTGTAGTCCAGGCACACTCCCTCTGCCTCCTCTGAGAGTTAAAGGGCCTACAGGAACTGGGGGACACAAAACAGGGGTACTTACTTTAAATTGGTCTCCTGCTCTAGAATTTTCTGAATTGATCAAAAAGGAGAAAATTCCAAAGAAGAAGTAGCACCATGACTAGCCCTGGCCAGCCAAGGGGCTCCCATGGGGTAACCGGGGTGACCACGCACCTGGGCAGAAGCCGTTGGGGCCGGTAAGAGGCGGCAGCCGTGAGGGTGGACCCAGCTTTTGAAGGAAAATGGAAGAAAAGCAGCATTAAGTGAATGACGCAGCCTGGTGTGTCTGTTGGGGATGCTGGTATGAACTGGGGTGGGGGCAGCATCAGGGCCATGGGTGACAACGGCTGGGGGGCAGGGTGGGCGTGTGAGGGTGGGAATGAAGACGTCTTCTCCCATCTCCCAGCCCCACCTGGCTGTGGGCAGCCCCCAAGGGCAACCCTGTAGTGAGATTCCATCCGGGTGGGCCTCCGGTCAGCAGGGTGCACAGTGCTCTCTGGGCCCAAACCCCTGAAGGGCCCCTTCCCAATCTGCAATGGACCTGGCCTGAGGCCACGCACTCCCAGTCCATACCTGAACGCAGTATGGGGACACCTGCAGCCCCTGGGTGCCCCCGGCAGGGGCCTCGTTCCAGGCCAAAGCACCCAGCAGACCCTCCACCTCCATCTCTTGCCTGCTCAGGCCCCCGGGCCGGGCCCTTCTATCTCCTGGCTGCGTGTCTCCCTCCATGGTGCTCCTCTCCCCACTTAGTGCTTCCGGCAGGACCCCAGCCCAGTCCTTGGTCCTCTGTCCCACCCACACTCACCTGCCTGGAACCCCCTCATCTGGTGGCTTAAGGGCCTCCAGCCCCGGCAGTTCCCAGCCCCCAGGTCCTGTGAGCGGCAGGGGTCTGGGTCCCCTTGGTGCCATTAGTGGGTGTGGGTGTTGCCCTCCAGCTGCTCACTGGCCACACAGGACTCCAGGCCCTCTGGGCTGGTGGCACGGAGGGTGTTGGGAGCCTGAGTCCCGGCTCACCCCAGAAGGGAAGACACCCGCCCATCAGGGGAACCCTTGCTGGACTTACGGGAGTGAGAACACAGCCATTCCAGGGGCGAGTGTGGCAATGTCAGGGTCTATTTGTCGCAGCAGCAAGAGTGAGGCTGATTCACACACCATCCTCACAGCCCACCTGCGTGTAACTACAGGCTCCGTCGTGAAATACACACAGAGCCCACTGCCCGCACCACCCTGGCCATGGTCACTCTCGCCTGGGCAACCACCACAGCCCCCTGGTTGGTCTCTCCACCTCTACCCTCTGAAGGTCCTTCCTCATCTTGGTGTCTGGAGGGCTCTCCCCTCACATAGGGTGACTCTAGGGGCCTCAGGCACTCTGACTCCCACTTTCCCTCTGACCTGAGACCCCCAGGTCCTGCCCCTCCTGATGCAGCCACGTGGCCCCCTTGCCTCCTCAGCCAGGCGCCACCTTGCCCTGGGGCCTTTGCACCTCCAGCCCTCAGCCTGGCATGCTCTTCCCTAGACATCCGGCTGCAAGACAGACTCTCTCTTCTTCGATGTTTTCTGCAAATGTCGAATCCCAATGAGGTCGTCTTTACCTGCCCTGTTTGATATTTCACTCACCCTCGCCAACATCCTGCATCCCCCTAGACCAGGTCTTTTCCCCAAAGCATTCCCCATCCCCTAATATGCTATGACATTGGCGTATGCACGCGTTTATTATGAGCAAACAAAGCAGGGGTGCTAAGATCCAGAGCAGGGGAGCTCTGAGAGGTGAGTGCAGGCGGTACAGGCTGCCCCATCGGGCGTCTGCCAGTCAGCAGTGGGACTGAGAGGGCGCCGGGCGGCCTCCTGCTGTCCAGGGCCTGTCCGGGAGGAGGGGCTTTGGCTACAGCTGCTATGGGCTACCCAGTGGGAGTAAGAACAGCAGAGAACCCGACCCGACCTCACCAACTGGAGGCTGCCCTCACCGTCAGTGCAGAGCCCAGAGCTCAGCCCCTCCCCTCCCCGTCAGCCACAGCCACAGTGAGCCCACCGGACAGGGGGTTGGCAAAAGTCAGTCCCAGGGCCAGATCCAGCCCAACACCGGCCAAACCTGGTTTTGGACTATCTGGGGCAGCTTTCGCGCTGTGCTCAGAGGCCATAGAAAGTTTGAAAATAAAAAGAAGGGGCCGGGTGCGGTGGCTCATGCCTGTAATCCCAGCACTTTGGGAGGCTGAGGCAGGCGGATCACCTGAGGTCAGGAGTTCAAGACCAGCCTGGCCAACATGGCGAACCCCTGTCTCTGCAGAACGCACATTATTTTTAAATATGTAAAGCATTTACCAAAATTGTCCAAATGCTGGGACCTAAAGTGAGACTCAGTCAAGTCAAAGGACTGAAATATTATGGAACATTCTCTGACCATAGAGAAGCTAAGTTAGAAATTTAAAAGATAAAAAAAGCAGCACAGTTCTAAACAGCCTATGGTTCAAAGGGACCATCCTGCAAATTTGGAAATGTTTCCCACCAAAGAAGAATGAAAATACAACACGTCAACTTGTGGCTGCCGCTCAAACGGTGCCTTGAGGGAAACTCACAGTCTTAGACGCACAGACTCCAAAGGAAAAGGGCCTGGGAATCAATGATCTAAGCATCCTTCCCAAGAAGTTAGGAAAAGAACAAAAAAGGAAGCTCGCAGGAGGGGACAGAAATAAAGGTGGGCATTGTGAAATGTTAAGTTTCCTGCTTTCTGTCCGTCTACCCTGCTGGAACATAAACCCCTCGAGGGCTGGGTGTGGTAACAGGCACCTCTAGTCCCAGCTACTTGGGAGGCTGAGGCAGGAGAATTGCCGTACCCCAAATTCTAGGCCTGGCATCGACAGCACGTGGACTTAGATGATTTGGTTGATGCTGTGAACTGTCTCAAAGAAGCAGGCTCTGCCAGGGAGAGAATGGAGCCCATGAGGGCGGCGAGCCAGGTGGGGTGGAATGAACCCCGGGCAGAGTCCATCTGTGCTTCTAGGGTCTGGCCCCCGCCCCGAAGCCCTCCCCCCACCCCCAACTGCCCATCAACCTAGACAGGGAAGTGAACTAGCTGGGGGGAAGGGAGCCCAGCTTTCTCAATGGTAAGACTCGGGGTGCCCCCCACCGTGACTCAGAGACCCCTCCAAGCCCCTGAGGACCTCCACAGTGTCTTGCTGGGTGAAGCCCACCTCTGTGTTGCTGTCTGTTGGGCACTAGAACTACCTGGAGCAGAAGCAGCGGGAAGGCTCAGGGCAACAGGTTTGACCTGGGGCCTTTCCCGGAAGGCTGGGGCCTAATAGCTGCCCCTGGAGCATAGAGCCGCCCCCTTCCCACCCCACTCCCAGCCTCCCGCACTCCACTCCCCACAGGGAGGAGAAACGCCATCTCAGCCCCCTTCCCCAGGCACCCCTGTCCAGGTGAAGCCGCCTGGCAGACAGGCCCTCCCCTCAATGTTCCAGCCTCTCAGGGACACCTTTCTCATCAGCACAACACGTGAGGCCACGTGACTGGAGGGCAGCAGAGACAGGAATGATACGCAGCCCCAGTCTCTTCATCTAAAATTTGAATTAAAACCCAACAGGCTGGGCATGGTGGTTCACACCTGTAATTCCACTTTGGGGTGGGGGTGATCACTTGAACCCAGGAGTTTGAGACCAATCTGGTCAACATAGTGAGACTGTCCTCAAAAAGTAAAACAAAAGTAGTTGGGCATGGTTTCCCACTACCAGGTAGTCCCAGCTACCTGGGAGGCTGAGGCCCCAGGGGATCACTGGAGGCTAGGAGTTCGAGGCTGCAGTGAGCTATAATCGCGCCACTGCACTCCAGCTTGGGCGACAGAGCAAGACCTTGTCTCAAAAAATAAAAATTAGGCCAGGCGCGGTGGCTCATGCCTATAATCCCAGCACTTTGGGAGGCCGAGGCGGGTGGATCATGAGGTCAAGAGATCGAGACCAGCCTGGCCAACATGGTGAAACTCCGTCTCTACTAAAAAATACAAAAATTAGCTGGGCGTGGTGGCGGGCGCCTGTAGTCTCAGCTACTTGGGAGGCTGAGGCAGGAGAATCGCTTGAACCCGGGAGGCGGAGGTTGCAGTGAGCCAAGATCATGCCACTGCACTCCAGCCTGGGCAACAAGAGACTGTCTCAAAAATAAATAAATAAAAATAAACAAATAAAATTAAAATTAAAACAACAACGAGAAACAAAATCCAAGAGATGCAACGATCCAGAGGCGGCCCCAAATGCAAAAGGCCCTCCACACGTCCTTGTGAGCCAACAAATGAAGGACTCAGGAATGAAGGAGAAATGAACGAGCAAATGAAAAACCCATCAAGCAGGGGCTGGGAAGCCGGGGATGCCCCCAGCTGAAGGCCACACCCGTTTCTCACTCCTTTTCTGGCCATGAGTGTCCCAGGCCTCTTCTCACCATCTCTGTGGAGGTCACCCTGTGTGTCCTGCCGGAGACCTTGTAAACATACTTAGTTTAGTAATTCGCAGCCATTTCAATGATAAAAATACCTTTTCTGCGGCCAGGGCACCCGAATGTGAGCCAGAACAGAAAGCTTGCTTTCCCCGCAGAAAGCTTGGCCCTGCACTGCTCCTGGGAGCCGGTTCCTGGGGGCTTCAGCTGCGGTGACGGAGGTGTGGGGCTCAGGACTTGAGATCCACAGGCCCCCGTTCTCAGAGCCCGCCTGGCCAGCTGAGCTCACATTTGGGTGAAGCTCTGGAGTTAAAGCCCAGCTGAGTGACTCAGCTCTCAGCACCCTGCAGCCAGTGTCACCATCGTCCCTGGGGGCCACTGCCCCCACACAGGCTTTGGTGAGGCCTCCGGAGCTTTGTCCTCAGCATGGGGCCTGGCCAACAGCAACTCATCATAAGGGACACGGCTGTCATCCTCGGCTCCTCTCTGCAGCCTCACCAAGAGGTGCCTGGGTCTCACCCTGGCCCGGGAGCAGGCCCTGGGAGTGGGGTGGCCCCTGAGCTGAGCCTGAGTGCCCAAGACAAGCAGGGCTCACAGTGACCTAGGGGATGGCAGAAGCCGCCCCTCCCACCCCCTAGGCTCTGTCCCTGCTGTGCGTTTCACCTTCACACAGGCCTGGCCCTGTCTGCAAAAGGGGGAAGGCCCAGCAGTGGTTCTGCGTGACCAACCACGACCCCGGGGACCCGCACTGCCCTGTCCTGTGCTCTGGATACCGAGCCCAGTGCCACACACGGCTCCAGGCCGAGCCTCCAGCTCTGATTCCAACATCCGGATGCCCACCTTTGGGCCTCCCGCCACGCCCCAGGTCCACAAGCATGATTTGCACACAGTCCCCTGAAGCCACATTGCCTGGGCCCTGTCCCTGTTAGGGGCGTTTTCCTAGTTCACCCCTGAGGTCCTCAGCTCCTCCTGGCTTGGGCTCCCCGAGGCCTGGACCTGGGAACCTGGGGGGTGGTGAGCGAGAGGGACCCACTGCCCTGCACCCCCTGCCGGGTGGGGGACCCACACCAGATGCAGGACAAGGCCCATCTCACTCACATCCCTGGTCACCGAAGCCCGCAAGGGGACCAGGGACGATGCCACCTGGAAGGATAAAGACGTAAGGACCAGGACATGCCTTGTGTCCAGGGCAGTGACTTGGCCAGCAGGATGGCGCTGGGCACGAGGACCTAAGCCTGGCCAGCCCCTCCTGGGGGAAAGCAAGCCTCAGGCAGGGTGTTGGAGCAGGCCTGGGTAGCCAGCAGCACCTCTGTTCCACAGGGGGCTTCCCAGGACCCCAGGCAGCTGCTGCGGCCAGGGAGGTCCTAGCCATGCTGCAGGTAGGAAGACAGGCTCGGGGGCGATGGGTCTACCCGGTGCAGACGCCGGGACACTGTGGTGTGGCAGCCTGAGCGACCCCAAAGCCCGGTCCCAGGATAGTGCGGCCTGCTTGGAGACCCTTGTCTGCCACCAAGCGTTCAGGCGCGGCTTTGGACCTCCCATCCCAGTGAGATGGCATCCAACACTCACTTCCTGGTCAGTGTAGACGGAGGTGGAGGGAGGGCTGCCCCCCTGAGGATTTGGGGCAGGTTCTGAACTGACCAGGCCAAGCTGACCTGGGCTGAGAACCAGGCTGGGTGTGAAGAGATGCTCTGGGCCAGTGGTACCCTCTCCTGCCTGGGACCTTCCCCAGTGCCCCCATCCTCATGGGTGGGCCCTGTCCATCCCCATTTCTTGAGAGCTCCAGACTGTCACACCTTGACAGCGGGGAGGGTAGGGCTTCCTGTCCCTCTGGAGTCTCTCCAGCCATAGGAGCACGCTGGCAGCCATGGGCTTCCAGCACCTGCAGGGCCACGGCGGGGCCCTCGGAGCTCCTCCCAGGGGGTGAGTTCTGCTGAGTTCCTCCTGCGCCTGGCCAGGAACGGGGTAGGGAATTCCCTGTGCTTGGGACTTCCAGGGTCCAGGGCAAGGCAGGGAACAGGAACTTGGGGGTTGGGTTGAATGCTGGGGAGCTGAGGGCTGAGTGCAGGGGGGCTGCTGGCTGAGTGCTGGGGGCTGCTGGCTGAGTGTTGAGGGCTGCTAGCTGGGGGGCTGATGGCCAAGCTTCGTGATTTCCTGGTCAGCCTGCTCAGGCTGCGGAGGGGAGTGGGAGGAAGAGAGCCAAACCCACGCCTGGCTGCTCTGGGGGTCTTGGGCAGCCTCTAGCCCAGGAGAGAAGACAAGGCAGTCACTCAAGGCGCTGAAAACAACGGCCTCCTTTACTGTTAAAATGCAGCCACAGGTGCTTAGCCGTGGGCATCTCAACCACCAGCCTCTGTGGGGGGCAGGTGGGCGTCCCTGTGGGCCTCTGGGCCCACGTCCAGCCTCTGTCCTCTGCCTTCCGTTCTTCGACAGTGTTCCCGGCATCCCTGGTCACTTGGTACTTGGCGTGGGCCTCCTGTGCTGCTCCAGCAGCTCCTCCAGGTGGTCGGCCCGCTTCACCGCAGCCTGCAGCACACCCACAGGGTCAGGCCTGCTCCCAGCCCCGAGGTCCAGCAGGGCTGGCCACAGGGACTCACCTCATGTTGTGTCCGGAGGCTGCTCACGGCCTCCTCCTTCCTCGCGAGGGCTGTCTTCACCCTGTGGGTAGTACATGGTAGGCTTCAGTGTGGCCCCCGCCCCATGTCCCCAGAGTGGCCTGCAGTGCACAGGGTGCACGGGGCAGCCGCCTGGTCAGCCTGGTCCCAGCCCTGCTGACCACGACTCCTGTGGCTGGCCCAGACAGCTGTCCAGGCAACCCACCTGCTGTGAGTCAGGACCCAACACAGGCCACTGGAGTATGACCCTGGCCACACCTGGGGAGGCCTGGTACCCAGATGGGGTGGGACACCTCGCCCACACCCACCTCTCAGCCTGTGGCAGCAGATGGCACAGGAAGGATGCAGGACCCCCGTGGAGGGAGCTCGCTGGGAACCTTACAGTGCCCCAGCTCTTTCAGCGCCTGTCCACCCAGCCCAGGGCCCCGGGAGCTGACTCCCTGGAGAACTCGCCAGGCCCAGACCCGACCCACTCGGGTGCCCCAACAGGGATGGCCGACACCCTAGACTAAGCACCAGGGAGGAAAACAGATCTAGGTCTCCTGGGCCCCAAACATGGAACCCACACCAGCCTCTGTCTACAGGGCCCTGTCTCTGCATCTCCTGGCCTTCCTCAGCCACAGCCTCCTGGGGCTTGGAGCTGCAGAGGTCCTGCCCGCTCCCCTGCCCCGCCTCCGTCTCCAGCCCTGCAGCCCCCGCCGCCCACCTCCGGTGCACCTCCTCCAGCTCCAGCTGCTGGCGGGCCTGCAGCGTGGCCAGCTCGGCCTTGGCCTGCCGCGTCTCCTCCTCAGAGGCTGCCAGCCGGTCCTCGAACTCCTGGCGGATCACCTGGGCCAGGTTGCTGCGCTCGCTAGAAAGCTGCTCGTTCACCTGGGTGGGCACAGAAGGCAGTGAGCCGGCTGCCAGCGACTGGCTGCGTGCATGCAGGAGGGGCCTGTGGGTGCCCACTGCCCACCTGACACCCGCCCACTCACCGCCTGCGCATCCTCCAGCGCCCGCTCCTTCTGCCGCACAAGGCCCTGCAGACGCAGATTCTCGCCCTCGGCCTCCCCAAGCTGGCCCTTCAGCTCCGAGCACCGCTCCTGAAGCTTCCGCTCCGACTGCTCCAGCTCGGAGAGCTCGGCCTCGTACTTGTCCCGTAAGCGCTTGATGCTGGAGGTGGGGGGAGGGCAGGGTCACTCCAGCCCAGTCACACACGGGTCCTTGCGCCTCAGCTCGTGGGCCTCCCCAGCTGGTGACCCAGCCATGGCGGGTCCTTACCGGCTCTCGGCAGCCTTCTCACTCTCCTCCTTGGCCAGCGCCATGTCGGCCTCCAGCCGGTGAATGACCAGCTCAATCTCCTTGTCCCGGCCTTTCCGGATTTCTTCCCTCAGCTCCTGTTCCCGGTTCAGCAGCCACGCCTCCTGGGGGGACATGCGCTGCCTGGGGGTTGCCACCCGGAGCCGGCCCGCGGGGCCAGGGCCAGCCTCAGGGGGTCCTGGGGGGCTCCAGGCTCTGAGCCACAGGGGAGCAAGGGGCCTTCCCCCTCTCCAGACCCCTGTCCAGGGGTGCGCTACGTCCTGTTGTCAGGACCCAGTGTGGGCATAGGCGTACCAGAGATCGTCATGATGCACAGCCCACGGTCCCCTCCCTCAGAGACCCACAGCCCATGACAACCTGAGGCCACCTTCTGCTACCAGATGGGATGGGAAAGTTGGACTTGCGTGTTGCTGAGGGCGGGGCCTGGGCCCCCAAGCCCAGGCATTCAGAGCCTAAGCTGGCAGCCTCCTGGAAGCCTCTGAAAACTCCCAGAGTTTCATCTGTCCAGCCCTGGGCCCCACAGGGCTACGTCGGGAGCATGCTACTGGGCCCAGAGGCATCCACTGCCAAAGCCTGCCTGGCTGCTCGGTGACATCCCAGCCCACCAGGGTGTGAAACCAGGTGACGGGCACGGTCAGCCTGGACTGTAGCCTCGCGGCGGGCATGGGTGGTGAGAATGTGTGTGGGACTGTCACCGTGGCAGAGTCCACCCCCCACAGAAGGCCCCAGAGGCTAAGGGGGGAGCCCCTGTTGTGCGTGTCCCTCTCGGTACATCTGAGTGTCAGTGGGCTGGTCGTGGGGCGCAGGGGTGTAGCAGCCCCTAGCGAGAGGGGCAACGCCTGTTCTCGGACCACAGAGGATGCGCTCCAGGCACCCTTGATCCTTCCAGAGCCCACGCAAAAGATGGGCTGAAAGCAACACACTCAGCGTCAGTTCAGACAACAACCCCAAGCAGCCAGATGTGACTCCCAGAAACGAGCCCCCAGGATGCCACAGCAGCAGCAAAACCCACCTGGGGCAGCCCCCAACTCCTGCCCACGCAGGGCAGCCCCCAACCCCTGCCCACCTGGGTGCCCAGGCCCCCACCTCCTTCCTGGTGCGGCCGGCCTCCCACGCCTGCCTCTCCAGCTCCAGCTGCTGCTTCAGGGTATTCAGCTCCATCTGGGGGGCGGACATAAGAGGCCAGTCAGTCCCACCCCGTGCAGCCCCCTGGCCAGGCCCAGCACAGCCCTCCGGTGGTAGACCTGGTGCCGGCGCTCCTGCTCCTCCCTGCCCTTCTCAAACTCAGCCCTCAGGGCTCGGGTCAGTGCAGAGCTGCTCTCCTCCAGCTGCTGCCTCAGCTCTTCCAGCTCCGCCCGCTGCCTGCGGCCAGGGAGGAGTCAGCAGGTGAGGGGTCATCGAGTAAGGAGTCAGGGATGGGAGAGGTCAGCGGGTGAGGGGGCGGGGGGGAGGGGTCAGCCAGCGAGGGGTCCCTGGGAGAGGGCGTGGTGCCCCCGGGCGGCACCTGGCTGCCTGCTGGCCCAGCCGCTCCCTCTCCTCAGCCACCTCACTGTACAGCCGCTGCCGTTGCTGCTGCAGCGCCCACTGCTCCTGCTCCAGGTGCTGCTGGAACCTGCGGGACGGTCAGGACTGGCTCTCGGGGGCCGGGACGGGCGGTCCCAGGACCCACCCACCGCAGGGGCACGGGCCGACCACAGGCCTGACTCACAGCTGGAGAGCAGCCCTCCGGGGCCCTGCCCCTCCCCCTCGGCAGTCAAGGCCCCTCAAAGCCACCGCCCGGGGGCAGGCAAGGCCACGAGGAACTTGCCCATCAGCCAAGCGCAGCAATTCCCTGAGCTCCAGGCCCTCGTGGCACTTTGGGAAGTGGCTGTGGAGCCGCGTCCAGGCCCCCTTTTCCCTCAGCCCGTGTGCCGGCCTCACCCTGTTCAGCATTGCCCCACGGGCATGGAGGGCGGGAGGCAGGTGCCTCGTGGGGCCTTATCCACCTCCCCTGCCTCCGGCCTGAGGGTGCCAGGTGCCTGGCTCCGTGACCTGAGCAAGCTCGCGCCAGGGCCTCGTCCTGACCCCACCTTCGAGGAGAGACTGGGGGACCAGCCAAGCTGCATCTGGGGAGGACCAGCCACGACAGGCAACAGGGTGGATAGGAGAGGGTGGCTTCCAGGCTGTCCTGGTGGCGCAGACAGTGCAGGAGGGGCTGCCACTGCCCCCTGTGGCCCGCAGATCCTGACCACCACTGGGCACGTCCCCAGCCCCCAGGGCTCAGGACGCAAGAGCAGCAGTCACCCCTCAGACCCCAGGCCAAGGGAGTGAATGAGAGAGACCGTCCCTGGGCCCCAAGGTCAGAGCTGGAGGGGCCTCGAGGCCGCCTATCCACGGGTTGCTGCTCTGGGGCCAGTTGTGAAAGAGTGGATGTCTGGTGGGGGTTCCCAGCCCTGACCCTGGGAAAACACCCGTGCACCCATGCAGAACCTGCAGACCTCGGCGGGCATGAACTGCAGACACAAGCCCGAGGACACTGGCCCGGCTGAGGCTGGGCCCCCAAGGGCCACTCCAGGGCCAAGGGCCCTGCGTCCTCCCTGCATGCTGCACTAAGACCCTCGCCCACCTCTACATGGGAACTCCACTCCAGCCTTCGAGGATTCCGACTCCCCGCCCTGAGGGTCCTGGCCCCACCGGCCTGGGGCCACCACCCACCGCTGCCGAGCACGTTCGCGCTCCTGCTGGCCCAGCGCCTCCTTCTCCCGCTCCAGCTGCTCCCGCAGCTCCTCGGCCTGGCGCAGGCAGCGCTGCGAGGCCCGCTCATCCGACTGCAGCAGCTCCGCCTCGTGCAGGCTCTTGAGCCTCCGCACTTCCTGCTTGTGCCTTGCAATCAGCTTCTGGATCTCGGGCTCCAGACCTGGGGGCGGGGCACCAGCTAGGGCCACGTCCAGCTAGGGTGGGCCCGGGAAGTCCAACCCTGGCACAAGACCAGCCTGTCTCAGGCCCAGAGGGGACCCCGCCCACCCAGGGCCTCCTTGGATCCAACCCGAAGCACAGCTGAGTCTTGACGCCCACGAGGTGGGGAAGAGACCCCCACAGGGCCACGGCGCCTCTCCCAGCCTGTGGGGCTCAGGGCTCCTGACACTCCTGGTGCTACCACTGACGGCTCCCAGGCACCCTGGCAGGTGTCCAGAGCGAGAGGACCAGGCCTCGGGGAGCCCTGCACATCACCCAAGGGTCCGAGGCCCCTTCAGACCACAACACCCACCAGCCTCCTGCCCCATCCGCCTGCCTGCCCCTGCCTCCTCCTGTGGCTCACTCTGCTTCCCGTGGCAGGGCCCACGTGCCACAGTCGTCCACAAACTCCCAATCTCCCCTAGCCCAACCCTGAGGAAGTGAGGCACTGAGCCCCCTCGTTTCAGGCAACTGCCTAGATGCTGGGGGCTGGGCCAGGCTCCTGTGTGGAGCCCACCTGCCCCCCGGGTCACGGCAGAAGCCGCAGCGGAGGCCGTGACGGGGGTGGTTGGGGCATGAGTGTTCACCTCTGCCCAGGAAGGTCTCGGACTACATGAATGCCTGAAGTTATGGCTCTCTCAAAAGAAGCCCTGGCCGCAGCACCCACCCCACACCTGGCCGGCTCATGGGAGGGGAGGGCCCACCTCGGACAGTGACCTCCTTGATCTTCTTGGTTTTCTCACTGATCCACTTCTCCCGGCGGGCTTTCTCGGTGGCGCTCATTAATTCTTTGAGTTTTTTAATCTCCTACGAGCAGAACAGGGCAGGAGGAAACGACACGAAGGACACCCCCGTCCCTTTGCCACCCTGTGGGCACAGTCAGGGCCGGGCTTCCAGGTCCACCAGCACAAGGCCGGCACTCATGGTTGGGTGTGCTGCCCCGAGACAGAGCCACTGCTGCCCTCCCCAGCGCCCGGGGCCAGGCTGGAGGCCCAGGCCCACCCTGCCACACACCTTGGTGGCCTGAGACATGGGAGGGCAGCCATCAGCCTGCAGAGGCCTTGCCCCAGAGAGGGGTGCTGCTGCCTGTCGGGACGGCCCCAGAGCCTGCATTCTTCCATGGGACTGGCAGTCCTCAACCCCGGCTGTCAGCCACAGTCACGTGCAGGGATTTTAAAATGCCAGTGCCAAGCCCCACTCCAGAACCTGGGCTCGGGACCATCACTGCCCAAGCTGGTGGGAAGCATAGCCAGGGAGGCTGAGGCCCCCAGGGAGCTCACACAGCGGGAAGGGGCGGGGAGTCAATGCTCCACCGACACCTGGTCAGTAGAGAGAGCAGGTCCCATGGCCCAAGGACCTGGCAGTGGGGCAGACCAGGCAGAGGCTCCTGGGTCCACGGCTACCGTGCTGTGGCCGGGCAGGGACTGTGCGTCCACATCTGTGACAGCAGGCCCACGGCCCCGCCCCAGAGCCTGGCAGCTAGAGAGGCAGGAGTGGACCAGCTCGGTGCCACGGTGCTCCCCCAGACAGCCCCACCCACCGCTGTGGCCCTGACACACCGAGACAGGAATGAGGACTCCAAGTCCGGTCCTGTTCTGGGGGCTGTGCCAGCTGAGCCTGGCCTGTGAGCCGGGCTTGGGACGCCGTGCAGTAGGGAGCAAAGCCTCACCAGCTCGTGCTGCGCCTGTGCCTGGGCCACACGCTCGGTGCATCTCTGGTCCTCCTGCTTCAGCTCGGCCACCACAGCCTCGCACTTTTCACTCAGGACCTTCTTGTCCTCAATCAGCTGTGTTGGGGACCGGAGGTGAGGTGCTACACCAAGGCCCCAGCCCAGCAGGACCCCTGATGGAGGAGACCCTCCCAGCCTCCGAGGGAGGCTAACAGCAGCCCTCCCCTGGGGCTGCCCCTCCTAGGTTTGTGGATGGACCCTGGGGCCAGTGGGGGGGCACGTGTGCAAACACGGGCCCAGGCCTGCATCCGCCGTCCTGTCCTCAGCTGGGGGACCCGGCGAATGTCAGAGAAGCCCCAGCCCACCCCCTGCAGTGATGTCAGGGTCTTCCTGGGATGAGGGTAGCTCTGCCGAGGCCATCACCCAGCCCTGGAGGAGGCTCACTGTCTGCCAAAGGGTGTCAGGACCACACCAGCCTCACTGCCGGCCCCAGGCCAGACCCCAGGTCAGGACACACCTGTGACAACTATCAAGCAGCCCTGGAGGCCCCTATTCTCACACACCCCAGACCAACTCTAGGTCTCTTCTCTTCAGAACAGGAGCCAACCGGGGCTGCGACTGAGCTGAGGGGCCGGCAGGACACCCCACTACACTCACACGGGGCGGCTCTGGATAAAGACAGGAGTGCCCTCTCCAGGGCATGCATGGCTGGGAATGGCATGGGAAAGGCTTGGAATGCGTCCAGCGGACACCCGTGTGACACCCAACAGAGGAAGAAGCTCCCTGGCAGTGGGAAGCCCCTGGCTCTGGAAGTCTCCATGAGCCACGCGCTGGGTCCGGGCCTCTGCGCTCCCCGGGCCGCTCACCTGGTCAATGAAGGCCAAGTGCCGCTGGATGGTGGCCTCGTAGTGCTCCCTCTGCCGCTGCAGCTGCCGGCTCAGCGCCTTCTCTGTCTCCTTGACCCGCCGGGCCGTGAGGTCTCGCTGCTGCGCCTGCAGGGTGTGGGCAGAGGAGGGAAGCGCTAGGACCGGTGGGCCTGGCCTCAGCAGGTAGGAGGCTAGCAGGGCCCGGGATTAGCAGTGCCAGCAGCGTTACCAGCGCTCTCTGCAGCAGCAGCATGGCCTGCTTCTTCTCCTCCACCTCCAGCTTCAGCCGCATCACAGACGTGCTCACCTCGGACCCCAGCTCCAGGGGCCCCGGCCCCGCCTCCGGCACCCACCCCTGCAGACACAGCCGAGCGTCAGGCGGAAGCGGCAGAGGACGGGGGGCAGCCAAGGACCTGACACGATGCCCCTGCGGCCCTGCCCTCTGGGGACAGAGGGGCTGCTGCACACGGGAGCCCGTGGGAAGCCGGAGGGCAGGTGGCAGGCGGCCCAGCAGAGGTCGTTTTCATTGCTCAGTACAGGAAATGGGGGCCGTGGCCTCAGGAATAAAAAACAAACCATTTAAAAAGTTCTATGCTGCCCAGCTTCCTGCCCTGTGACAATAAAGTTCACGTCACTGCTCCATTTAGCCTGGCCGCTAGTGTTCACCCAGGACAAACCAACCCAGAGGACAGCAGGGCTCCAGAGGGCTGAACTATCCACACATATGGGCTCGTGGAGGCAGCTCGGGGCAGCGGGTAGGTGGGGGCAGTATGGGGAATGCGGGCCCTGCCACCTCCACCCTGAGAGACCCGTGGGGGGTGCTGCATAACTAGGTGGGTACATGGTGAGGGACCACCTCCTGCTGGGGGCCGGGTGGGGGCTGGCGAGAGACCTCCTCCCCCTGGGGGCCAGGTGCGGGCTGGTGAGGGGCCTCCTCCCCCGAGGGCCAGGTGCAGGCTCGTGAGGGGCCTCCTCCCACTGGGGGCCGGGTGCGGGCTGGTGAGGGGCCACCTCCTGCTGGGAGTCCAGCTGGTCCTGCCCAGACTTCTCCATCTCGTCCAAGAAGCTCATGATGCTTTGTAGCTTGGCCTCCGATAGCAGCGTCCCATCCTCAGGAGGTTCGGGGAACGCACTGAGTTTTCCAAATTTCTCCAAGTTGTCAGCTGTCAGAGAGCTGGCGTCATCCTCCTGTGGGACAGGAGCCCAGCATCGGGGGCTGTCAGGGCAGCCTGAGGACTTGGGTTCCCCAAAGGCAGAGGTGGCAGCTGAGGCTGGGCTCTGGGAGGGAGGGTTGTGACTAAAGCCAGGAGGAGCCTGTGGCATCCCCATTTTCCCAACCCCCACAGCCACCGCATGCTCTGTGTGAATGGCGTGGGTGGACAGACTGTGCAGGGCGGGCGCACACCGTGGTCACCTCGCTGGCCCAGGCGTATCTGCCCCTGTGATGGGTCCTGGGGCGGGGCAGCACGTCCGGCTCCTTCTCCAGCAGCTGCAGTGTGTGCAGCAGCTCCTCCAGTGGCCCCCTGGACTTGGCGCTCCCCCTGCTCGGGGCCATCATCTCCAGGTTGTCCCCAGCTGCATCCTGGGCAAGAACGTCCTGCAAAAGAGCAGGGAGACAGATGCAGCAAGGCTGCTGGTAGCTGAGAGCAGCCCCCACATAGGAGGCCAACCGCAGAGCCCCAAAGGCGCCGCGGGAGCTCCCCAGTCCCGACATTCAGCCCCAGGAAGGTGAGGCCAGGGCTCAGACCTTCCCACCCGGTCTCTGCAGCTGCTCAAACCCAGAGCAGCTCCAGCCACCAGGGGACTCCTCCCAGTGCCCCACTCCAGGAAAACAGGAGTGCAGCCACCTGGCCCCACCATTGAGCAGCCTGGGAGCCTTGGCTGTCAGGTCACCCCTCAGAGCCGGAAGCTCCTCTTTTGTGGATGAGGATGCAAGGCCCCCCACCCCAGGACATCTGCAAAAACCCAACTGGATCCACCCCAGCAAAGGCTCCCCAAGAGGCAGCCAGCACCATGCATCAGAGCAAGAAGACACCTCCTGGGTGGCCTCTCTGAGCTTAAGTGGCCCCTAGAGCAGAGGAGGGGCTGGGAGAAGCTCAGCTCAGGACACCCCTGGCACAGACATGGCCCTTAAAGCCAAAAACCATGATGGAGTGAAGGACAGCTGTGCTCAGACCTGCGTCCTGTCCTCTGGAGGCTGCTGTGGTTCTGGGGATGAGTCGGAGGTGGGCAGGCAGCGGTCTCCGGGGCCTGCAGCAGGGAGGCCACCACCTGCACAGCAGAACACAGCACCATTCCACAGGGAGCATCCCGGGGCGGGCAGCAACTCTGGAGGCACCCCCGGGAAGGAGCCAGGCATGGGGGAGGCGGAGGCGACCCCAGAAGCAGAGGAGCCGCTGGGGAGCCACGGCCTTCTGGGTGTGGAGCTGTGGAGGATGAGTGCCACCCCTCCCTTCCGGGCCTTCTACTCTGTAGGGATCCCTACGTCCAGGACCATTTGATTGTCAAGGTCTCGGCACCCTCGTCAGGTCAGCTGGGGGCCAAGGCCCCTAACTCCGAGGACTGGGGCCGCCAACATGGGCAGCAGCACAGGAGGCCGAGAGGAGGTCCACAAGGGCTGCACTTCCTTCCTGGCTGCAGTCCACCCCCCAGAGCAGGGCGGGCGTGGAGCCACTCTCACCAGTATTGTTGGCCTTGAGGGCCTGGTGGGCAGTGCCGCCTGGTGTGGGGGACAGCTCCTGAGCAGGCTGCCGCATTCCTGGCACTCTGGTCTCCCTGGGATTCTCAGGTGGCCCACGCTCGGCAGTGCTCGCCTTCTGGGCTCTCAGGGCTCGTTTCTGTTGCAGCTCCTGCAGTGGGAGCATCGCTGAGCACTGTCCCTGGGAGAGGACGACCCCAGGCTCCACAGCCAAGCTGCCCTGAGGCTAAGTGTCCCGGGGCCCAGGGAGCCCCAGCAGCAGCCCCGCACGGTCAGGCCTGGGCCACGGTGCTGCTCAGTGGTCCCTGCGCGGTCAGCACCTGAATGGCTGCTCGCCTGGCTTGGCGTGCCTTCTCCTCCCGGGCCTTCCTCCTGGCTGCCTCTTTCTGCTGGTGCAGGTCCAAGAGGGTCCCCTCGCCTGACCGCTGCCGCTGCTCCTGCCAAAGAAGCCGGTGCCATGTGGCGTTTACATCTGGAAGACGGAATCCAGACCCAGACCAGAGGTTTCCCCACAACGCCCTGGAGTCCCCTAGAGTTCGTGGAATCTCAGGGCCAGCAGGGAAAGTGAAACCCCACCAGGACCTTGAACCTGCCATTTCTCTGCTCTACAGAGGATGAGCCCTACGTCGCAGGTGGCCAACAGTTCTGGCGTGGGGGAGACAGCTCTGCCCCCACAGAACGTCCTCCTGAGACTCTCCAGCCTGGGATGGACCCAGCAGGCGTTTCCTGACACCCAGGCCCTGAGGACCGCCAGTGAGGACCACCCTGACTGTCCGCGGGGACCCAGGGTCAAGAAGGATGCTGCACCCAGAGACGGGGCCCACGAGCAATCCTAGGCTTTGATTCCACCTGTCCCAGAAACTCAAACCCCTGGGATTCTGGGCCAGACCCCCCGGGGGAGCATGGAGTGACTGAGACGCCCACACTGACCTCCCGCTTGGCCTGAAGCAAGTGCTCCAGGCGGGCAGCTCCTGCTCCGCGCCGCTGCACCTGGTGCCGGTACCAGCGCTGGATGGTGACAGTGGCCTGGTTCACCTGGTGGATAAACCTGCCCGGAGAGCAGGACTCAGGGCCAAGACAGGACCAGCGCCCCGGCAGGACCCAGCTGGCTGCTGGTGGAAGGTCGAGCCGGGGAAGAGAGAAGCCGGCGGCTGCACTCAAGTAGCCCTTTTCACAAGGCAGGACCAGCCCACCTGGACCATTTTCACATGGCAGGACCAGCCGCCTGGACCAGCTCCACTAAAACCCAAAACCTTCTTCCTGGGAAGGTGCCCAGGGGAGAGGAAACGCCTACCCACGCAGGCCTGTGTGGCCTTATTTACAATTGCCAGGAAGTGGGAAGAGTTCAAATGCCCATGACCTGGCTACAGCGTGAATACTGGATGGCGGGACCCTACCCACAGGCAACAGGCCCGGGACTCAGGCCAGTGCAGACCACAGGCCGTGGCTCCACAGAGAGGGTGGTCGGAACAGGCAGGGCTATGAGGGAACAGACTGGTGGCTGCTGGCATCTGGGCGGGGAAGGAGCTCGAGGGAAGCCTGGTGGTGCTGGGCCGTTTCCTTATCTTGGTCTGCTGTGTCCACAGACAGCACTATACACCCTGGTGGAATCTCATGGAACTGCACACTTACAATGGGCACCTTCTATTGTATACAAATTATACTAAGTAAAACTGATTAAGCAAAAAAAAAAATGCTTCACCTTGGCTCTCGGGACCATGTGTGGATTCTCTCAGCAAAGGCACTAACAGAGAACCCAGAACGTGTGAGCCCTAGCTCGGGAGCAGTCTGCCCCGGGCAGAACTGGGGGGCTTCAAGGGGTTGCGGGCTTCTGGTCCCCCTTCCCTCGTGCCACCCACCGCGTCTACAGGCCTGGTCTCCCTAGCCCTAACTGGGCGGTAGGGTAGGTGACGGCTCCGCCAGGAGCAGGCTCCGAAAGTCCAGGCAGGGAGGTACCCCCGCGACTGTCCTGACAAGAAACGACTGTCATGGTCACAGGAGGCTCCGCCCACAGCCCCTCCAGCTCCCCAGGGGCAAGCGGCAGGGGCACAGCCCCCAACAGTCATCATCACAGGAGGCTCCGCCCACAGCCCCTGGAGCTTTGGGTGTTGTTGGCTTTTTTCAGTTCTGTATCTTCTTTGCCTTTAATGTTGTTTTAATTAACAGTTTTACTGAGGTACAATTTCCATACTATAAAATCTACCCATTTTCAGTGTACAAGTCAATGATTTTTAGCAAATCTAGAGTTGTGTGACCATCAGCACAGTGCAGTTCTGGAATGTTCCACTGCCCCTGGAGGAGCCCTCTCTGCCACCCCTACACCAGCCTTCGACCTCCTGTGATAAACTTGCCTTTGCTTGGTGTTTTATGTAAATAGAACCACACCACATGGGGTCTGCTCGGTCTCAATATTTTAAAACAGGCCGGGGGTGGTGGCTCACGCCTGTAATCCCAGCACTTTGGGAGGCGGAGGCGGGCGGATCACGAGGTCAGGAGATCGAGAACATCCTGGCTAACACGGTGAAACCCCGTCTCTACTAAAAATACAAAAAATTAGCCAGGCGTGGTGGCGGGCACCTGTAGTCCCAGCTACTCGGGAGGCTGAGGCAGGAGAATGGTGTGAACCCGGGAGGCAGAGCTTGCAGCGAGCAGAGATCGCGCCACTGCACTCCAGCCTGGGCGACAGAGCGAGACTCTGTCTCAAAAAAAAAAAAAATTAAATTAAAACAATTATTAAATGGAAATTTCTATCCTCGGAGGTGTGAGCCCCCCAGACCCTGATGCCTGCCCACCTCTGTGTTCTAGGCTCAGGCCCCCCCCCACCGCCCCAAGATCGGTCACCTCTCAGCCTCCTCCTCCGTCACCTCCTTCCGCCTGGGCAAGCCCGTGCTGCCCCCAGTATTGTTCCGGGCTGAGTGGGTGGCACTGGAGACATTCTTCGGCAGCTTCCCAAAGCCGCTGCTCTCACTGCCCTCACAGGTGGCTGCCTTGATGATGTTGCTGACAGGTAAGAAGAAAACACCCTCGTCTCACCGCCCAGGGGAACAGCTCTGCCCACAGGCAGCAGGTGCCCACTCCCGGAAGTCCCAGGACTGAGCCTGGAAGTGGTGCTGGCAGGCTGGCAGCCGGGGCAGAGGGGGACAGCGGCAGGTGCGAGGCCGGCTCTCCCGTGCCACATCCTGGCCTCTGGACCACCTGTGCCCTGACAAGGTCCCACTCACTGGTACCCAGGATAATGAGCTCTTTGCATTTAAAAACTTCTCACTAAAGTTACATTGAGAGGCTGGGTGCCCTGGCTCACACCTGTAATCCCAGCACTTTGGGAGGCCAAAGCGGGCGGATCACCTGAGGTCACGAGTTCGAGACCAGCCTTGCCAACATGGTGAAACCCCATTTCTACTAAAAACACAAAAAAATTCGCTCGGCATGGTGGCGGGCACCTGTACTCCCAGCTACACGGGAGGCTGAGGCAGGAGAATCGCTTGAACCTGGGAGGCAGAGGTTGCAGTAAGCCGAGATCATGCCACTGCACTCCAGCCTGGGCAACAAGAATGAAACTCCATTTCAAAAAAAAAAAAAATTCCATTGAGAAAGTTCCCAAAAGTCACAGGAGTCCAGAGCCTGAGGGACCCCTGAGCAACCCCAAGGCCATCCCCAATCCCCGCAAGACCATGTGGTGGTGGACTCGGGGGCTCCTTTGCCCCGCTCGGTCCACCCCCGCTGTGACGCCTTCTGGGCTCTGCACAAGCCTTGGCTTCCTCCTGGGGGCCCCACCTCAGGGTGAGCCCCAGACCTCACTGTGCCACATCTGGGCTGTTTTCTCTCTGTGGGAAGCTGCCGACCCAAGAACAGAAGAGGGCGGCGGACGTGGATGGGGAGCCCGGTTCACAGCTGCTCCACGCGGTTTTACGTGCACTGACCACGTGCCCTGACCGAGGTTGGACCCCATGCACACTGACCGCATGCCCTGACCAAGGTAGAACCCTGTGTGAACTGACCGCGTGCCCTGACCGAGGTCGGACCCCAGGTGCACTGACTACATGCCCTAACTGAGGTCGGACCCCGCAGCCCCGCGGCCTCCCCAGAAGACCTTACTTGAGGGAGGGGGCAGTCTGGTTGGAGCTCTTGAGCGGAGGCGCCCTCTCCGAGGGGGTGTAGCGGTTGTGCACCATGGTGGTGACGCAGTTGCCCACTGCTCCCTTGTTGCTCCTGCCAGGCCGGAAGAGAGACAGGAATGGTCAGGCCTCTGGAGGGGACGCCTGAGATCTCAGAGCTACACTCGCAGCACGGGCTGGGAGGGAACAAAGGCCTTCAGTGCTTGCTACGTGCTGGCAGCATTGTCGTCCAGTGTCCCCAGGCCCCTTCCACAGCCTGCGCCCTGATGATGGGGTTCTTCCCAGGACAGGAAAGCTGGACCAGGGGCTCCCACGGGGCAGGGGATAGAATCGAGGCATGAACGCTGGACGTGCCCAAGACGGGGGGAGCAGCTCAGGCCAGCAGCTCACAATCAGCTTCCAGAGCAGACTCACAGAAGCGAAGCCCCATCCCACACGACGGATGGAAGCCACATTCTCTGCCTCTGCCCCTCCGCAGACCCGCAGGAAGGCGGGAGGACAGGACCAATACCGAGGCTGACAGGAGGGATGGGGAGACTGCAGGAAAGGGGCATCTGCAGACCTGGAGGATTAGAAACAGAAGGGCCAGCAGAGAGCAACTGGGACACAAGGGAGGGTCCAGGCATTGTGGGGAGGGAGGGCGAGGAGCTGGCAGGTCCCGTGCCCCCACGGAGACACACTGTTCTCCCACAGGCATGGACAGGCTTTGAGGCAAAGGGGAGAATCTGGCTGCTCGGCAAAGCCCCTTCCCTCACTTGAGCCGCTAGCATCCACCCTGCCCTCCCCAGCTGGCCCTGCAGGTGGGGCAGAGATGGGTGATTCACCCAGGACAGCCACCGCCACCCCTCCCCAGCAGTGCAACCGGGCAGCCAGGACTCGAACCCTGGGGCGGGCTGGGGGTTTGTCTCTGGAGAGACTCAGCCTGTGAGGAGGGTCCCACAGACACTGGTAGGTGGGGATACTCAACAATGCCTTGCTCTCTGCACCAGTGCCCCGAAGTGAAGCCACCAGGCAATAGGCTTCCAGCTAACTCCTAGGGCCTCCCTTTTAACAAGAACCACCAAGACATCTGGGCAAAGACCAACATGTCAGAGGCCCAAAATCAAACCAACAGAACATGATGGGAATGAGGATAAGCAGAGAGCAGAGCAATGCACGAAACCTGCTCCTGCACCAGCCTGCACCTGCACCGGACCACACCTGCACCAGCCTGCACCTGCACCGGACCACACCTGCACCGGACCACACCTGCACCGGACCGCACCAGGCACCAGCCCACGCCCAGCACCAGCCTGGCCTGCACCTGGCACCAGCCTGCACTCACAAACGTTCAACAGCTGGTTCTTGGAGCGCGGCTCATCTGCCAATTTGGGTGGTGTGAATAACCTACCAGGACTGATTTTGAGCTGTTCAGGAATGAGCAGCATGGCATGTATTCATAAATGTTTTCAATAAAACACTAAATGGCCGGGCGCAGTGGCTCACACCTATAATCCTAGCACTTTGGGAGGCTGAGGCGGGTGGATCACAAGGTTAGGGGTTCGAGACCAGTCTGGCCAACATAGCGAAACCCCGTCTCTACTAAAAATACAAAAATTAGCCTAGTGTGGTGGCACACGCCTGTAGTCCCAGCTACCCAGGAGGCTGAGGCAAGAGAATCACTGGAACCCGGGAAGCGGAGGTTGCGGTGAGCCGAGATCACACCACTGCACTCTGGCTTGGGCGACAGAGCGAGACTTCGTCTCAAAAACAAAAACAAACAAACAAAAAAACACCAGAAGAAATAGCTTGAAAAGATGCTGCTCCTCAGGGGCAGGCGCCAGGGGTAGGAGGGGCGGCAAGAGTGTGGGTAGGAGGGGCAGCAGTGGGGTAGGAGGGGCAGCGGGGCAGTGGGTGGGGGGTAGGAGGGGCAGCGGGATGGGGGTAGGAGGGGTGGGGGGGTAGGAGGGGCGGCGCGGGGGTAGGAGGGGCAGCGGGAGGGGAGGTAGGAGGGGCAGGGGTGGGGAGGGTAGGAGGGGCAGCACATTTTAAGCCTATGGTGCTGTTTGACATTTTGGCTGTGTATGAACATATAACTGATAAATACTAAGGTAAATTTTAGGACCAGGTGTGGGGGCTCAAACCTGTAATCCCAGGGCTTTTGGGGAGGTCAAGGAAGGAGGATTGCCCGAGCCCAGGAGTTTGAGACCAGCCTGGGCAACACAGCGAGACTTCATCTCTACAACAAATTTAAAAATTAGCCAGGAGTGGTGTTGTGCACCTGTGGTCCCAGCTGCTCCGAAGGCTGAAGGGGGAGGATCTCTTGAGCCCAGGAGGTAGAGGCTGCAGTGAGCTATGATCGTGGACTCCAGTCAGGGTGACAGATGAGAACCTGCCTCTAACTTAAAAATAAATTAAAAAGCAAGAATTGAGCTGGGTGCAGTGGCTCACGCCTATAATCCCAGCACTTTGGGAGGCCAAGGCGGGTGGATCATGAGGTCAGGAGATCGAGACCATCCCGGCCAACATGGTGAAACCCTGTCTCTACGAAAAAAATACAAAAATTACTCGGGCGTGGTGGCGTGGTGGCACGTGCTTATAATCTCAGCTACTCGGGAGGCTGAGGCTGGAGAATCGCTTGAACCAGGGAGTCAGAGGTTGCAGTGAGCCGAGATCATGCCACCGCACTCCAGCCTGGTGACAGAGCAAGACTCCATCTCAAAAAAAAAAAGGCAAGAATTCTTCCTGTGCCAACCCTGGAGAATAACCACACGGTCTCTCCCCTGAGACTATTCCCTTGGCAAAGGCTCTAAATGCCGGAGGAAAAATGTGTCCCCAATCCCTTCCACTCATGGGTCCCCTGAGGCCTAGCCCAAGGAGCCCACACTCTCCTTGAAGGCTCAGAGGCAGCTGCCTGGAGTCTATTTCTTTTGGAGCTTCCCCAGGACCCCCTACAAGCCTCCTCAGCCAAGGCCCCTCCCCAGGCCCCACCCTCTCAGCCCCATGTGAGCCTCCCCAAGGCCTGAAACTCTTTAAGAGCAAAGCCTGGGCCGAGAGCCCCTTATGTGCAAGACGCCACCTGGCAGCCTCCTGCCTATGCCCTTGGGAATGAAAGCCATTCTTTCACTCACTCACTCATTCATTCATTCCAAAGCACCCTGAACGAGCCATAAACAAGACAAAGACACACACAGTCTCCACTCCAGGAGCTTCCCACTGGTGCCCGTCGTGGGCACCTGCACAGGTCGTACCTGTTGTTAGCAGTGAAGTTGGGGGCCAGGGCCACGGTGCATTCTTTCCTCCGCGGGCCCGCTGGTGAGTCAAGGGCACTGGAACTCCGGGCATTGGATGGCAAGGTGAAGCCCCGGGGCTGGTCATCCTGTCAGACAGCTCAGCCCATGACACCGCCCGCACACACCCAGACACCCCATCCCTTCCCTGCCTCTCCCACAAACGGGAGGAGCCACCAACTTCCCATACAGACAGGTGGATGTCCTGGGGTCTGCCATGTCAGATCTAAGCTTGACACCCTCCCTGCAGTGCCCTTTTGCAAAGGCAGTGAGAACAAATTAGGAACCAGGCCACAATCCCATCACAGAGACCAGGACGTGGGGCCGCATGCACCACCTTACCAGGACGTTCCAGGTGGCTCCCTTCTCGCTGGGGGCTGTGCTCAGGCTGGCAGGCCTCTTTTTCCCACTGGGGCTGCCCTCGAAGAGCATCAGGAAGTCTGTGGGCTCCGTTGGCCTGCATCCGAGAGAGGGCGGCACACAAGGAAAGAGTCACCAGCCGGGAAGCCGACGCTAGGCACACAGACCAGGCAGGTCCCGCGAGGACAGAGGGGCTGAGGCACTAGCAGCAACTCTGTTTCTAGGCCCAAAGCCCCCATCTGACCACTGTGCCTGGCCAGGGTTCCTCAGTGGAGCTGGGCGTTCAGGGTGAGCTTCCATCAGAAGCTTCATCAGTCACACCGATCACAGTTTCTGGGGACAAGGGCCTTATTTGTTTTTTCTTTTCTTTTTTTTTTTTTTATGTTAGTAGAGATAGGGTTTCGGCTATGTTGCCCAGGCTGGTCTCGAGCTCCTGGGCTCAAGAGATCCTCTCACCTTGGCCTCCAAGAGTGCTGGGATTGCAGGTGTGAGCCTGCACACCCGGCTGCCCACCGAGGGCCTTAAATACCGTGGCTGCCTCTGCTGCCACCCTCTTCCCTGTGAACCAAGAGCCACACCTGCTGCTGCTCAGAGCAGAAGGGGAAGCACAGCTGGAAGGCATGGGCTGGTGGCCAATCCCCACTGCCACCCTGCCCCATGGGAGGCCACAGCTGCGCCGAACACAACTGATCAGGTGGGATCAAAACCGTGGCCTGGCTGAGGGTGGTGACACACCAAACACACCACACACACACATACACCACACACACCACATAACACACACACCACACACCATACACCACACACACCCCATACACACACACACACCACACATGCACCACTCACAAACCACACCCCAGACACACACCACTCACACCACACACCCACACACCACACACCCCCCACACACACCACACTCACACCACACACCCACACACCACACCACACACACACACTTATGCCACACACCCACACACCACACACATACCACACACACACACCAGCTGGCCTTGGCAGTCCCTTGCTTGGTGGGACTCCACGAAGCTAGTTGCTGAGCTAAGAGCGGCTCCCGGAGGCTGCACTGGATAGGGTGTGGTGGCCGCAGTTCTTGGTCTTCCCAGGAAGGGTCCACCCGGGGCCCTTGGTGACCCAGAACTCAGCCTTCATTAGGTCCACGGCCCCACAGGAGCACCCTGCTCGCTCGGGGACAATGCCTGGTGGGAGGTGGTGTCAGGACCTCGCCCACCACTCTGGGCTAGAGGATGTCCCCCCGGAGGCTGCTGGCCACCACCGGCTCCACTCCCCACAACACCCCCACTGGGGCCATTGAGGCAGCTCCTCCCCAGCCCGCTGGTTTGGAGGCCGCAAGGGACAGTGGCAGGGTTTAAGTGGGCAAAGGTGGGAACAGGGGCGCACAGCGTGGGGGTTCAGAAGGGTCACAGTGCTGCCCCTCTCGCAAATGACAGCTTTTGACATTCAGAGGGCAGGTGGAAAGGGCTTCAGCGGAGCCCTCAGGCAGGGTCCCAGCAGCCGCCGGGACAGCAAGGAGGAAGGGAGGGATGCAGTGCAGGAGAGTGTCTGCCTCAGGCCTCCCGCCCCAATGCGAGAGGAGGCCTGGGACACAAAGCTGGCCCGTGAGGTCACTCCAGGCCTCACTAGCCAGCAAGGGCCCGGGACCCAGGAGGCTGGAGGAAGGGCAGAGCAGAGGCAGGGAGGAGCAGGCCAGGGTGGGGCACCTGAGGTCCCGGGAAGGGGCCAGGGTTATCCAAGGGCCTTAGGGGTTACCTGGGGGAGCCGCTCCGAGGCTGGCTGACCTGCGTGGTGCTGTTGGATCTTCTAAGGTTGTTGATGGCCTGGGAGCCCCCAGGCCCTGTGGCCTCCTGCAAAAAGGGAGAAAACAGTTAATTATGCAGCAAAGGCTCACTCACCAGTTTGCTCAGCCTCCGCCAGCTTTGGAGAAACGCAGTCAGAGAACAGAGGGGTGGCCCTAGGGTTACAGGTGGCCCAAGTGGCCTCAAAGGCAGTGGGTGGTCAGAGGGGCAGGAGCACTGGACAGCAGGGCAGCGCGAGGGGGGCTCAGGCCCGACCTCTAAGAGCTTCCCCGTCCCCGCATCAAGCAGGAGCCCTTCACCCCTGGCAGAGGGAGGGCGGGAAGGGAGCTGCTCACTGTCACCCACCAGCTCCCAGGAACCGCGAGCTCCCACCTTCAGTGGATGAGAACCCCTGGGGACCCTTCACCCCGCGGTCTCCTCCGTCAGCAGGGTGGGCACCCAGAGCGACTCTGTGGGGTCACGATGAGGACTAAGGAGACGCAACCAAGACCAGGTGCTGCAAGACCTGGTAGTGAGTGCAGCCAACTGCCCAGCGGTTCCAGGTCCGTGGAAAGGGGTGGAGGGGAGGCTGCGCAGCAGACACTAAGCAAGGATCAGAGCGCTCGGAGAAGCGGACGCTAAGCGAGGATCAGAGCGCTCGGAGAAGCGGACGCTAAGCGAGGATCAGAGCGCTCGGAGAAGCGGACGCTAAGCGAGGATCAGAGCGCTCGGAGAAGCGGACGCTAAGCGAGGATCAGAGCGCTCGGAGAAGCGGACGCTAAGCGAGGATCAGACCGCTCGGAGAAGCGGACGCTAAGCGAGGATCAGAGCGCTCGGAGAAGCGGACGCTAAGCGAGGATCAGAGCGCTCGGAGAAGCGGACGCTAAGCGAGGATCAGAGCGCTCGGAGAAGCGGACGCTAAGCGAGGATCAGACCGCTCCGAGAAGCGGACGCTAAGCGAGGATCAGAGCGCTCGGAGAAGCGGACGCTAAGCGAGGATCAGAGCGCTCGGAGAAGCGGACGCTAAGCGAGGATCAGACCGCTCGGAGAAGCGGACGCTAAGCGAGGATCAGAGCGCTCGGAGAAGCGGACGCTAAGCGAGGATCAGAGCGCTCGGAGAAGCGGACGCTAAGCGAGGATCAGAGCGCTCGGAGAAGTAGCGCTTGGGGAAGTGGCGCTCGGGAAAGTGGCACTCATAAGTACCTTACGCTACGCTCCCTGACTTTCCTGTAGGCTTAAAAACCCTCCAAATCGGCCAGATGCAGTGGCTCACGCCTGTAATCCCAGCACTTTGGGAGGCCGGGGTGGGCAGATTACCAGGTTAAGAGATGGAGACCGCCGGGCGCGGTGGTTCACGCCTGTGATCTCAGCACTTTGGGAGGCCGAGGCGGGTGGATCACGAGGTCAGGAGATCAAGACCATCCTGGCCAACATGGTGAAACCCCGTCTCTACTAAAAATACAAAAATTAGCTGGGCATAGTGGCGGGTGCCTGTAGTCCCAGCTACTCAGCAGGCTGAGGTAGGGGAATTGCTTAAACCTGAGAGGCGGAGGTTGCAGTGAGCCGAGATTGGGCCACGGCACTCCAGCCTGGAGACAGAGCGAGACTCCGTCAAAAAACAAAAACAAAAAACCCTCCAAATCAAACATTTCAGGGGAAAGGGCTCACAGTCCAGTGGGAAACGGTCTGGGGAACACCACCGGATGCCACTGGATGCCACGGCGACCAGTGATATAGATCCTGGCCAGGTGCCCATGCCACCACAGGATGGGACCTCGGGTCTCCAGTTTCCCAGGAAAAGAGACCTATGAACTTTCAGAATTATTTTTAAATCTGAATCCTTAAGCTGAAAACAACCCAACTTCAAAAAAAGACCAAAAAAAAAAAAAAAGGCTCCAGGAAAGCAGCCACACACATGCACCCCACCAGGACACCCCAATCACTTGTTACGGGCATTTCCTGGTCAGGAAACCATGGTCTAAAATAGCTGAACAGAAAGTGCAGGCAGGGAGCCCAGCTCGGCGGCAGCAGAGCCGGTTAAAGGAGGCCAGACAGAGGCCACTGTGAGGTCTGGGGGTGGAAATCCCACGAGCGCGTGGGCGCCACCATTCTTCCAGAGAAAGTACTCACGGGCTTGGTCATACCTTCCAGACCAGGCTACAGACAGTGACTACCAGAGAGCAAAAGCTAACACCCAATACAAGACACAGCCGCCGCCCCGTTCTCCACGCTGGGGCCACAGAGGCCCTGTGCAATTCCTCATTCAATCCCTGCTGGGCTGTGCTCCCAGGGCCCCAAACTGGGCGCTGGAAAGGTGTTCGGGAGGTCAGAAGGCAGGGTGTGGGGAGCACAACAGCAGGAGAGGAAGGGCCCCATGGAGGCCTCCATCCTTCTAGGAGAAACAAGATGCCTTCTGGGAAGCCTGGGCAGTGCCCATCAGACAGCAAGTGCCCAAAAGAGAGACCCTGAAAAGGGGTCAGTGAGGAGAGGATTGACAAGGGGCTGAGCACAGGCTTGGTGACCTGGAGGCTGCTGGAGGAGCTGAAGAGACGCAGAAGGGGCAGCAGGCAGAAGCCACCCATGCGGCAGGGACTGCAAGCCCTCCACCCCTGGGAGGCAGACGCCAAGTCCCTGAGGAAAGTGCCTTTGTTTACCAGGGGCCTTGGGCCAGCCTGAGGGTCTAAATACGTGATTTGTGGCCAGGCGTGGTGGCTCATGCCTATAATCCCAACACTTTAGGAGGCCAAGGCGGGTGGATCACTTGATCCCAGTAGTTCAAGCCCAGCCTGAGCAATATGGTGAAACCCCATCTCTACAAAAAATAAAAAAATTAGCCAGGCGTGGTGGCATGCACCTACAGTCCCAGCTACTCAGGAGGCTGAGGTGGGAGGATCACTTGAGCCCAGGAATTAGAGGTTGTAGTGAGCTATGATAGTGTCACTGCACTCCAACCTGGGCAACACAGTGAGACCCTGTCTCTGAAAAAAAAAAAAAAAGAAAAAATAGAAAAATCAGCAAAGAACATGGACAATTCATAGAAAAGGAAATATACACGGCTCTTAAAAATATGAAAAGATGTGGCCGGGTGCGGTGGCTCATGCCTGTAATCCCAGCACTTTGAGAGGCCGAGGTGGGCGGATAATCTGAGGTCGGGAGTTTGAGACCAGCCTGGCCACCATGGTGAAACCTTGTCTCTACTAAAAAGATATATATATATAAATTAGCCGGGCATGGTGGCACGCACCTGTAATCCCAGCTACTCAGGAGGCTGAGGCAGGAGAATCACTTGAACTGGGAGGCGGAGGTTGCAGTGAGCCGAGATTGCGCTACTGCACTCCAGCCTGGGCGACAGAGCAAGATTCCCTCTCAAAAAAAAAAAAAAAGAAAAGAAAAGAAAAGATGTTCAGCCTCACTCACAGATGTTAAGTTAGAAATAAAATCAGAGGTGGAGGGCGAGGTGCTGTCCAAGCAGCCCTGGACAGGAGTGGGGCCCGTGCAGAGGGACTGTTCCGAGTAGCCCCGGGCAGGAGTGGGGCCTGTCAGCCTAAAGGCAGAGGGGCTCTTCCTAATAGCCCTGGGCAGGAGTGGGGCCTGTGCAGAGGGGCTGTCCCGAGGAGCCGTGGGCAGGAGTGGGGCCCGTGCAGAGGGGCTGTCCCAGAGCATAGCACAGCATTGGTGGTGTTCTTCCCATGGGGTTTGGGTTATCCACTGTGACACCACCTTACACACCTTACACACACACAGGAGCTAAACCAGGGACAGCAGACGATGGGGCCGCATCCTCACTGCAGGAGGGGAGGTTACAATCAGCAAGCGTCGGGGGGGCGAGAGGTGCCACTAGCGGCAGAGACATCAGTAGGACGCACAACACCAATGGTTACTAGGTAGGTTACTATCTATAGACAGTGTGTATATTACACACCAACTGGCGTACACTACATACTTCCTTGCTCTGTTGGCTGAGAAGACCAGAAACAGCCCAGTAGGGACAAGCACACCCAGCTCCCAGACCTTGGTCTCTGAGACCACTCTCCAAGAAAAAGAACCGGGGCTTCTTGAAGAAATGGCTGATTCTAGGACTGGAGGAGGAAATAGACAAGATGAGGCTGGAGCAGTTTATAGGGCCAGAAATAAGGACGTGCTCAGAAGACAAAGTGATGGGCAATGACACAGGGACCCAGGAGCCACCTGAAAGTTCCCAGTGGCCAAAGCTGTGACAATGAGAGCAACAAAATAAGCAAACTAGCATTGAATTATAACTTGAAGTGTAAAATAAATATCCACGAGTCCATTATAATAAATGATTGAAAAAATTAATAAGTGGGGCCAGGTGCAGTGGCTCATGCCTGTAATCCCAGCACTTTGGGAAGCCAAGGCAGGAGGATCACTTGAGGTCAGGAGTTCGAGACCAGCCTGGCCAACATGGTGAAACCCCATCTCTACTGAAATACAAAAATTAGTCAGGTGTGGTGGCACACGCCTGTAGTTCTAGCTACTCAGGAGGCTGAGATAGGAAAATCGCTTGAACCCGGGAGGCGGAGATTGCAGTGAGCCAAGATTATGCCACTGCACTGCAGCCTGGGCGACAGCGTGAGACACTGTCTCAAAAAAAAAAAAAAATTATAAATGAGGGTGAACAGACAAATCTCCTGTGTAGAAGAATTCCAAATAACTTCTATAGATGCTCTTCTCTAAAGGAGGGGGAGCAAAACTCCCCACCCCTTCCATGTGGGCTGAACAAAGCGACTTCCTTCCAGAGAGCACAGGGGATGGGCGACCTCACAGTGGAGAAGCCTGACCCTCCACCTTGGCCAGGGGACCAAGGCCAGCAGCATCACCAGTGAGAGGTCACATGGACAGTGTGGACCCCAGACAGGATGGGGTGAGAAGAGTACTTTACCTCTGTGGCCTTCCTCCTAGAACCCATCCACCACCCAGTCTGATCACGAGAAAAATATCAGGCAAGGGCCAACAGGGGGCCATTCTGTAAAATCCCTGACCAGCTCTCCCCAAAACTCGAAGGTCATCAAAAACAAGGAGAGTCTGAGAAACTCACAGCCCAAACAAGCCTGAGACCCACAGCCCAAAAATCATGTGGGATCCTGGGACAGAAAAGAAAAACTGCAAAAATACAAATCAAGTGTGGACTTTAGTCAGTGATTTACCAATAATGACTTGTTAATTGTACACGTCCCATCATAATGTAAGATATTCAAATAGCAGAGACTGGGTGCGGTACAGGGGAACACCCTGCACTTTCCAATTTTTCTATAAATTTAAAACTATACTAACATAAAAGGTTTATTTTTAAAAATCGTACAGTCACGCCGGAGGCTCACGCCTGTAAGCCCAGCACTTTGGGAGGCCAAGGCGGGCGGATTCACTTGAGGTCAGTAGTTTGAGACCAGCCTGGCCAACATGGTGAAATCCTGTCTCTACTAAAAATACAAAACTTAGCCCGGCATGGTGGCAGGCGCCTGTAATCCCAGCTACTCGGGAGGCTGAGGCAGGAGAATCACTTGAACCCAGGAGACAGAGATTGCGGTGAGGTGAAATCACACCATTGCACTCCAGCCTAGGTGACAGGAGTGAAACTTCATCTCAAAAAAGAAAAAGAAAAAAATAAAATAAAAAGTAAAAAGTAAACTAAAAGGTAGTACAGTCAGATATCTTTTGTTACATATGGATCCTGTAAAGGCCAAAACTGTGCTGCACGTGTGCCAACCAGAGCACGAGGGAGCAGGCCCCGTGGCACCCTGTGATGCGAGTGTGACTTAGGGCAATGATCTTTACGGACAGCAACTTGGCAATGCCTATCAAAAAAAAAAATTTTTTTTGAGACGGAATCTCGCTCTGTCGCCCAGGGTGGAGTGCAGTGGCGCGATCTCGGCTCACTGCAAGTTCCGCCTCCTGGGTTCACGCCATTCTCCTGCCTCAGCCTCCCGAGTAGCCGCGACTACAGGTGCCTGCCACCACGCCCGGCTAATTTTTTTTTTTGTATTTTTAGTAGAGATGGGGTTTCACCGTGTTAGCCAGGATGGTCTCAATCTCCTGGCCTCGTGATCTGCTTGCCTCAACCTCCCAAAGTGCTGGGATTACAGGCATGAGCCACCGCGCCTGGCCAAAAATTTACAATTTAGTTTTAATTTTAATTTTAAAAGATAGAGTCTCACTCTGTTGCCCAGGCTGGAGAGCAGTGGCATGATCATAGCTCACTGCAGCCTCAAACTTTCTGGGTTCAAGCCATCCTCCTGCCCCAGCCTCCCATGTAGCTGGGACTACAGGCATGCACCACCACACTCGGCTAATTTTTTAATTTTTTTGTAGAGACAGGGGTCTCACTATGTTGCCCAGGCTGGTCTCAAACTCCTGGCCTCAAGTGATCCTCCCACCGCAGCCACGCAAAGTGCTGGGATTACAGATATTGGCCACCACTCCCGGCCCCCTTTCAAATTTTTTTATTTATTTAATTTTTTTTGAAATGGAGTCTCGCTGTCACCCAGGCTAGAGTGTGGTGGTGCGATCTTGGCTCACTGCAACCTCCAGCTTCCGGGTTAAATCAGTTCTCCTGCCTTAGCTTCCTGTGTAGCTGGCATTACAGGTGCCTGCCACCACGTCCAGCTATTTTTTCTATTTTTAGTAGAGACGAGGTTTCACCGTGTTGGCCAGGCTGGTCTCGAACTCCTGACCTCAAGCAATCTGCCCACCTCGGCGTCCCAAAGTGCTGGGATTACAGGCACGGGCCACCGCACCTGGCCCCCCTTTCAAAATTTTAAATGGACTTATGCTCTGACCCAGTAGTTATCCTTTAGGATTTATTCTACAGGCGTATTTACATGTATGCAAAATGGCAAAGACACAGGGTATTTGCTGTGCCACTCTTGGTACTATGATAAGGAAAATCCAGAGGAGCACTGGGTGAAGTTCTGGTGCATCATCTGATGAACTATTGTCAGCTGCTACAAAACAATGTAAGGAAAGCGGGAGCAGGGTCAGGTGCAGCGGCCCACACCCGTAATCCCAGCACTTTGGGAGGCCGAGGTGGGAGGATCGCTTCAGCCCAGGAGTTAAGGACCAGCAACCTAGTGAGACCCCTGTCCCTACAAAAAAATTAAAAATTAGTAGGCTGGGTGTGGTGGCTCACACCTGTAATCCCAGCACTTCGGGAGGCTGAGGCAGGAGGATCACCTGAGGTCAAGAGTTCAAGACCAGCCTGACCAACATGGCGAAACCCCGTCGCTACTAAAAATACAAAATTAGCCGGGCATGGTGGTGCATGCCTGTAATCCCAGCTTCTTGGGAGGCAGAGGCAGGAGAATCCCTTGAACCCGGGAGGCAGAGGCTGCAGTGAGCCGAGATCTCACAAATGCACTCCAGCCTGGGCAAAAAGAGCAAAAGTCTGTCTCAAAAGAAAAAAAAAATTAAAAATTAGCTGGGCAGGGTGGTGAGCACCTGTAATCCATGCTACTCAGGATGCTGAGGTAAGAGGATCACTTGTGTCCGGGAGGTGGAGGCTGCAGTAAGCTGTGGTTTCTCCACTGCACTCCAGCCTGGGCAACAGAGCAAGACCCCGTCTTAAAAAGAAAAAGAAAAGAGAATGCAGGAGCCCCACGCAGCTGACGGATACGGCACTTGTTCCAACACATCTCCAGCATCACTGATGCCTGTGTGCCCAGAGTAAGTGTGGGTGCAGGAGAAACAGAACAGTGGCCGCCTAGGAGAGGCCCGCAAGGTCGGGCAGGACAGGCTCACTGCTCAATGAGCCCCCTTTTCCCAAATGGTGGGTGTGAATGGCCTATTCAAAACACATGGTAGGAATTTTGAAATCATCCCCCAAAATGGCACCAGTCATTGCATCAGGGCCATGGGATTATGGGTGCCCTTCATCCTGTCTCCATTTTCCTGGGGTCAGTTTCGCAGCCTCCAAGAGGAAGATAAGGGATGTCAGGGGAGGGATGAAGGGGCTGCCACTCACTGACGGACACCACGGTGGAAAGGCACCACTCATGCTCAGATGGTAAATCAAGTCATGGACTAAAAACCCTAAACTCCACCTGCAAGAAGGAGGCAACATCGCCCAGGGAGGGGCAGGTGGCCCCCATGGCCATGACACATATGCACAGTGATGTCTGTTCCCCAGTGAGCTTGTGCTCTTGGGATTTAAAGACCTCTTTTCTTTAAGGGGAAGGGAACCAGAGTGAATAATGATCTAGGGGGCTAGAGGATCAGGTGGGCACACAGCTGGGGCAAGGAAGAGGGACCCTCTACAGTCTGGCACCGACATCTCTTGAGCCAGAAGACCAGCAGGAACTGCAGTTACATCCTGGATGGGGAATCCCGGGACAGCAGGCCGTGGACGCAGGAAGATCTTTAGAGACAAGGGGTAGAGTGGAAACCCCAGGCCAATGGCCACCGAGAAGGTCTCCGAGCCAGGGGACAGCACCCCACCCCACCCACAAACACCAGGAGGAAGAGAATCACGTGCCGCCTTGTACAGGTGTGAAGCCATGCCTGGCCAAAACAAATGCTCTCCAGGAATCCCGATGAGACTGAGTGGTAGCAGGGCAGGTGGCCGAGAGGATGGGGACCGGGCACAACAGAAACCCCTGAGGTCACGTCACACACTGGCGGGGGTTCCTCTTCCACCAGCAGTTCCCGAGCTCCCACCATGGGCACAACAGAAGGCAGACAGGCATGCAGGGGTGGGGCCGTCTCGGATCGAGCGAGGGCCTCAAAGAATTGAAGTGAACAGCTGGAACATTCCATGAACGAGGGGACTGTTAGCAGTCGCCACTCAACACTGCGGGAGCGGGCAATGGTACCAGCCGAGGAAAGGAGGGATCGATATGAGTAGCGCTCGCTGTGGCTTTGAACCTCTACTCAGCAACAGAACATTTCCCAGCAGAAAGGCTGGGAGTGTGGTTAGGTGCCTGGGTCGGCCGCGGATAGAGCCTGGCCATGCCGCCGAAAGACCATCTACTAGAAAGCCCGGAAACTTTTACAACAGTCTCCACACAACAAGAGAGCTGCAATTTCTTTCTTTCTCCTTCTCCCTCTCCCTCTCCCTCCCCCTCCCCCTCCCTCTTTCTTTCTTTCTTTCTTTTTTTGAGACAGAGTCTTGCTCTTTCGCCCAGGCTGGAGTACAGTGGCATGATCTCGGCTCACTGCAGCCTCCTCCGCCCGGGTTCAAGCAACTCTCCTGTCTCAGCCTCCTGAGTAGCTGGGATTAAGGGTGCGCGCCACCACGCCCGGCTAATTTTTGCATTTTCAGTAGAGGCAGGGTTTCACTATGTTGGCCAGGCTGGTATTGAACTCCTGACCTCAGGTGATCCACCCGCCTCAACCTCCCAAAGTGCTGGGATCACGGGCGTGAGCCACCTCGCCCAGCCCAGATCTGCGATTTCGAGTGCGTCTTCCCCGCCCCATGTGCCATGAACCTAGGGCTTTAGAAACAGCGGGAGGGGCCAAGGCAGGTGGGCGAGGGGGTCAGTGACGCAGGAGCAGGGCTGCGGACAGGAGAGGCAGCAGGCTCAGAGACGGCTCTAGCCCAAGCTGGTTACCCCTCTGCTAAAACAGTGCAGCATATTTTTATTTTCACAGCTTACGTCTGTAAATGCCTAGAGGCGTACCACATCTTTAGACAACCTGCCGGCCACAATGACACATCAGGACATCCCGGGTCCCCGCCCTGCTGGCCCAGGCTTTGGGAACCTGCTTGGTCCAAGGGTCCGCTACTGGCCCGGCTGCCCTTACCCCGGAACTCGGCTAGCCGTCTGGCGGGCCACACCCTGCCCACCTGGGGGTGCTTCTAGGGCAGACACAGGAATAACTTTTTCAAGGAGAAGGGGGAGGTCCAAGCCTTTTATTCACAGTGGAACCCTGGCCTGGGCCTGCCAGGGGTTCCTGTGGGAAGCCTCAACTGCCCTCCAGACCCCTTCTCTCTGCCCTGCTATGTTGCCTGGCACGGACCTCAGGCAGGGAGCCCCAGACCGGCTGCCGCATGGAAGCCAAGGCCCCCAGGCCCTTGCTATTCGGAAGCTCAGGCCAGACTCTGGTCAGGCTCTGCCCCAACCCCCACAGAGCGGCTCGATTCCTCCCTTGCCCCAAAGACTGGGCCTGGCAGACACCAACTCAGGGTGCAGCAGGCCCGGCCTGCCTTTCACAGCCCCCATCTGGGAACCACCCACCCTCCTCCCTACTCCCAGAGGTGGGCAGGAAAGGCAGCTCTCACCCCGAAGCTCCCACGGCTGTCCTGCTGCCCACACACCCACACACCCGTCTAGGTTTCTCCAAGGCCACCAGGAGCTCATCACCCCTCCCCACAGGTCAACCCCATTTCTTTCTTTTTTTTTTTTTTTTGAGATGGCATCTCACTCTGTCGCCAGGCTGGAGTGCAACGGCACGATCTCGGCTCACCGCAACCTCTGCCTCCTGGGTTCGAGCAAATCTCCTGCCTCAGCCTCCCGAGTAGCTAGGATTACAGGCATGCACCACCATGCCCGGCTAATTTTTTTTTGTATCTTTAGTAGAGACGGAGTTTCACCATGTTGGTCAGGCTGGTCTTGAACTGCTGACCTCAGATGACCCGCCTGCCTCGGCCTCCCAAAGTGCTGAGATTACAGGCGTGAGCCACCGAGCCCAGCCAACCCCATTTCCTGAGGATTCAAACAAATCCAAAGGGCGGTGGCACAGGAGGCCTGGGGCTGTTGCTGAAAGAATCCAAGCTCTGGCTTGACTTTCTAGTGATTCAGCACCCACGCCTGTAAGACTCAAGTCCTACCTGCCTCCTGGAACAGCCACGAGGATCCAGCATGTCCAGATGTGAGGCACTTGTTCACCTGTGGAGCTGGACCCAGGGGTCAGATGCCAACTGAACAACAGCCCTCCAGGAGGCAGGGGCCCGGACTCCTAGGCCACAGTACTCACCAGCACCTTCCTCTTCTGCTCGCTGCCTGTGACCACGGAGACAGAGCGGACGATGGGCTTGGTGGTGGCGGCACTGCCAGGACGCCGGGACACAGGCGGAGGGAGACCTGTCAGACTCAGGTCCACACCTGCTGGGCTGCGCTCCGGGACGCTGCCGATGGCCCGGGTGCCTTTCATGGTGGACAAGGCAGGTCCTGAGCGGGGAAGCAAGAGCTGCAATGAGATGCCGTGGGGGAACTACAGTCCCCTGCACCCACCATCTCCAGCCCAGCCTCAGCTGGGTCCACTGGCCACCAAACTTCCTGGGAAGGCCTGTCACAACCTATGCACCCCTCTGGCTGGTGGCAGGCTCCTCGACAGGAACATGAGGGAGCTGTTCTGAGCCCAATGTCAGTGTATGCCAGGGCAGGAGGGCCCTGGATGATGGACAGGTGGGTGGCGAGGGCAAGGCCCGTGGGTGGGAATAAGCCAGCAGCACCCCAGAGGGAGCCTGGGCCACAGGCCATTGTCGATGTGAGCCAGGTTCTGCCATCTACCCCACACCGTGATTCTGAGAAAGTCACTGCCCCGAGCCCCACTGTTTTCTTCTGTAAAAGGGACATTTGATTTATTTTTTATTTTATTATGTTTTTGAAACAGAGTCTCGTTCTTGTCACCCAGGCTGGAGTGCAGTGGCGCGATCTCGGCTCATTGCCACCTCTGCCTCCCGGGTTCAAGCGATTCTCCTGCCTCAGCCTCCTGAGTAGCTGGGATTACAGGTGCCCGCCACCACGCCTGGCTAATTTTTGTATTTTTAGTAGAAGTAGAAACGGGGTTTTGCCATGTTGGCCAGGCTGGTCTCGAACTCCTGACCTCAGGTGATTCGCCTGCCTCGGCCTCCCAAAGTGCTGGGATTACAGGCATGAGCCACCGTACCCGGCCCCTAAGTAAAAATACACATTTTAAAAAGGGGTTGCGTGTTGGCCGGGCACAGTGGCTCACTCCTGTAATCCCAGCACTTTGGGAGACCAAGGCAGGCAGATTGCCTGAGCTCAGGAGTTCAAGACCAGCCTAAGCAACACAGTGAAACCCCACCTCTACTAAAAACTTCAAAAAATTAGCCGGGCGTGGTGGCGAGCGCCTGTAATCCCAACTACTTGGGAGGCTGAAGCAGGGGAATTACTTGAACCTGGTAGGCGGAGTTTACAGTGAGCCAAGATCGTGACACTGCACTCCAGCCTGGGCAACATAGCGAGACTCCATCTCAAAAAAAAAAAAAAAAAAAAAACGCGGGAGTGGTTTTGTGAGGTCCAGACAAGATGCTGGTCTCAAGGCCTCAAGGCTGCACCGGGCAAACACTCCCTGGGTAATGTGTTATTCCAGCAGGGGACGGGGGTTCTGACGATCGATCGAGGGGATTAGCTTGGGGATGCTGGCTTCCTTACTTTGGAACTTCTCAGAGCAAACCCTGCCGGCCCCCAGCCCGTCCCCACATGGCACCTCTTTCTGAACGAGTCTTTCTGATCTTTCTGAACGGGTCTCAGCTCGTGCATGTGCCCCTGCCAAAAACCCTGCAACAGCTTCCTAGGCACAGAGAATAAAGTCTACACATCCAACTCCTGCAAGATCTGGCCCTGTACTCTCTGTGACCTCGCCAGCTCCCCTGCTGTGCCCCTTTGTTGTGGCTTTAGCCAACACAGCCTCCCTGGTTCTCCTCAAACTCAGCCAGCTTGGCCCCGGCCAGTCCCCTGCCTCTAGGTCTCAGGACACTCCCTCCCTGCACTCAGAGGCCTTCCTTGAGCACCCATCACTCTTCACTCCCCATCCGGCTCGGACTCCCTTCCTGTGGCCGCACACAGTTGGTTTATGAATTGTGTGGCTCCTGAGCAACCCCAGCACCTGCAGGGAAAGGCACTCAGCTGAACCCGTAGATGAACGGGAGAAGCTGGCGCCAGGGACCAACCTCGAGAATTACCTCCCTGCCACGGTGGCCTCCAGTAGGCCAGCAGGCACCCAGCCTATCGCCCAAGGTCACCCTGGGCTTCCTTCAGCCCGGCACCCCACAGCAGGTCCCCCAAGGTCCCTTCCACGGAGCGATGGATACCCCTACTCCCTAGAGGCTGACCCTGCCACTGACCAGGTCCCAGTCCTCAGTTATGCACTTCCGGCTGTGCGGAAGAAACTTAACACCCTCCTCCTGCAGGGCACTGTCCACCCCTGGCTGGACCCATGCAAGCCCTTGGAGCCCAGGACTCTGCTCTCCCAGCCACACTTGCAAGCGGCTCTGGGATGGCGAACGGGGCCTCTCCATGGAAACCTCCAAGCCAGAAGAAGGGAGGCCTGGGAGGCCACTACATCTTGGATAAAACTGTGTCCCTCCCAGGACCTGAAGGGGCGGGGACTGATGACCAGCGCCAGGACCTGGTTCCCAGGGTGGGCTGACCCTGACCCTGACCCTGACCCTGGACAGAGAGGCCAGAGCCCACGCGCAGAGCAGAGCCCTCCACTTGTCCTCAGGGCAGCTCCCATCTCCCCATTTTCCCCAGGGCTTAAGGCAGCCGGGCCAGAGATGCCGGGACTGGACTCCATGTTGTCCTGGGGACCGGAGGGGAGTGGAGGGAGGTGGAGAGGGTGGAGGGGATGGAGGTGGGGACCCACACCCTCAGGCACGAGCCTGTCTTCACCTGCGCGGGCCCCGGACCTCCCTCACCTGTGCGCACCCTGGATCCCCCTCACTTCCCCCGGATCCCGCCTTCAATTGCGCGGGCACCAGATCCCCCCACTCACCTGTGCGTGCCCCGGATCCCCATCACTTCATCACTGGACCAGGGCCTCCCACCTGCGCGGGCTCCGGACCCCTCCAACCTCCGTGCGCCCTGCAACCCCCTCCCTTGCCCGGGCCCCCCTCACCTGCGCGGGCCGGGGGCGCAGCCGCGAAGCCTGCCTGGCGCGCGGGGCCTGCAGATTCGGCCGGCGGGGAGGGGATGCGGAACCAGTCGCGCCCAAACCTCGGGTCGGCGACCTGGCGCCCCGCCACCCCCAACACTGCCCCGAGGCCCGGTGACAATGAAGCGGCCGGACGGCCGGGGTGAGCAGCGGCGGCAGCTAGCAACCAGCCTGGCACCACCTCCCCAGCCCGTCACGCCGGCCCGCCTTTCCTGCGCGCGCCGACTCCGGATTGGCCCTTCACGCTCCCGCTCAGGCCGTCCCGGGAGCTCATTGGGCCGCTCGGCTGTCCTTCGGGAAGTTCAAGCGTGGGAGGAGCGGCGGATGGCTGAGGGACGCGACTACAGAGAGCGGCCGATTGGACGCGGCTGGAAAGGGGCGGGTCATATAGGGGGCGGGGGACCGAGGGCGGCGGGAGGAGCTGGCCGGGCAGGGGCGGGGCCCCAGCGGTTGTGGGCGGGGCGTGAGGTGGGGGTGTGATGGGCGAGTAGGGCGAGGCAGATGTGGGCGGGGCAAGGCAGGTGTGGGCGGGGCACGCAGGGCCTGGGGAGGAGACACCAGGGAGGGCGCGAGGAGCACGCGGCCTCGGCTCGGCTCCCCGACACCCCCAGGCCGCCGCACTCCCGCGGCCCGGGGCTCCCCCAGTGTCCTAGGCCGCTCTGTCCCCACCCACGTGCGCGACTCCCCTCGTTACTCAGTACGACTGCGAGGGCGTGTGGGCGCCTTGCTAACCTCCCTGACCTCCTTCCCTTCGCGCTGCTTTGTTGTTTTTTTTCCTTCTCCAAAGTTTTAACGCTGCGCCCCGTGCGTAGCCGCTCTGTGACTCCCCCTCTCTCCGGGAGCCCTGGGGATTCCGCCCAGGTCCTCTCCAGGGAAGCCATCCTTCCCCTAAAAGTCACAGCACACTGGTCTCCCCTGCCCCCGCTTTTTAAAAAGTCCAGTGCTCTGTAAAATAAAAAGTTTGGTTTCAGTAAAATCCACATTTTTTGGTGTGCAGTGGAGTTGTGTAACTTTAGTTACAGAACATTCTCCCTCCGGATCCCGTACCTGCTGACTGCTGGTGGCGGCTGCTCAGTTCTCTCTGTTCTCCATCCCTAGAGGCAGCCTTTTCCAGAATGTCACACAAAAGGGATGTCGCGCAGCGCGCCTGTGGGTCTGGCTTCTACCACTTCGCATTTTGAGATTCATGCTGGTTCCTCTTTATTGCTGAGTGGTATCCTGTAACCGGTGTGAACCACCGGTTCAGATGGTTTTATTTATTGATGGTTTTATTCATCAAATGAAGGACGCAGAGATTGTTCCTGGTGCTTGGCAATTATGAATGACGCTGCCATAAACATTCACTCATCGGCTTCTGTGTGGACACAACTTTTCATTTCTCTTGTGTAAATACCCAGGAGTGGGGTTGCTGGATCAAATGATTGTTTATAAGAAACTGCCGGCCGGGCGCAGTGGGTCCCACCTGTAATTCCAGAACTTTGGGACACTGAGGTGGGCGGATCACCTGAGGTCAGGAGTTCGAGATCACCCTGGCCAACATGGCAAAACCCCGTCTCTAGTAAAAATACAAAAAAATTACCCGTGCCTGGTGGCGTCTGCCTATAATCCCAGCTACTCAGGAGGCTGAGTCAGGAGAATCGCTTGACCCCAGGAGGCAGAGATTGCGGTGAGCGGAGATCACCACTGCACTCCAGCCTGAGCGACAGAGCAAGACTCCATCTCAAAAAAAAGAAAAAGAAAAAAAAAAGGAAACCGCCAAGCTATTTTCTTTTTCTTTTTTTTCCTTTTTTTTCCGAGATGGAGTCTCCCTCTGTCGCCCAGGCTGGAGTGCAATGGCATGATCTTGGCTCACTGCAAACTCCACTTCCTGGGCTCAAGCAATTCTCCTGCCTCAGCCTCCCGAGTAGCTGGTATTACAGGCACATGTCACCATGCCAGGCTAATTTTTGTATTTTTAGTAGAGACAGGGTTTTGTCATATTGGCCAGGCTGGTCTTGAACTGCTGACTTCAGGTGATCCACCCACCTCGGTCTCCCAAAGTGCTGGGATTACAGGCGTGGGCCACCACATCGGCCTACTAAGCTATTTTCCAAAGAAGTTGTACAGCTCTACGCTCCCACCAGTGCCACAGGTGTTGCAGTTGCTCCCCATCCTCCTCAGCTCTTGGTATTGTCAGGGATTGGTTTTATTTGTTTACTTATTTATTTATTTATTTATTATTATTTTTTTGAAACAGAGTCTCGCATTTTTGCCCAGGCTGGAGCATAGTGGCGCGATCTCAGCTCACTGCAAGCTCCGCCTCCCGGGTTCACGCCATTCTTCTGCCTCAGCCTCCCGAGTAGCTGGGACTACAGGTGCCCGCCACCACGCCTGGCTAATTTTTTTGTATTTTCAGTAGAGACGGGGTTTCACCGTGTTAGCCAGGATGGTCTCGATCTCCTGACCTCGTGATCCGCCCGCCTTGGCCTCCCAAAGTGCTGGGATTACAGGCGTGAGCCACCGCGCCCGGCCTACCACATTGTCTTGATTAGTGTTTTTGTTGTTGTTGTTGTTGCAGAGATGGGGTCTCACATGTTGCCCAGGCTAGTCTCAAATTCCTAGGCTCAAGCAATTCTCCCACCTTCACCTCCCAAAGTGCTGGGATTACAGGCATGAGCCACTGCACCTGGCCTAGAGTCAATCCTGAAATCAGGTTTTGAGTCCTTTGTTCTTCTTTCTCCAAATTACCTAGGCTATCCAAATTCTTTTGACTTTTCCTATAAATTTGAGTTTCAGCTTGTCACTATCTTAAAAAATATCCAGCTGTGATTTTGATGGGGATTACATTAAATCTGTAGACCTGTAACCTGGAAGAATTGACACCAGAATTTATGAACATGGTATATCTCTCCACTTATTTAGATCTTCATTGATTTCTTTCATCAGTACTTTGAAGTTTTCAGCATACACATCCTACATATATCTTTCTAATTTATACCTAATCATTTCATTTTTGGAGTGCCATTACAGATGGTAGTTTTTTATGGTTTAATTTCCAATTGTTTATTGCTATTACAAAAGTGTAACTGATGTTAGTATATTTACCCTGGAGCCTGTGTCTTTGCTAAACTCACTTCTTAGTCTTAGGAAGTTTTTGGTAGATTTCACGGGATTTTCTACAATCCTGTTTTCTGTGAATAGTATGTTTTATTTCTTCCTTTCTAATGTGTCTGGCTTTCTAGTTTTTTCTTGCTTTATCGAACTGGCCAGGGCTTCAGTGTAATGCTGAACAGAAATGGTTAGCATGCACACCATGGCCTTCTTTCCAATCATAGGGGAAAAGCATTCAGTCCTTCAGCATTAAGTATGATGTCAGCTGAGGGGTTTTTGCAGAAACCCCTTGCCACCCAAAAGATCTCTTACATTTCTAATTTGTCAAATTTGGGAGGGTTTTTGGGTCATGAGTGAATGTTGAATTTGTTTCTTGTTTTTTCTGCATAAAATGATCATGTGATTTTTCTTTACTGTTAATATGATGGATTGAATTACACTGATTTTCATAGGTTGAAACAGCCTTGCATTCCTGGGATATATTCCACTTATAGTGATGTATTACACTTTTTATATATTACTGGATTCATTTTGTTGTTTTCTTGAGGAATTTTGCATCTATATTCCAGAAGGATATTGATCTCTAGTTTTCTAGACCAAGTGTACATGGAACATCCACCAAGATAAACTATATTCTTGGCCATAAAACAAACTTTAACAAAAGTTTGAAATCCTTAACAAAAGTGTGAGGCCAGGCACAGCAGCTCATGCCTGTCATCCTAATACTTTGGGAGATTGAGGTGGGAGAATTGCATGAGGCCAGGAGTTGGAGACCAGCGTGGGCAACATAGCAAGAGCTCCATCTCTACCAAAGAAAAAAAAGGCCATGTGTGGTGACTGAGGCATGAGGATTGCTTAGGACTGCTTGAACTCAGGAGGTTGAGACTGCAGTGAGCTGTGATTGCACCACTGCACTAGGTGACAGAGCTAGAGTGCAGTGGCACAATCATGGCTCACTGCAGCCTTGACCTCTGGAGTTCAAGCAATCCTCCCGCCTCAGCCACCTGGGTAGCTGCGACCATGCCTGGCTAATTTAAATTTTTTTTTTTTTTTTTTTTGTAGAAACGGGGTCTTGCTATGTTGCCTAGGCTTGAAATCTTTAAACAATATAACAGAAATCATATAAAATATGTTCTCTGACTATATCAGAATTAAATCATAACACAATATGCTTTAAAATAACCCATTGGACAAAACGGAAGTCTCAAGATAAATTTGAAAATATTTTGAGCTGAATAACAATTTAAATGTACCAAAATTCATAGGATGCAGCCAAAGCAGTGTTCACAGGAATGTTTATAGCATTACAAGGCTCACATTAGAAAATAAAGGACATGATAAATAATCTAAGCTTCCACCTTAAGAAACTGAAAAAGGCTGGGCGCTGTGGCTCATGTTTGTAATCCCAGTGCTTTGGGAGGCCGAGGAGGGTGGATCACAAGGTCAGGAGATCGAGACCATCCTGGCTAACATGGTGAAACCCAATCTCTACCAAAATACAAAACATTAGCCGGGCATGGTGGCATGAGCCTGTAATCAATCCCAGCTACTCGGGAGGCTGAGGCAGGGGAATCGCTTGAACCCGGGAGGCAGAGGTTGCACTGAGCCCAGATTGCGCCACTGCACTCCAGCCTGGGTGACAGAGTGAGACTCTGTCTCAAAAAAAAAAAAAAAAAAAAAAAAAGAAACTGAAAAAATAAAAATAAGCCCAAAGCAGAAGAAAGGAAATAATAAAGAACAGAAATTAGTGAACTAGGAAACTGAAAAACAGAAATTAGTGAAGTACAAAAAAAAAACACCAAAGTTTGTTCTTTGAAGTAACTAATAACATTAATAAACTGTCTGACCAAGAAAAAGGGAAAACAAGTGACCAATATTAGGCATGAAAGGAAGAGTGTGATAGTGTGACTACAGCCCCACAGGCATGACAGGAAGAGTGATAGTGTGACTACAGCCCCACAGGCATGACAGGAAGAGTGATAGTGTGACTACAGCCCCACAGGCATGACAGGAAGAGTGTGATAGTGTGACTACAGCCCCACAGGCATGAACGGAAGAATAAAGGACTACTACAAAAAACGGAATCACAAATTCAGCAACTGATATAAAATGGACCAATCCCCTGAAGACACAAACTGCTGAAATTAGAAATAGATAACCCAAATAGTCTATTATTTATTGAAGAAACTGAATTTCATAGTTTAAAACCTTGCCATTAAGAAGGTGAACTGCAAGGACAGTGCCAGTGGGAAGTTCTACCAAACGTTTCAGGAACACCGCCTGTCCCTCCTTTGAGGAAAGCAGTCCTCTGTGTGTGCCCCTTATTGATGGTATTTTCATTAAAATGCACATACACAAAAAAAGAAAAATAAGCGGCCCAGGTTCATGTAAACAGTAGTGTTTATTCAGAAAGCATAAACCCCAGCGCTCTTGGAAGGTTTTTCTGAGATGGACCAGAGGCTCCAATCAGAGGCTTCGTGTGTAGGAAGCAATTACAGCCTAAAGGAGCAGGTGAGAGCCAGGGAAGGATCACGTAGGGATCTGAGACTTGAAATGGCCTCAGGCCAGACAGCACAAGGCAGCCCGGACAAGACACCCTCAACCCACATGCACCAAACCCAGCCTCAGCACCTAGCCCACCCCGATGGGACGGGGGAGCAGTGGCTTGTTGCTGCTCATGACCTCCTGGGGAAGGAGGGAGCTGAGATCAAAATGAAATAAGGAACCTGGTAGTCGCTTCCGCATTCATACAAGAAACCTCATGTCTGAGAGCAAGACAGGCAGGGACTGCCCCCTGAGAGCCCTGAGATCGACATTTCTGAAGCCCTGCCACCTGCCATCCCTCGTAGGGATTCAAGTCCAAATAGCCAGAGCCTCTGGCAGAGGAGATGGGGGAAACTGAGGTAGCCCTAGGGTCGTCCTCTCAAGTCAAGCTGCCTGGAGACTGTAGCAGCTACGGTTGAGGCTGCTCAGGAAGCACAGACCGCCCCAGACAGCAGCTGAAGCTGAAGACTCCAGGGCCAGGCCATCGGGTCAGGCGTTCAGGAACGCGAAAGCTGACGGCTCTGAGCCAGGAGGCTCTTTGGCTGCTGTCCTCTGGGACGATGTTTGGGGGGCGCGGGGAGCATCAGGACAGGACTCTCCCGCAGCAGCCCCAGCCCCCACCAGGCGGGGACAGGCCACCAGCTCCATGCCAGCAAACAAGGAGTCGCGGCTCCACGCACAGCTGCTGGGGCCTCTCTTTGGGCTGTCCGTGCCCCCTGGGATCCGTTCAGGTCTCCACCGCCTGCTTTCTGCCAGTCTGGCCTCGGCCTCGCTGGGGTCTCCGGGGGCTGGAATGGGGGAGGCATCTGGGGGTGGGGTGGGCACAGGGCTGGACGGCATCCCAGATGAGGGAGCAGGGCTCCGGGACGAGACCGGGGTTGAACTCAGAGGCTGCAGGAAGACCTGGCTCCCAGGGAGAGGCACAGCGTCGGTCAGCAGGTCAGATGGGCCTGGGAGGGCGGCTGTGGGGCCAGGCTCAGCTGAGGTGCCCCGGGCAGGGGACAGCTGCCCACAGGAGGCCTCAAAGTGCCTCAGGATCTGAAAGAGGAAGGAGGAACCAGGGAGGTTCCTATGCAACCCTGGGAAATGTGGGGACCAGGGCCCGCTTCTCCCTAGGACCTCCTCAGTCCCTCCACCCAGAGGGCAGGGCCACCTCTGGGCAGGACACCGGCTGCTGGGAGGGGCTGGGGCAGTGCACCCAGTTGTCATCCCACCGAGAGCAGCTGCTGGGCTGGTGCTGGCGACACGGGGCAGGTGTCACATACACACCTCGAATCTTGCTCCTTTACTCACTACTAGACAAATGGACACCCTCCCCGTCATAACCCGCCAGGCACTGCCGGAGGGAGTGAACACGTGGCCTGGCACATCTGGGCATTTCCAACTGTTGGACGCAGGGTTCTTCCAGCATGCCCGTTTTAGAAACCCCACTATGAGGTTCGCCTGCGGTGGTGCGAACCCCAGGCTCACTCGTCGCTCTGACTGAAAGGTGAGCTAGCAGATGGCCAATGACAGTTAAGGATGACTTGGGGATGGGTGACTGAGGACCTGTGTTTCCAGCAGCCAGGGAGAAAACAGGAAGAAAGAAGCTGGGAATGCCCACAGGCAGAGGGAAGGTGCCAGGGCCTGGCGGCCGGGAGAGGCCTCCCCGTGTGATTCCAGTGGCCGCCAGGCAGTTCAGAGTGTTCAAGTGCACAGAGATGAATGGAACCATTTCTGCCCTCCGGAGCTTGGGAGTTGAGCATGAGCTGTGTCATGGGTGGCAAACTGCATGTGCAGTCAGGGAGGGCTTCCTGGAAGAGGTAAGTGTGAGGCCAAGACACAAGGGCAGGAACATTAAGGCAGCGGAGTCTGGGGGCTTCCAGGAATAGGTAGAGGCCAGTGTACTGTGAGTGCTGCAGAGTTTGGGTGGAAGGCGGGAAGGCAATGGGGAGGTGAGGACCCTGACTTGCTGCTGCTCCCTCTGCCAGCGGGACAGGGACTTGAGAGGGGGTCCGGGAAGGGCTGACCAGGCGCCGGGCAGGGACGGGGTGGCCGTGGACTGCAGCGTATCTCCCACTGTACCCTTGGACCCCGGTGTGCGTGTGGCCTCCGCAGCTGCCCACCTTGGTGGCCTTGTTGGTCACAGGTCCCGGGCTGCCCATGCTGAGCTCCTGCAGCCACGGCCGGGTGCGGAGGAGGATGTGCTCCTGGGGGAGGAGGTCGCTGCTCCCCAGGGAGGCGATGGCACACAGCGCCCTCTGCGGGTGAAGGGAGGGGACATCAGCACCCATGGGGCAGCAGGTCCACGCCAGGGAGGCCTATTTGGCCATCTCTCTCCCTCTTCTTCCTCCTCATCAATGACTGGAGTGCCAGGAGGCCCCAGAGACAGCTCCACCACAGCCCTGTCCTCACCGCCTTACACCCCGGATCCCAGACACCACAGCCCTGTCCTCACCACCTTACACCCCCGCTCCCAGACACCAGAGCCCTGTCTTCACCGCCTTACACCCCAGCTCCCGGACACCAGAGCCATGTCCTCCCCGGCTCCTGGACAGACCCCAGCGAGAAGCACGTGACCTGCTGCCCCGATTGCCTTACCTTCATTCCTCCGCACGCCCCCCGACACACGCACACACGTGTCCACACTTTCATGTGCATGCACACACACACAGGCACATACATACACAACCACACACATGCAGTCATGTACACACACACACAGATGTGTGCATACCACACACGTGCACAAGTGTGTACACACCGCACACATGCACGAGTGTGTACACACACAGGCATACATACACAGGCATACACACCCACACGCACACACACAGGCATGTGCGCACGCACAGCCACACAGAGGAATGTTCACACACAGGTGTGCACACAGGCACACGTGCACACACACGCACACGCACACACACGCACACAGGCACATGCACACAGTCACGCCCTCCCGCCCGCGTGTGCAGCTCACCAGCTGCGTGCATTCACTGGTCCCACGCAGGTGGCAGGTCAGCAGCTGCAGCACGGCCTCACAGTTGAGCAGTCCACACCTGCACAGAGGGGACACCTGGGTGGCGGGTGCGGCCCGTTCCCTCCTCCCTCGCCCACGGTTGGGGCTGAGGCAGAGCAGGGCGGGTCCGGGCGCACTCACGCTTTGATGAAGTGCTGTGCCTCCTCGCGGCTCAGGAAGGCGCGTGGTCCCCGAGTCACAGTCCTCACCAAGCTCAACTCCTGCTGACAGTCACTCAGGGCCACCACCTCGACCCTGCCAGGGGGAATGGCCGGGTCAAGGGTGAGTGGAGGCCATGCCCCCACTCCTGTCTCGCATGGGGGAGAACCTGGAGAGCAGGAGCCGCGCTGGGAGGGGGACAGTGTGGTGCCTCCGAGACCTCTCCCACATATCTGGCAGCTCCCGCTCACCTTTCTGCCAGGTCACCCGGCTCCCGGCTGGCCCCTGAATGGCTGTCGCTGCCGGAATGACTGCCCGAGTCCGAGACCCTGCTCAGGTCGCTGTTCTGGGAGGAATTCTGAGAGCTGGGGCCGCTGTCCAGCTCATCCCAGCCCCCTCCGGCCTGCCCAGGCTGATGCCTCACAGCTGGAGGAAACAGGACAGCCGGTGAGATCCCTGGGGCTTCAGGCCAGCCCCATGCCCACCTCCCGGGGCCCTGGACCAGGAGGCCTCGGGGGCTGAGTCCTGAGCTGAGGATGGGTGGCCACCTTGGCTCCAGCTTCAGCAAACACCAGCCCCATGGGCATGTGCTTCCGCCGCGGGTCCCACCCCTCCTGCTGTGTGGGAGGCCCTGGGATTTGCCTCCGTGGCCGCAAAGCCCCAGCGGTGACAGGAAGGAGTGACCCAGACCCCAAGGGGAGGAGCCCTCGCCTCGATACCTCGGGGACCTGGAATGGCCCCGGGGAGTAGGTTCCCCAGGGTTGGGGGACCGTGGCTGGCTGAAGGCATCATGGCAGGCTGGTAGGTGTCACCCCGCGGCAGGAGCCTCCGGGTACTGGGACTCTCGGGCCCGGGGCGCATGGCGCTGGCCACCACCTCTGCGGCCTTCTGGATGGTGGAGAGGAAGGCTTCGCCTGCCGAGCCTGTACCCGAGGAGAGGGAGATGGGACGGCCGCCCAGTGCGGCCCCCACCCGCGTTCTCTGGGAGCAGGGTGCCCGCATCGGCTCCCTGCTCAAGCTTGGAGAGGTCGGGGTACATGCTGCAGGTAGGGAGGCCTCCTGGTGGGCCCCAGGCCCTCTGGAAGCTCCCAGTGGACTCCGCTTTGGCATTCCCACTCCCAGTGGGCCTGGACACCAAAGCTCACTGCAGAGTTATGCCTCCGTCCCTCTGTCCTCTGGGGGTGAAGGTGTCCTAAGGGGCTTGGGCTTGGCCTTGGCTCAGGGAGGGTGTGTCCAGGGCTCGGGGAGGGGCCGGCCTTTCCTGTGTGAGTTCCCTGTAGAAGCTGCCCCGACACCAAAGTGTCGGCAGGAGCCCCAGGCTGTGCGCAGGACGGCGTGACACAGCCTAACGGTGAGCAGCTACACACCGCCCAGGGCCCGGCAGCAGGGCACAGCTGGGCTGGGGGCTGGGTCCCAGCCGCAGGCAGTGGTGCCACCTGTGGCTCTCCTGGCGCTGGTGAGCAGTTGTCCACTGGTACTGCCCCACCTCATAACAGCTCCACACGGGACTGCCTGAGTCACCTGCACCACAGCCAGGGGCACAGCCCTCGGCCCCTCTCAGAGTGGGACTCACCCCTGCCACGGGGCCCAGCCCTGACTTCTTGCTCGGCCTGGTTTCTCTCATCTGTCCATAAAGCAGCCCTGGCCACACCTGCCCCACCCCCACGTCAGCAGCCAGAGAGAGACAGTGGGGACAGCCCCAGGAAGGGTTGAGGCCATGTAGGGGAGGGGACGGGGGACAGCAGCTACTAGATGGGGCGGCATGGTCCGGCCCCCACCACCTCCTCATCCCCACACCCTGAGATGCCAGAGCCCATGCAGGCCCTCCCCACTCACCCGTGCGGCCGTGTTCCTTGCTGTAGCCGAAACCCTGGAGGGTGCTGTGCGGCCTGGCCTGGGAGCCCATGCCTGCAGAGGGTCCTCCGTTAGCAGCAAGCCGGCCCCCACCCTCGGCCCTGCCCACGGATGGCACAGACACCCAGGACACTCAAGGAGGCAGAAACCAGGTGCCAGAGCTGGACACGGTCCCCTCAGTCACCTACCTGTGGCAGGCGGGGTCCCCAGAGGCTGGGAGGGAGCCAGCGGCAACACGGTGTCCGAGAACAGGGTGCTCCCCAAGTCCTACAGGGGGAGGCGAAGGCCCTCAGTGTCCTCACACCAGGGCCTGCTGTACTCACCCTGCCACCCATATCAGCTCCGTTCTGTCCCCCGGACACTTCTCCTGAGCCACTCAGCTGGACACAGGCTCTGTGTCCACCAGCAAGGAGCAGAGGCAGGGGTCCCGGATGGGAGAACTGCAAACCCCCCAGCTGACATCCTGGCCCCAATCCCACCCCTCTACAGGAGGAGGGGCACCCCGCAGAGCGACACTGCTCCTGGGCTCACCTGCGCGGCCGCGCGAACCTTCTGGTACAAGCTGTTCCCGTGCAGAGGATCTGGGGGCCCTGCAAAAGCTGCAGAACAGAAAAGGCAAGTCGGGGGCAGGGCTGAGCCTGGCACCGCTGCTCCCTGTGGAGCACGGTGCCCTGGGCCCACTCCAGGGTGGCAAGTTCCTGCCACCAAGGCCCTTCTGTCACAGCCAATGGGATGCCCTCCTCCAGGACCCTGCAGAGGCCACACCTGAGCAGACCCTCAGCTCCCCCTCACCCATGCCCCACAGAGGCGAGACTCTCTCCACAGCAACCACCTCGTCTCCCCCAGGGTCGGCAACCCCTGGTGCCTGAGCGGGTGTGGCCTCCCCGAAGCCCACTCTCCCTGCCCCAGGTGCACCAGGGACCCCTCAGAGGCTTCCGGGGCCTGGAGGGAGAAACCAGCGTTCTTATCACAGCCTGAAAGCTCCACCTAGCCCCACCCAACCCCAGTCTCAGCCGCCTCGAGCTCCCCTGCTCTGAGAGTTCCTGTCATGATGAACTGGGGCTTCTTTCCTTAAATCTTCCGGCCCCAGGGCCCCCCAAGCCTACACCTGGGGCCGCGGCATCCTTTCAGGGCTCAGGCTGAGAGCTGTGCCTCTGAGAACCCCTCGAGAGCCTCTGTCACAGGCGAATCCACTCACGCCCCTCGGCCGTCTACCTCCACCCTGGCAGGCTGGTCCCGTGATTCGGAGACGATGCTCCTGGCTGTCCCTGGGCCCAGGGCTGGCGGCCACAAGCTGAGTCAATGGCTGGATGAACTGACACCCTGAGGCTGCCATCTTCCCTGCAGGAGCCCAGGGCACCCACCTGCCACCCCACGCTGCCCCTGCTCTGTGACAGAGCAGGAGCATCACCATCTTGGACAAGCCCCTCATTCTAAAGTTCACCTTAACCAAAAACTGCCTAAATCCATAGGGCATCAGCCTAATGGCTAAGGTCAGCACGACCATGAACCACAAATAACATCTCCAACCAGAAACATTCCAAACTCCTCCCCAACCAGAGACATGCTAGCCCCAAGATAACCCTTCTCCAGCCGGGAAGATGCCAGCTTCGAGAAAACCCACCTCCAGGCTGAAAAGATGCCTGCCCCAAGATAACCTTCCCTCCTTCCAACCCTGCCATAAACTTCTCCACACACATAAACATTCCGAGCTTCTGATAAGCCCTCTCATCCTAAAACCAACATTCAGTCTGTAAGATAAAGTGCTCCTGACCGCAATCGGCTGGGGGTGCCTCTCAGGTTTTAACTAAAGAAAATCTGTCTGTAACTGCCAGCTGCGTTTTCTTTCCTCTTTCTGACGCTCTGCGCGCGTGGGGCAGGCCATCCTCACTGCACACCCACCACCTGGAGCAGGGCGCCCCGTCTCTCACGTGTGGCATCTGGCACCCACTTTCCTCACAGGGCCTGTCCTGACACCTCCCACAGCCTGTGTGTCACCCAGGGCCAGTGTCCAGGCACGGCAGGCAACAGCCATCATCCATAGCTGCCTCTGCACAGGAGAGACTCTGGTGCCGACAAGAACCCAGGGTCTGAAGAAGAGCCTTTCCCATCCTCAGGTCCTGCTGTGCCCCATCCCCCTACCTGCTGCAGCCCCCACCCCAGGGCGTGTCCCCGAGACCACTGAGGCCACGACGTACATGCACCAACCACAGCCACGGGAGTGGCCTGGAGCCCGGGGCCCTCTGGCCCGCTGAATGGTGAGGATAAATGGCTGGTGCTGCCTTGGCCCCAAAGCTGTGAGGAGCTCTGTGAGGATGGCGAGAGCACCCCCGCACTGCCGTCCCCTCAGGGGCATCTACTGCCTAAGTCATGTGTCACAACTGTCTATGGCGGCCCAGGGCACTGGCCCCTGCGGAACACCTAGAGCTGCATGCCCACTTGCCATAAAGTGGGACAACACTGGTTTCGACACCGGTTTTGGGGTGAGCCCAGTGGATGGTACACCCTGAGGTCTCCACAAGCAAGCAGTGGCACGAGACAGACTCAGTCTCCCTCCCCAGAATTCCCCACTCAGGGGCTGGGGTGGGGTCCAGACATGGTGCGCCCAGTGACCACCTGGAGCCAGGCCTCCCTCCACCCCATGGAAGATCTCAGGCCAAGCCCCCACAAGTCCTCATTAGGCAGAGGCACATGGGACTGCCCCCAAGCCTGCGGGGACAGCTCCCCCAGACCCATCTTCTGCCTGGACAGACCGACTGGCCGGGGCCCCGCCTCTCCTGCCTCCCAGCTCCGCCCTCCCATGGCCTCACTCTGTCTTGGGCTCCGAGGAGCAGCCCCAGAAGGGGAACCCACAGCCTGGGAAGGATGTGTGAACAGGCACTGAGTCTGCTATGTGTGGGCACTGGGATGGAGGGGGAAGACCCGTGGGGCACACAGAGAAACAAACTGGCACCCGGGGCAGCAAGCGCAGGGACAGACGCAGCCAAAGGCCCAGGGACGCATAGGAGGCACGGAGGACCCAGCGGAGGGAGGGGGCAGGGCGCGTCAGGGGAGGCCGAGCCGGCCAGCTGGGGTGAGGGTGGGCAGCAGGTGGAGAGGCCAGAGATGGGCCAGGATCAGCAAGGCGGGGCTTTGATCGGGACCCGGCCCAGGTGAGGGCTCTGGCTGAAGTCTTCCTTCTCAAACCTGGAGGATCCGCCACCCTCCCCCATTCTCCAAAGCCCTGGCTCTTCCTGAGCGCGTGCGCGGCCCCTGTACCTGCAGCTTCCTGGATGAAGGCAGAGTTGCGTTTGAGGATGAGCAGGAAGAAGGAGGAGCCGTGGCTGCACAGATAGAGCAGGATCTTCAGCACCTGGGGAGTGGGGCGGTCAGCAGTGCTGGGCAGGCCGGACACGGGACACCCAGGGCAGGGCCCGGGGGCACCCCAAGGGCACAGAGCTGCCTGCCACCCTGGGCCGCTCGTCTGCTCCTCCATCCTCACCACCGTGGGCCGGGCCTCAGGCCTGACCCTTGACCACCCAGGGGCTCACCTTGAGCTTCCCGTGGCCGGAGCTGCTGTGCAGGCGGCTCAGGAGGTACTCCAGCAGGCACTGGCTGCTGCCCGGAGACTCGTGGGAGATTTCTGCGGCACGCTCGGGTTAGGGAAGGGCGAGATGATGAGGGCTGCGCCAGGCCGCAGGGAGACCAGGCCATGGGGCCTCTCAGTTCACGCTCCCTGGAGGCGCCTACTGGAGGCTCTGCCATCAGGAGCACCTGGGCTTCTAGGGTCCCCTGTGTCATCAGTATTGCAGCCTTCAGACCCCACCCATGCCTGGTTACAATAATAAAGGAGCCGTGCATCCCCCTAGGGACAGCAGAATCCCCAGGAACCCTTTGCACCACTCTGGGACCCTGCCATCCGCTCTTTCCACTACACGGGGACATCAAGGAAGGATACTAGCAATCTCTTCAAACAGGTAGCCCGGACACGGGACATCATCATCGGACGTCCCCTTCAGGAGAATCGGGAGCTGAAAGGGAACAAGAGCCCCTACCATGATGAGGTGCCATTTCCCACAGGGGTGAATCCGCAGCCCCCCAAAGGGGATGGAAACGACCCACCTCTCACTGTTGACATGGCCGGAGAGAGGACTGGGAAGGGATGAGAACTGTGCTACTGGCCACAGGGAGGCTGCAGCAGGGTCCTCTCTCAACAGTCAGGGATGAACAGCCTCGGAGAAGAGGCAAATCAATGGTGGTTCTCCACGGAGGAGCTGCGCCACTTGGGTTAAGAAGGGACACAGCCCCCAGCCTCCCTGCACTTACCAGCATGTAAGGCTATTTGAAGGTACCTCTCCTGTACCTACCTACTGACTAGCAAAGCCAAACAAGGCCCAGGCAAGCCCCTTTTCCACACAGGGGACTATGAATCGTTCCACCTCCCCAGAGGCCGGAATGGCAGAGTGACAGCCGCTCAGCGTGACTAGCTCCATCGCTCCCCGAGAACCGACTGATGTCGTGTGTTTTACGTTCGCTTAGCGCAGACGTACTTATTTGTTTCATGCTTACTTACTGGCACAAAGATGTACGGTTTATAGGGATGAAAACTGGAACCACCCATTCTTGCATTATTCAGTATCAGGACAGAATAGAGTTCAAGAGTATTTAACAGGACAAGCATGGGACCCACCGCGTGAGGTGCCGAAGCCTTTCGGTCGGAAGGGCCGAGATCTAGTGACAACATACGAAAACGTGGACCTGAAGTGTTTCCCGAGGCTGTGGACACGCATCACTGACACTGTTTGCCCACCACGCCCTAAGGGGAGCTGCTGAGGTTTGCAGGTGACAGCTGACAACTGCAGAACGCAGCACAGAACGACTATGTCGAAACCTTGCACTGAGAGCCTTGACCAACCCTAGCGTGGCTTCTGGCAGCCCAAGGTCGCGCCCTGGGACCACCCAGCCCCCTCTGAGGTCCAGCCCAGGAAAGCTCAGGGCTGACAAAAGAGGGCAGTTTGCTCAGGACGACACCTGGGAACTCGCCCCGGCCTCTACTTCTCAGAGGGTTTACTAAGAGGGGCTTACAATGGTGCGTCCTTCTCTGTCCCTTCGAGACGTCTGTGTTCTCTGCAACCCAGGGGTGCCTCTCCAGGACCGGAGTCCTCTGAAACGCCACCGTCAGGGAGGACGGCGGGCTGCCAGCCCACCTGGGCGCCAGCAGCACGGACACAGCGGCTCCACGTCCACCGGGTCCGCCGCTCCTTCCCTCCCGTCGGAGGCCACTGAATGCTGGCCGAGGCCTGTTCGTTCCCCCAGGGTCTGGCTGTGCCCATCGCCCTTGCGCTCGGCGGGTCCGGCTTGGAAGGCCCGGCTTGGAAGGCCCCGGGACGGCGCGGCGGGCGGGCAGCTCAGGGGCGTCGGCGCGGGCGAAGGGGCCAGGAGCAGCTACCCGGCGCGGAGACGCAAGGTCAATGGCTCCGGCCCGGGGCGAGTCCGGGGAATGCGGCGCTCGAGAGGAGCCGTGGGACCGGGGCCCGGGCGGACCGCCCTCACTCACCCGGTGTAGAAAGCTCAGGCGGTCCCGTAGCGGCGGCGCGGCAGCCATGATCCAGGTCCCCTCCCGGTCTGCCCCGCTTCCGCCAGGCCCGGGCCCTCCAATCACTGCGCGGGTCTGGGTCCGCCGGCCAATCCCTCACGGTAGGGCGGGCCCTGAGGTTGGCTTCGTAAACAATTGGAGCCTAGGCCAATCCGAAGTCCCAGAGCACAGACAGACTAGGACAAGAGCCAATTGCGGGGGCTCGAGGCCAGGCAAAGCCTGGCCAATTAAGAAGTTCAGGAAAGGTTATGGGCGGAAGCGCCGACCTATCAAGCTGTTTGACACCGGAAGAGGACGGACCTAAGATGGCGGCCTCCAGGGGGCTGGGAATAGCCGCTCATGTCGGCTAACGGAGCGGTGTGGGGCCGCGTGCGAAGCCGCCTCCGCGCCTTCCCCGAGCGGCTGGCCGCCTGCGGGGCCGAGGTGAGGAGCCGCGGGCGGGCCAGTGCTGCGGGGCAGGAGGAGCCGCGCGGGGAGGTGGCTGGGAGGGAGGACGGTGACGGGGTCAGGGGACCCCACGACCCACGCCCGTCCTTTCCGCAGGCCGCGGCGTACGGCAGGTGCGTGCAGGCCTCCACGGCCCCGGGCGGCCGCCTGAGTAAGGACTTCTGCGCGCGGGAGTTCGAGGCCCTGCGGAGCTGCTTCGCCGCTGCGGTAGGTGGGCGCGGGCCCCTTCCCCCCTTCCCAGCCCTTCCCCTCCAAGAGCCAGCGGGCCCCGGCTTTCCTTTGCTTTCCCGTTGGTTCAAGGTTTGAGCGCCTGCCGCGTGCTTTAGACGCCGGCTGACAAAATCACCGAGCCATCGACGAGCCCGCGAAACCTCGGCCGTCCTGGGCTTGTCCCTGCATGTTTGTAAAGCGGGACTGGCACCAACCTCAGAAAGGATGGGAGATGTGTGCAAAAAAGCGCCTTGTAAAACGCGTAAGCTTTCGTGTTAGCACTGCCGCCGGGGGGTGTCATGCCAGGATTGACCCAACACAGGACTCCCGGAAAGTGCCCAGCACCTTCCGGGTCTTCACCTCCCTGGCACTTGCAGCCCCTGTGCACCTGCAGTGGTGGATTCCTTCAGCACGTGTCCTGCGGGGAACCCCCAGCCACCCTCACAACTGGCACGATAGGGCTTCTTGCCCGTGGGGCTTTAAGTCATTCTGAGGCTGGTTCCCTAAGTGTCAGCCGCACCGGGTACCACCTCAGTGTATCTGGGTAGGCCTTGATGCCAGTGCTGACTCTGTTTACTGGGAGCTGTTAATCCGGAGATTTGGACCAGAGAAAGGGTATTTGAACAAGAGTTCCACGGCCTTCATCCCTACCCGGCCCCAGCAGCCTTGGATCCAGGGGTGGACAACTCATCAGAAGTTGCACTTTTTGCTGGGTGTGGTGGCGCGTGCCTGTAATCCTACCGCTTTGGGAGGCTGAGGTGGGTGGATTGCTTAGGCCTAGAAGTTTGAGACCAGCCTGGGCAACATATGGAGACCCCGTCTCTACAAAAAAAAAGAAAAAAAAAATTAGCCAGGCATGGTGGTGTAGTCCCAGTTACTTGGGAGGCTGAGGTGGGAAGATCACTTGAACCTGGGAGGTGGAGGTTGCAGTGAGCCGAGATCACGCTGCTGTACTCCAGCCTAGGCAACAAAGTGAGACTGCATCTCAAAAAAAAAAAAAGGGGGGGGGCTCCTGCTTTCCCTCTATGAGAGCTTGAGACCAAATGTGGCATCTCGTGGGGGCTCAGAGGAGGGGGCAGCAGTGAGTTCTGTGATAGTGTCATGAGGCCCTTGTCCCGTGGACAAGTGACCCAGAGAACCTGCCCATGGGGCCCCAGGCTCCAACCAGTCGAGCCCCCACCATATGCCAGCACCCAAGTTCTCTGTAAGGTATTTGGTAGAACACAACGTGTGGTGTGGTAGCTTGCTTTTGAGGCGTATCTAACTTGGAAGCAAGCCATTCAGACAAAACACTTTATCTTGCAGGCCAAGAAGACGCTGGAGGGAGGCTGTTAGGAGGGACTCTGAGCTTCACACCTGTCTGCTGCCATGGGTGCAGAGCCCTAGTCCTGATGGCCCCTGGTGGCACATATCGAATGCCTAGGGCAGAAAGGAAGTGGGAATGGCGAAGATGTGACATTCCTCGGTGTTAGATCCTGTTTTTTCTTAACAAGTTGAGGCGTGGGTAGAGCAGGAATTGGTTTTCCAGCATTGTGTCCGTAAACCTGAGTTAGAATAAGATGTAACGGAAGCCACGATAAAGACTCGGTCAAATCCTGCAGCCTGGGGCTTACTGTGTGCAGACTGCAACATGTGGGTCTTGGCCTCTCTGAGATGGAATGGGGCCCAGAGCCTTTCCCCCAAAGCTGGCAGGGCTGGGACTTGGGGACACCCTGCCTCAAGGTCCCCGTTTTAAAACACTCTCACTAAGGTATTTAATGTGAATCTGGTGAAGCCTGCAGACCTTGCTGTGGGTATACAGCACACACCAAAGACAAGGACGTCAGCACCACGAGGGGACACTCCATGGGGCAGGGTCCTCGCAGGTGGCTTTCCTGGACACGGGGCAGGGCGGAGGCTCTTCACAAAAGGGCCTGAGTCTCCGAGAGGGGCCTGCGTAGAGCACCAGCAGCCAGTGCCCCTCCTGTGTGGGGTTGGTCGCCCCCTCGGCAGCCCAGGTACTTCACCGATGGCGCCTGCCCTCTCGTTCCCCCTCCCTATCACATCACTTGACCTAAAACTAAGGTGAGAAGGGCCACATCCTGACTCTGCCCGGGCACTTGTTGATGGTGAGACCCCGGAGTCCATGGGGCCTGAGCGCCACCTGCAGGGCGTGGCGGGGACTGCTTTGAGAGCCCCCCTGCTCCGGGGTGCAGAGGCTGCACTTTCCTGGGGCTGCAGCCTGCGCCTGCCCCCAGGCCCGTGCTAGCGGCTGACCCCGTGGGCTGAGGTCTGTTCCTCCATGTTTCCTCCTCCAGATGCTGCCCCAGAATTAACCTGGTTTCCCCTAAGGGTCTGATCTGGGTGGTGGGTCTGCAGGAGCCAGGCCAGAGTGCTGGATTTTGTCCCAAGGGCCAGGATAGTGTCACATCTTGGGAACCACGGAAATCCAGACCAGACTCCTGGGGTCAAGCCACCGCAGTCCATCCCTGTGCATGCCAGACTCAGATGCCCTGCGCTGGCACAAACCACCCGACCCGCCTCCCCAGCGTGCAGGGCCGGCTGCCCCCCACCCCTGCCTTCCTCCTTCTTGTGCCCAGCACTCATCCATGAGCGAGCCTCAGTGTGCAGACGTCCTTTTCTTAGCCCTGTCACGCCCTCTCCGTTCTCTGGCAGCTCATTGGCAGAGCTTCCTGCATCTTCTCCCTCCAAATCCAGCCTCCCATCCCACCCACAGACCTGTCTTGCCAGCACTCCCCCTCGCTGTCCTTCACCCTGTGTGTGAGGTGGTGACAGACCTGCCACTTCCTGTGGCCCAGCGTGGCCCACACCTCCAAACTCAGCTCTCAGGCCTCCGGGGTACACCCTCTTTTCTGCCACCCCAAATTTCCTTGCAAACCTCCCACCTTTGCTCTGCCCTTCCTCCCTGAGTGACTGGATTTCAGCACCACATCGATTGACAGCTCAGGAAGCTGGGCGGGTGGGGGGGGGGGAGGCGGGGGGGAGGGGGAGGGGAGGTTGTGGGGGTTCTGCTGTTTTCGCACCGCAGGGACAGTGTGGAGCTCTAACTGCTTCAGGTGCCCTTGGGCCGTCCCTGCTGCCCTAACAAAGCACCTGAGACTGGGTGATTTACAAAGAACGGCCTGATTTTTCACAGCTCTGCAGGCTGCGAAGCCCGAGATCCAGGCATTGGTACTGGTGTCTGGGGAGGGCCTTTGTGCCGTGTCCTCACACTGCAGAAGGCGGAGGTGCAGCCTCTTTTATAAGGCTCTTAATCGTACGAGCGAGGAAGGAGCCCTCGGCCTAGTCACCTCTTGATACTGTCACTTAGGCAACTCCTGAATTTTGGAGGGGACACATCAAACCACAGCAAATGCCTTGGCTCTCAGGAGATACCCAAAGTTCTTTGAGGGCTCAGCTCCGCTCAATCCGTCCCTGGGCCAGCGTGCTGCGCAAGTCTGTTCCCGCGCAGAAGTACACACCGGCGACGGGACAGCGCTATCCCTGCTCTGGAACTGAGCCCCCAGAGGCAGACTCCACAACCCAGCGACCTGCACCAGGACTGACCAGACAGGAGCAGCCTGTCGTCAGAAAGCGCAGCCTGGCCCCGGGGCCCCTCTGTAACATTCTGAGAAGCCCCACCCAGGGGTCTGCGAGGCTTCTGGGGAAAGAAGTTTCTCTTTCCTTCCCTGAGGGGCTGCCACCTGGGCTGGGGGGTGGGGGTGGGAAGGAATAAGGAACCACATGTGCATGGGAGCAGGTGACCCTGTCTGTGGCTGGGGGTGCAGGGACTCCGGGGTGCAGCGGGGTGGGCGACAGCAGAGGCACGGCCGTCATGGATGCCTCTCTGTGCCGGCCAAGGGCAGCCCGCTCCAGCAACAGAAAGCGGGGAGGGTGGAATAACCTCCAGAGAAGGAAAAGAAAACTGGGTCACGGTAAGATATTTGGGGAAATCCAGCCGGAATGAAAATCCCACTCTGAGCAATTTAACAAATGGAGTTCCAATCCAAGGGGAACGTCCAGAAGGAGTTTTACCACTGAGCAGTGGTTCATTTGGAACTGGTTTTAATTGAGAATGAAGGACAGAAATGACCAGGACTGAACCCCCTTGGCGGGGCACCTCCCAAATGCTGAGTGGTGCCCCTGGCCCCACAGCCCCCTCCCAGCCTCCTCCCAGCCCCCTCCCAGCCCCTGGCCCCGCAACCCCCTCCCAGCCTCCTCCCGGCCCCCTCCCAGCCCCCAAGGCTCGGCAGGAGTCACCACTCAGCCTCCAGAAGCTTCCCTCTAGTTAATTTCCAGTCTTCAGGCCAGGTGCAGTGGCTCAAGTCTGCAATCCTAGCACTTTGGTAGGCTGAGGCGGGTGGATCACAAGGTCAGGAGTTCGAGACCAGCCTGACCAACATGGTGAAACCCAGTCTCTACTAAAAATACGGAAAAAAAAATTAGCCGGGCGTGGTGGCGGGCGCCTGTAGTCCCAGCTACTCGGGAGGCTGAGGCAGGAGAATGGCGTGAACCCGGGAGGCGGAGCTTGCAGTGAGCCGAGATCACACCACTGCACTCCAGCCTGGGTGACAGAGCGAGACTCCGTCTCAAAAGAAAAAAAATTTCCAGTCTTCAGGCTGCCCAGTGACATCCTTCAAGGGAAGAAACTATAATAAAGAGCCAAAAGGATATCAAAAGGTGCAGGAAGACACCACCAGAGGCTGAGGCCGGCCCTCCATGCAGGGACCCTTCGCCAACACGGGCCTCCCCCAGACCCAGGCCCTGGTCCTCTGCCCTTCGTGGCAGGGTTTCGTGGCAGGGTTGGGGCGCAAGCTCCCCAGAGGACGAGCCAAAGCAGACTCGGATGCTGTGGACACAGCAGCACCTCCTCTCTCCCGCCAGGTGAGAGGGCTGTGGAGCGTGTCCTGGTCACGAGGCAGCACGCCCGTCAGCCTGGCCCTGGGGGCTGGACCACCTCCTGGCACCAGGCGGCTCTGCCTGCTCACAGGGTCTCTCTGGGGCTGTGCTGCGTCTAGTGTCCAGTCACTGCGACGCTCAGGTCATGGCGCCGTTCCCTCATGACCTCTGGCCTCTGCTTTACACATCTGGAATCCTGAGCCGGCCTCAGGCTTTCCTTTCAGTCACTCCCCCAGGACCAACTTCACTAATCAGGTTATCAGTGGTGTTTTTTACTTTTTAAAAAAAGCCACAATTGGATTTTGAAAAACACAGACAATGGAGGGCTGGGCCAACCATGAGGAGTGCAAAGGGCGGCACCGGCCAGTGCCCCTGGACACCCGGCTTGTCTGGCCCCTGCTCCCTGTGCTTCCTGGACACCAAACAGCATCCACCGAGGCTGGGTGAAGGCAAAAGTGTTTATTCAAGACTTTCTACCACACTGTGGGAAGCATCGATAAACAGTCATAATAATTATCATTCTGAGTCACTGCAAGCGTGGGGTTGGATGCTGGCTCTCACAGTAGCCTGTGTTGGGACCATGAGCAGCCATGCGCACCTCCACGCACGGCCGAGCTCAACCCGAAGACCACGCGTGCTCCCTGGCAGGAGCAGGAGGCCTGACCACAGACGCAGCAGCTCCCCAGCCTGAGCCTGGGAGTGCACCAGCCAGCTCGCAGCGGAGGCCGTTTCTCCTCACAGGCTGGAGTGAGCTCAGAGTCTAGAGGTCAGAGGACCTCAGACTAAGAGCTGCAACAGAACGACAGCAAGAACATTCTGGAAACGATGCCACAGTGAATCTTTTATACTGTCACTCACACTTGGTGAGGGCCTCAGACATGAAACCCTGGGGAGAGGCGAGTGTGACCTCCAGAGTTTGGCTGGGATGCGGCTGAGACAGACCTGCTGCTGGCCGAGGAGGGCAGTGGCTGGCGTGGCCCTCATGGCCAGCAGGTGCTAGGACTCCTCTGGAGGCCCAGGCGCCTGTCTAAGCTGCCGGCTGTGGACCACCTGCAGAGCTCCCCCCGCAGCCTGGCGGAGCTGGGCATCCAGGGCGCCACGGAGGTCGTTCACCTGGACATCAGGCAGGGGGTTAAGGCCAATGATGACCCCATCCCTCGGGGCCAGCTGACCCTCTGCATGAGGGCCAAGGTCCCGCCGTCGCCTCCGGAGGTCGGAGCCAGCCTGCAGTTTCAGGTCCCGGTTGGGCTTGGCATTGTCCGGCCTCTGGCCCCCCGGGACAGCTCGTTTGAGCCCCAGCTCTGGCTCTGGCCTCTGCCTGGGCTCCTGGACAGCAGCGTCCTCCCCGCCTCTCGGCTGCTCGTGGGACACAGGCACATGGTCCCCCCCGCGGGCCTTTCTCATCTCCAGGTGACCGCCATGGTCCAGCCGGTGGCCCTGCTGTCCACCCTGCTCGCCATCAGAGATGACCCGCAGTTCCGGCTGGCGTAACACAGCCTGGGGCTGTGCAGCTGCTCCTTCCGCCCCACCGGGCAGGTCCGCTGCAAGGCCCAGGTCTCGGCTCACTTGCTTGGGCTTCATGCGAGGGTCCCCCGTCTCTGCTCCTGGCCCTGCCACGAGCCAGTTGGCTTCCTTCAGAATGCTGGTGCCAGTGGCTGCCACCTCCTTCCCAGGTTTTTTCCTGTCTTGGGAACCGCCAGTAACGTCCTGACTTTGCCCAGGGAATTCCTCTGCGAGGCGCTCCTCTGGGCCCCCGGCTTCCCTGGCGGGGTCTGGCACGGGCACCTGCTCCGGGCCCTTGGGGAGCTCCTTCACAGTGCCAGCTGCCCTGGGGGCGGCATCCTTCTGGCCATCTCTCAGCTTGGCCTGGGCTGCCCGAGGCTCTGTGTCAGGGCCGCCGTCAGGAGGGCCAGCAGGGTCTCTGCCCACAGGCCCCTCAGAGTGCTCCAGGGAGCGCTGGTTAAGGTCCTGGGATGGAGCAGGGCGGCCCCCAGGAGCTCTGAGGACAGGGTCCAAAGGCAGGGGAGGCAGATTCTCCACCGTCTCCCTGGCCTTGCCTTCAGGGGCCTCCTGGCCTCTGGGCACCGCTGCCCCGGGCTCTTGATGCACCTCCACTGCAAATGAAGTCGGTCATCAATTTAGCCACAGCACTGTACACAGGCTGCCAGTGGAGGGGCTCAGAAGAACCAGCAACAACAGCATTGGGAACCAAAACCAGACTCACGCTCAGGTCTAGAGGCCACCGAGCCTCAGACCCAGCCGCATGAGGACAGCAGGAGACCCCCTGCCTGGCCCCACCCCACTCCATCCGCCAGCCCGGCCTACCCTGCCTGGGTTTATCCTCCTCGTCCTCCTGCCTCTGCTGGTGGATCTCCTTGTGCTGCTCCTCGATCACCGCCAGCAGCTTCTCCTGCTGGTCCAGCAAGCGCTTTTGCTGCACCTGCTGTTCTTTGATCACCTGAAGCAGGACGGCGTGGTCCAGCATCTCCGCCCTGCCAGCTTCTGGGTTTGGAAAGCACACAGTCAGAGTGCCCGGGCTGCTCATGCACCGTGCTGGGCCAGGGACGGCGCGGCCCACAGCAAGGCAACGCACAGGTCACCTGCAGGGAGTGTGCCCGAACACTGGCCACTGGTGACACCCATCATGACTGTGACCGTGAAGCCCGGACAGCTCAGTGATGCACGCAGGCCTGAGGGCCCGGGAGAGGCTGCGCCCTGACTGCCCCTGGAAGCCCACCCGGGATGGCCTCTCCCGCACAGCCAGCCACTGTGCCGCATCAGTTCTCCCACTGGCTGTGCCCCAGGCGCACCCGGCAGGACCCCAGCAAGCCTGCTCGTTGCCCATGGAAGTGAGTGTCCAGAGCAACAGTCAAAAGGAATGTGCCAGAATGTCAGAGATGGTTATCTGGGCTGGGTGGGGTTTTGTTTTTGTTTTTTCCACTTTACACATTCAGTTGTTCTAGGACAAGCACGTAAGAAAATAAGCCTGGGCACGGCGGCTCACGCCTGTAATCCCAGCAATTTGGGAGGCGGAGGCAGGCAGATCGCTTGAGCCCAGGAGTTAGAGACCAGCCTGGGAAACATAGCAAGACCCCCATCTCCACAAAAACAAAAAAAACAAAAAAATAAAAATGATCAGGGTATGGTGAGAGGCGTCTGTACTCCCAGCTACTCGGGGGGCAGAGGCCAGAGGATCATTTGAGCCCAGGAGGTCGAGGCTGCAGTGAGCCGTGATCACACCACTGCACTCCAGCCTGGGCAACAGAGCAAGACCCTGTCTCAAAAAAGAAAAAAAGAAAAGAAAAACTGTAAGCTATGTTTTGAAAAGAATATTGGTACTTCTAGAAAGTTTCCTCCGAGATGAGAATTTTAAAAACAAACAAAAGCTGTCTTTTTTTTTTTTTTTTTTTTTTTTGAGACGGGAGTCTCACTCTGTCACCCAGGCTGGAGTGCAGTGGCGCGATCTCAGCTCACTGCAAGCTCCGCCTCCCGGGTTCACGCCATTCTTCTGCCTCAGCCTCCCGAGTAGCTGGGACTACAGACGCCCGCCACCGCGCCCGGCTAATGTTTTGTATTTTTAGTAGAGATGGGGTTTCACCGTGTTAGCCAGGATGGTCTTGATCTCCTGACCTCGTGATTCGCACACCTCAGCCTCGCAAAGTGCTGGGATTACAGGCATGAGCCACCGCACCCGGCCAAAAGCTGTCTTCTAAGGGGAGCATGGGAGCTGGAGCGTCAGTGAGGCCCCCGCCAGCCATCCTAACCACCGCTCCTGAACACCATCCACTGTGGAAATTCTGGGCAGGTCCTGCGTGATGGGGAGCCCCAGTGCACCCCGTGTTAAGAGCTGGTGCCTGCAGCAAGGGCCAGAGGACAGGCCTGCCCGGGTTACGGCTGGCACACACTTGGTGCAGGAGCACCCGGTCTGACTCGCTTCAACACTGGCCAGTTATTTGCCGCAAGCGGCTGTGACTTATGTCATTTTTACAAGATGTTTTCAAATTATTATAGGAAGCTTTGAAAAATGATGGGTTAGGGCTGTGAGGCATAAAAGTTCAATCCAGGAGCGAGAAGGATGTTTTGTGAGTGGTGAGAGCAAATATCTCAGGGACGGCCCTGCATGCCAGGCATAGACTGACGTGCCGGCCCAGCCTCCCCAGTGGTGACACCATGACCAGCCAGAGAAGTGCAGGGTCAGCATTCTCCCAGGAACGCAGCCCTGGGCCTCGCCCAGACCCCTGGATGTGGGGGACAGGGCTGGCTCCAAGGAGATCAGGGCCATGGGGCCGGCCCTCAAGCAGCAGCCCCTGCTCCCTGCTAGCACCCCGGGCCAGACGCCTGCCTGCAGGGAAAGGCCATGACGGGCAGAGCAGGTCTCCCGCACACCTCCTTTCACAGGAGGAAGTGCAGGTGGCAGACCAGCCACCTCGGCCGTGGGCCACGTGCTCGCCCTGGGTGCTGCGGGGCTCAACCACGGAATGTCAATGGTACAAGGACGAGATCCCATGTGCTGGTGACACCTCCCCATACTCCAGGGCAGGGTTCCGAAAGAGCAGGCACCATGGCCTCACTTGCTCCTCAAAGGACTAGCCCTGGGCCTGGTGCTGGGAAGAGGAGGAAAGAGGAGACAGAAGGGAGGAGGGGGAGGGGGAGGAGGGAGGGAGAAAGAGGAGGAGGGAGAAGGAAGGTGGGGGAAGAGGAGGAGGGAGGAGGAGGAAGGAGGGAAGAGGAGGAAGGAGGGAAGAGGAGGAAGGAGGGAAGAGGAGGAAGGAGGGAAGAGGAGGAAGGAGGGAAGAGGAGGAGGAGGGAGGGAAGAGGAGCAGGAGGGAGGGAAGAGGAGGATGAAGGAGGGAGGGAAGAGGAGGGAGAAGGAGGGAGGGAGAAGGAGGGAGGGAAGAGGAGGGAGGAGGGAAGAGGAGGGAGGAGAGAAGAGGAGGGAGAAGGAGGGAGGAGGGAAGAGGAGGGAGGAAGGAAGAGGAAGAGGAGGAAAAAAGAGGGGGAGGGGGGAAGGAGCCATGCCACGTCCAGCCAGAAGCCACGTGGGACACATGTGAAGCACCGTGGAGGAGACAGGCTGTTCCTACAGCCAGAGCCCACCAAGACCACGGGGACTGGGCTGCAGAAGGCACGAAGCCACCCACCTGTTGAGACCCATGCAGATCTGTCAAGGTGGCCCATGAGGCAGCAGTGCAGGCAGCGTCCCCCCTTGGCTGGTGCCCTAAGCAGCCTGCACTCAGACGCTTGCAGAGACCAGCTGCCCTCTGATGACAGGCAAGGCCACAGCAGGGCTGAGAAGGACCACGGCATTTGTAACACAAGGGAGCAGAGTGGGCATCGGGACCCTGCCTGAGGGGCTGTGGCTGAGCCTGGGTGCGTGCGCAGGTCTGGGGCCTGACACGTGTCCCCATGCAGGGCTGTCCCTGGGGCAGGTGTGCCACCGAGGGGCTGCGCTCAGGTCTGTGGCCCGCCAGACAGGCTCTTGACTTCAGCACACTCCTTTGGGTTCGTACCTGCTACTATCTTTTTAATTTCAGCTGCTCGTCCCGTTGAGAGGCATACGGAAGAAAGGCAGAATAGGAAACCGTGAAAAGTCTTTTTCAGAAAGAAGAAAATCAAAAGAATCAAACAGGTTCAGGTAACAGAGCATAGGAATTGGAACCAACAAACATGGCCAGACTAAAACCGGAGACAAAACCCCACATGCCCGAACTCCTGAAGTGGCTCAGAGCTCCGGGAGCCCAGGGGGCGCCTTTTGGCTCTGCCTTCCGCGCTGCAGGTGCAAGGAGGGCGAGCTGCACCTGGAGAAGCCAGGCCGCAGCGACTGGGACGTGGCTGCTGCACCTGCCCTCCCTCGGACCGGCTGTCCTGAGGCCACAGGGCAAGATGCGCGGGCAGGAAGCGTGTGTCTTACGAACATCCTGGGAGGTGCCCGTGCCAGGGCTGGCCCGGAGCTCCCACACCTGCTCCCAGGGGCTTGGCACAGGAGGCTGGAGCGGCTGTGCCCTGCGACCCCCACACAGATCCCTGGAACAGACCCTCTCAATGCTGAGGCACACGTGGACCCCGCATGGGGCAGGGTTGACCATCTTGAGAGAAGGCTTGGACACTGCCACCAAATGCACGTGACTTTTGGTGAGCGGGGGCCCAGCCACACACCCTCAGAGGGCGGGTGGACCCCTAGCCTGGGAGAGGACATGGCACAGAAGCCTGTCCCCAGCAGGCTCACAGACGGGGCTGCTGCTACCCAACTGCATGAGGCCACAAGGAGGGGTCGCAAAAAGCCAACAGCTGAGACCCAAGGGGCGAGAAGTTTGGAGGAGGATTCAGAGCAAGTTTTATTCTCAGGAGAGCAAAGGCGTAAGGAGCTTTCCTGGAGGGACAGGTGACAGATCCCTGTAGATGAACACAGCCGAGCTCCGAGGCCCGAGGGTGTGGGAGCAGTGCTCTGGGCCAGGGCTATGCTAGGACCAGGGCGGGCACAGCCACCCCCAAACTGGGTCCCCTTGGGGCACAGCCTTAAAATAAACCTCCACATCTGGGTGCAGGCACGCCCACACCTGGCTGGCTTTAAATACTCCGAGTGTTAAAACTGTTAACAAACCTGCTTTAAAGACGAAATGGTAATCACAAGCCAAGTGACAATGCCGCAGGTGTTTTAAAGGGGAGCAAGGGAGATAAAACGGTAATCACAAGCCATGTGACGATGCCGCAGGTGTTTAAAGGGGAGTAAGGCAGATAAAAGGTTCCCAGAAAGCAAGCTGCTGATGGGAAGGGAGCAGAAAGCTCTCCGAGGGGTCTGCTCAGCAGGCGGCTGGAAAGAGAAGGGGGGCCTGGCAGGGCTCCCGAGGATGACCTGGGCATCACCCCAGGGCTGGGGGAGGGGGCTGCCGCTCCCTGGGCCTGAGGCAGGCGGCTGTAGGGCGGAGGCCTTACCCTCCAGCTGGCTGGCCGCCTGGTTTCCACCCGCTCGCTCCACGTCCCTCTGCTCGCGAGGCTCGGGCGGCAGCCCAGGCCCTGGAGCCGGCTTCTCCGCTGGGAGGGGAGGCTTCCCACCTGCACACACGGTGAAGACTCAGAAGGTTTTGCAGGAAAGTCAAGGGAGGGTTTGGGGGGTTGGGGGACAGAAGGCAAGGGCGGGACAAAAGGAAGTGGCAGATGTTTCTAAAGTGACACCCCCGTCAGCACAGTTTATATTCAACCTGATGATTACTAGCGAAGCAATAAAAAAATATTTAACAACCTCATAGGCTTGTGGCAATGAGCCAATGGTAACTGCCTTCGCAATTAAAATGCAAGAACTGTCCTAAGCAGCTCTTAGACGGGCACTTAACAACGTGTTACCTGTCAGGCGCCCCCCGCGCCGCCCCCCGTGTGCGCCCAGACACACGAGCACAGCGCGGCACCTGACATTTAGTGGTCTGGCAAACAACTGTGTGACAGATATTACAGTAGCTGTCAGCCACCAGCCTCTTCCTGTCCCCACCAGCTGCCGGGGCCCGCTCCATTTGCATGCTAATCTGGTGCAGGGAGAGAGACTGGGGACTGAGGGAGGAACCATCGATTCTGCTGCCCCTGCCCAGCCTCCCCAGCCCAAGAGGGGAGTGTCTTCCGACACGAGCCCAGGCTGACACCCACCGTGGTCGCTGTCCTCTGCGGGCTGCCCTGTGTCCCCGGCGGCGTTGCCTGGCGGCGGTCCCCCCTTGGCCTTTTCCCCTCCACCCACCGCCAGGCCGTTCTGCTGCTCAGACAGCACTGCCTGGGGCCGAGGATGCAGGCCCCTGTCTCCTGGCCCCAGGTCCTCCTTTGCAGGCTGGACAGCTGGCTGACCATCTGCTTCTGGAACTTTCTGGGGATCTTCAGGAAGATCACCCGCCTCCTCCAAGGCCTGGGCCTGTCCAGGCCTCTTCCCAACCTCTCCCTGCTCCGGCTCTTGTTTCTCTCTTTCTGAGTCGGGCAGAGGCGGCGCCATCTGGCCCTGGACCCCTGGAGCCTTTCCGCCCGCGTGTCTGGATGGAGGTTTGTTCTCTTCTGGCACCTCTCGGTCTTGGCCTTCATCTACCACCACCTTGTCGTGAGGAACAGGAGGCTCGTGGCGGTGGGCCTCGCCCACAGGCACAGCAATCCCTGCAAGGGCACGGGGGACAGATGGGGTCAGGCTGAGGCCCCTCCTTCCCTTCCCAGGGAATTAGAACTGGGTTCTTCCCTGGGTTCTGGCTCCCAACAGTGTGACACAGGCCAACAGATACCACCTCCCCTGCCGGCCTCCCTGCTGCCTGGCCAAGCACAGCTGATGCTAAAGTTCAACAGGGGCAGCTGCAAACAAGTTGCTCTGGGAGGGGCAGGACATTCATCTGAATTGAAAGACAGAGAAAACAAAAAGGACCAGAACTTAGGCTGGGCTGAAGGGAAAAAGATACACACAGCCCTGAGAGCCACCCCGCAGGGTGTCCAGCCTGCAAAGGAGGACCCGGGGCCGCCCTTCCCCATCCGCACCCCCAGCCAGTGCCCAGCACCTTGCCCAGGGCGATCGAGCTGTGCCTCCTCCGGTGCCTCCTTGCCATCTTCCCGTCCAGGCACATCCACGGGCCCCTTGATCTGGGCCTGCTCCAGCTCCTCTCTCTCCTTCGGCAGCTTCGGCTTCTCCCGGCCATCCTCAGCCACGGCCACAACCGGATCCTGGGCTGGGAGCAGGGCACAGTTAGGGAACTGCACTGCCAAGCAGCTCCAGGAGCGGGGCAGCTCTCCCTGGACTGTTACCATATTTTCCAGCCAAATGGCAGAGTCAAAGCAGTTTCTTTTTCCTGTTCGATCATTAGCAGCTAAGTAGCACAGAAAACTGTCATTTTTCATGTGTATTCACAACAAAAATATGTCAAAATGCGATTTACACCTAACTGGGGGCAGGGAGAACTAGACTCCATGTAATACTCAGTCATTACCACCAGATGGCGGCACGAGCCCACCGACCCACTCTCCCACAGTCCCCTCCATTACCATCACCTCCATCATCACCGTCATCACCGTCACCTCCACCACCACCACCACCATCACCGCTATCATCACCATCATCTCCATCCCTACCACCATCAACATCACCATCATCACCATCATCTCCATCCCTACCACCAACATCACCATCATCACCATCACCATCACCATCATCACCATCTCCATCCCTACCACCATCACCATCATCATCACCGTCACCATCATCACCATCTCCATCCCTACCACCATCACCATCATCATCACCGTCACCATCATCACCATCACCGCTATCATCACCACCATCTCCATCCCTACCACCATCACCATCATCATCACCATCACCACTACCATCACCACCATCACTGCCAACCCTACCATCATTGCCATCACCTCCATTATCGTCATCACCACCACCATCTCCATCCCCACCACCATCGCTGCATCATTGCCACCACCTCCATAATCATCACCTACATCACCGTCACCTCCACCGTCACTGCCATCACCTCCATCATCGTCGTCACCTCCGTCACCACCACCACCACCGCCATCACCACCTCCCTGTCCCAGCAAGGCCATATGTCCACTGAGACAGGCGCTGCAGCCGAGGGGGACTCAGGTGAAGCTGTCTGAGGAAGAATTCACACAGAGTCCAGTTCAGAGCAGCAGATGGGGCCTCACCAGCTCCCATAGGAGAAGAAAATGGGGACAATTAGCTTAGCTTTCTACCAGCCTTCTAAGAGCAGCCTGATATGTTAGTCTAGGGAAACAGACAGTTACACTGTTGTCAGTTTGGAGTTGAGAGTCCTAGACAAACTGTAGAGGGAAGGTACCACCCTACTGGGTAATAAACTAGTTAACAGAAAGCAGACGCTAGGCTCTACAGTTTAGTTAAAGTAACAAATTCAACTTTTTTTTAAGATGGACTCCTGCTGTGTCGCCCAGGCTGGAGTGCAGTGGCACAATTTCGGCTCACTGCAACCTCTGCCTCCCAGGTTCAAGCAATTTTCATGCCTCAGCCTCCTGTAGCTGGAATTACAGGAACCTGCCACAATGCCTGGCTGATTTTTGTATCTTTAGTAGAGACAGGGTTTCACCACGTTGGCCAGGCTGGTCTCAAACTCCTGACCTCAAGTGATCCACCCGCCTCATTCTCCCAAAGTGCTGGGATTACATGCGTGAGCCACCGCGCCTGGCCCAAGTGACCAATTCTATAAGCGTATGGCCACCCGCCTGAGCAGGTGAAAACATACTGGTCTCCATCACACGATTAGGCTTCGGCAGAGGCCCCATGCGGAAACAAGCCATAACTGTCAATCAAGAGGGCCTGTCCAATGGATTACTAAGTGAAGAAAGGGAGGCTGGGGAGGGGAAGGGAAAATATAGCAAAACAAAGGAAATCTCCGTTGTCATAGGACAAGTTGCCTCAGAGCAGTCATTTTCTCAGCAGGAGCAAAATTCAGTTCCTCAGGCCGTGAATGACCAGTCTGGGGCTCCAGGGGGAGCTCTGTGTGGGTGCAGGAGCCGCGGGACGGGAAGTGAGCACGGTGAGCCGGGAGCTGCCCCAGAGGTCCCTTTGGAGAACCTCCCGGGAACGCCACGCCTCTCAGCGTTCTGCAAGTGTTGCTGGATTGCACGGGCACCTGCAGGAAGGCTGTGCGAGTGTCCTGGCTCCCCGCCGCCTGCAGCAGCTGACCAGCCAAGGGCTGCACTCACAGCCTTCATGCCCGGCGCTCTGCAGCTGTCTGCGGGCAATGCACACAGCCTTCTCCACAACGGAGCCCATCTTTGCGTCAGGGACAGTTTGCCGGCAGTGCCTCTTGGCTGCAGTAAAACTAACACAAAACTTCAAAATCAGCAACTGAAAAACGTCCGAGTGCTGCCAGCCGCTTCCACTCTCAACATGAACACAGGTTGCGCAAAGACAGAAAGGGGCCCTGTATGGGGAGTGCCCCCGCCAGCTCACGACTGAGCTCCTCGGGAGGGAGGAGATCTCTGGCATCCGAATTTCTTCTCCTAGAAGGCCAGCAACACACCCGGCTAAGCCACAGTAGAGGCGGCCACGGCCAAGGGGGATGGCTCCACGCACGCCCCCAGGAACACCCAGCAGAGGGTGCTGCCGCAGGGCAACCATCCTCCCTCATTTGGCTTCAAAAATCGCCTCCAGGCCAGGCATGATGGCTCACTCCGGTAATCCCAGCACTTTGAGAGGCCGAGGCAGGAGGATCACTTGAGGTCAGGAGTTCAACACCATCCTGGCAAAACCCTGTCTCAACAAAAATACAAAATTAGCCGGGTGTGGTGCCGCGCCTGTATTCTCGGCTACTCAGAGGCTGAGGTGGGAGAATTGCTTGAACTTGGGAGGTGGAGGCTGTAGTGAGCCAATATCGTGCCACTGCACTCCAGCCTGGGCGACAGAGCGAGACTCCATCTCAAAAAAAAAATCATCTCCAGTCACAAGAAACCACGACCCGTGACCATCATTGGCACGTGGTGCCAGGAATGCTGTGTTTATGCTGTCCCAGCGGCTCCTCACTGCCAGGTGCTGACGCAGGTTCCCAGCTCCTGGCACCCACAAAAACACACACCTTCCTAACAAGTGACAGAGGCCACAACTCAGCCACGGCGGAGGCGGATCCCTCAGACTTTCCTCCCTGCTGTCTAGTCGGGCATGGAGGCCCCAAGGCTGCCAAGGCCACAGCTCAGGGCTCGGTCTTTGGAGTCAGACATGCTCGGGGACTTGGAGGTGGTGACCTGGAGGGGAAGGGGCAACATCTAATGCATCCCCAACCCCACATTCAAGGCTGGCGTCCACCCCAGACCGGAGGCCAGCACGGACGGGCGGGGAGGCCAGCGACGCTGCCGTCCGGACCCCAAGAGTCGGCAAGGTGGCTCTGCGGGCTGCCGGCTTGGACCCGCCATGGCTCCCTCTGTGCACTTTGTGATCAGTAAAGGTGGAGACAGTCACATCAGACGGCCCCCAGACGAAGTGACTTTTAAACACACTCCCGGCATCCCACGGACGGAGTGCCTCATCCACTCAAGTGCCGCCCCAAGTTCAGGAGGAGGCTCGGGATCCCAGGGCGCCACACTCGCAAGAGGTGAGAACAATGGCCGCTGACGTGACTTCAAAGCTAGTCCCTGCTTTTAGGCAACTTTTCTAAGAGCTGATTTCTGACTTTCCCTTGATGCTGCCATGAGAAAGTATTACTCATGAAGGGCTTGGCTTTACAGCCCAATCTTGAGCACACAGCTGACCAATGACCTCATGGTCTGATCTTTGCGAATGTGAGGGGGAATCCCAGGCTATCTGGCTCCTGGTACCCGGGTGTCTGGGCTGGCAACACAGCCAGGCCCTGGTACAGCCTCCGGCAGGCGGAACCTCCTCACCACTGCTTTTGCCTCCGCCGTGGCTGGCACCACTGCTGTCTCCTGGGAGGCGGGAGAGGCTCCCAGTTCCTTCCACAGAGCACCGAATGGTCCGTGAGAAACAGGGCCACATGCTTCTCCCTTCTCTCCTCTGACTGTGGGGACAACGCCACCCTGCTGGAGCTCTCCTGCATGCCCTACTGAGAAAGTTTTCTTTTTAAGAGACAGGGTCCCACTCTGTCACCCAGGCCGGAGTGCAGTGGTGCCATCTCGGCTCACTGCAGCCCTGACCTTCCAGGCTCAAGCGATCCTCCCACCTCAGCATCCAGCCACCATACCCAGCTAATTTCTGTATTTTTAGTAGAGACAGGGTTTCACCATGTTGGCTGGGCTGGTCTCAAACTCCTGACCTCAGGTGATCCTCCTGCCCTGGCCTCCCACAGTGCTGAGATTCCAGGTGTGAGCTGCTGTACCGGCCCGGAGAAGGCTTCTGATAGCTCCTTTGCTGTGTCCCCCGCGCCTCTCCTCCTCTTATAATTTTGTGTCATGTTTCTGTTGCTGTCCTGAGATGGCAGGGAGCTGATTCCATTGTCTGAGATCACCCCGCCATCCGTGCAGGACCTGGCCGAATTCCGAAGGGCCCTGCCTCCTGCAGCCTCTGGCCTGTGTTGAGCCACGTGACCTGCCTCCACGCATGGGGGCTGTGTGTCCCCGCTTGGGCCTGAGCACACAGAACTGTGGCCATCTCTGCCCCCGCACCAACACACACGACCCGTCGACACCCAGCAGACCCTCCTTCTGTCCCACATCACCGCATTCTGGGTCCCTTCTCAGCCAGGCCCCTGCCTCATTTTCCCACGGAGCGGAAGTGCAGCTGTGCCTGCCCCGCTGGGGGAGCGGGGACGAGGGTGCCCGAGGGGTGCGGGCCCTGCTGTGCTGCCCCATGCAGCAAGGGAGGGGCGTGCAGGCACCGGGAGGACAGGGGACCTGCAGCTCCAAGAAAGGAACAGATGTCACAAAACCCGAACCCAGCCCTAGCCTTCAGGGTGCTAGAGAGAGCAGGTACGAACGGCCCGACTCCCAGCTTTCAAGGTAACTGTCTTCATGAGCCTTTGCAGGGACTCAGCCATGCTCACAAAGGCCTGTGAAGCCGTGCATGGGGCCCCGGCTGTGCGCGTCTAACCACGACACATGACATCTGCATGAGGATGGGATTCACGGCCACAGCCCAGGGCCACGCAGGACTCTCACCCAGTCAGCAGGTACCATCTTTGGCCTCTGCAGCATCAAAGAGACCAATAAAACTCCGCTCAGCAGTCTGACAGGGAGCGCACATCGGTGCAGGACCCTCGACCCCAGCTCAGCCTCAGCCCGGCAGCCCATCTATCACGGGGGAGCCGGGGGCTGGAAAATCAGAGACACGCTAAAAACAAGCAGCATGTGGTTCTGAGAGGGGCCATGTGTTTTGTTACAGCCTCGTGGAAGAAACAGAAACCAGATGTGGCCTCGGAGGGCACCAGGTGAGCCGGAGGCCCACGGCCCGCACAAGCCTCATGACGGGATACAGCTGCTTGCACCGGCCGCAGGCAGAGGCGGCGCAGTGCTAAGGGGACGGGGAGCCTCCTGCTGGCTGGCACCGAGAAGTCCACTCCCCGGCAGCCTGCTGGACGAGGGCGACACCCCTCACTGCCCAGGGCTAGGGTCTCAGCACACTGGACTCTAGCTCCCAGGCTACCACAATCCCACCGACAGCTCCCATGTCAGCGCCCAGTCTAGCCCAGAGGCCTGGACAGCAGTAAGTGGCCCTGCTCAGGCAGGACCGAGCCTGGGGCACCAGCTGAGGTGGGAGCAAAACACCCACCTCCCTCTCCAGGTGGACGTTTTTCCAGTCCGAATTACCAAATCCAACGCAAGGCAGCTCCACCGGCTGCTTCGGAACACTCCCAGTTTCCTTCTCTGGTGACCCCTACTGTCCCCAAGCACAGCCCCGCCAGCTGCACGGAACCCAGAAGGCAGGGCTCCCCTGCCCACCTTCGCCATCCGGGAACAGTCATCCTTGGCAAATATGAGCACAGCGGATCCAGGAAGACCCTCGGAGAGTGTCCCTCGGGGCAGTTTGTATGAGGTGACAACGCTGGGAAGGAGCTTTCCAGGCACAGGAGTGCGGAGCTCAGAACAGAGATGACAACAAGCCCCAGGGTCACGGCTGAGATGGCGTCCCCACGCACTCAGCCGACGCCAGGGGCTCCCTTCAACGGACCTCTCCTCCTGTCTGTTACAGAAGTGGAGGCCCCTCCTGGAGGCGGAAGTCACTGGCCAGCACCTCCATAGCCGCCTGAGACCCCCAGCCAGAGCCGGCACTGCTCACTGGGGCTCCTCGGGTGGTGGGCAGATGACGCCCAGCGAATCTGACTGAGCCGGGGCCTCTGCAGAGGGGTGTGTTGGATATGGTCGGCACACGGGCAGTGTGGATGCATAAACCCAGCTGTCGTCAGAGGCAGAAGACCCCAGCGTGAAGGTCATCGTGGACAGCACCTACCTGCCCATCCCTGCCTGGTGCCACTCAGAGCTCGTGGGAGGGCTGGCCTGGGGAGGTCTGCTGCCTGCAGGGCCGCCTTGTGTGGCACTCCCTCTCTAGGCCTGGGAGGGTCAGGGAGGCAGTAGCCACCCAGGCCACGGAGCTGCGGCTGCACCTGGAAAGCCACACTCAGGAAACACGCATCTCTGCACCCCGGGCTGTGCCACAGACGGAGGCGTCAGGGTTATGGGGCGCTGCGGCCGGGACTCTGCCACAGACGGAGGGTCGAGGTTACAGGGCGCCACGGGGCCCCTCCTGAAGCGGCCTGCAGCTAGCTGCCTGAGGGCTCATGGTCCTAACTCCACCCACGGTCCTGGTGAACAAATAATAAATAACCTGAAGCAGCAAACCAAACTGAGGCCTGATCGCCGACCCTGTCCAGGAGAAAACTGGAGAAACTTACATCCTCAAATGAATAACAGCACGTGAGCAACACTCAGAAACGTACACCCCACCTAGCCCACCGAGTGGCAGGCATCCAGGCCAGCGGCCACTCCTGTCCCATGTTCCCTGCATACAGGTGGCCACTCCTGTCCCATGTTCCCTGCACACAGGCAGCCATGCCACAGCCAGCCATGGTGCACAGAGCATGTTCACAGGGGAGGCTGGTGGCCCCACCCTGCTGGCTGCACCCACACAGGACAGAGGCCACTGAGCAGGTAAGCACAATCCTCGGACCAGACCCAGGAGACACCCAGTGGGCACTTGCCCTGAGAAGGCTCAGAGAGCCAGGGTGGGCATACCTGAGAGCCGCGCTGCCTCCACCTTCATCAAACCCTCGGCCTCTCCAAGCCGGCCGCCAGGGGCTTCCTCTGCCAAGTCCTCGGGGACCTCCTCGCTCACAGACAGTGTGGTGACAGTGCTCACCACCAGGACGCCCAGGCCGACCCACAGCACCACCTGAGGAGACAAAGACCCCAGGGGCGGGAGTCACAGCTGGCCCCCGCCCCTGCCCAGGGTATAAAACTGGCCTGGCAGAGAGGCTCAGGGACGGGGTGAGGCACGAGGAGAGTGGACATGACAAAGTCCCCCGAGGACGGGACAGGCGTGCAGTCGGCCCTGCCTGAGGACAGGTGTCCACTCCCAGGGAGACGGGCCCACCTGCCCGCGAAGCTCCCGACCACTGGGAGAGGGCTGAGCCCTGATGCGCCGCTGCCAGAGCATGGCAGGACTCCTGGCATCCAGCCTGTGGCTGACGTGCCCTCCATGCCAGCTGGGGTCATGGGCCAATCCTGTCAGAGCTATGCCAGCCATTCAGGACGGAGCGGGAGGGACAGCGGCTTCCAGAAGCTGAAGGTACGTGACGAGCCTTAGGGGAGCAGAGGCTGAGCACTGCCCAACCTGCCTGGGAGAGGAACAGGAACCTCCAGGCAGACTTGAGCGTCCCCGTCCATGCTGTCCGCAAAGCGAGTGCTCCTGCACAACCCGCAAGGCTGGCCCCGTGCAGCAGACGCAGGCCCGTGCGCATGAAGGGCTTGCCCCAAAGTCATCACAGCTGGCACCATGCATGGGCACGGGGGACAGAAATGGCCTTCGCCTCTCCTTAGCTGTGGTGTGGTGCCCACTGGGGTCACCCTGTGAGCTGACCTCCAGGCACTCTTTGCCGAAGGCTCTCCCTGTGTGACCTAGTCCTCCCTCCTTCCCCCGCTCCCCGGCCAATCGTAAGCATCACACGTGCCGCCTCGGTGACTCTGACAAACTGTACACTGCTTGGCCCGGCTCCTGCCACCCCGGCTCCCGCCACCCCGGCTCCTGCCACCCCTGCTATGTTAGCGAACACACTGGGCCCACTCCTCCCCAGTCATTCACGGGGCCACGGCAGCGGGTGCTGGTTTCTGCCTGGCCTGGCCCAGCACAAGCTGCTCTCCCCAGGGAAGCGCTAACTCCCGGTTGGGCAGAGCCTGTGTGCACTGGCAAGGCGGACTTCTGTAGAGCCAAGGGGCTGTGCCATTCCCTCTGTGGTCTCAGAGCCAGAACTCAAAATCCTTTTCTGAAAGGTATGTCGATTCTTAAAGAAAATCAGTTCAGAAGAACTGGTGAGACCTCCCTGGTCCAATACAATTAGAGAAGAGGTCTCCCCAGAGGGAAGGACTCGTGCTCTCCGAAGCTGGTGGCAGCTGAAAAAGACAACCTAGTGGAGAGCCCGCTTCCTCTACTTCCTTCTCTGCCACCCGGAAACATTGGGCTGGTGTCGGCATCTCCGGACGCCAGGTGCTGCTGAGGCTCTGGGGTCAGTGGGCTCCGCCGAAGGGAGCCCGGCCGCAATGTGCCTCGGGGCTTGTAGGATGCCCAGGGAGCCCAAAGCCCCTCTGGCAGTAACCACAGCTGGCCGGAGCAAGCGGTGACGGCAGGCCTGCCCCAGGTGCACACGGGGACACTGTCTGATGTACGTTCCGGAGGTCCGGACGGGGCCTGCAGGCTCGACGGCCCACAGAGCTCTGCCCCGCCCTGGCCCCGAATGTTCTCCTCCATTTGTAGATGCCCCTTCAGCCATGTTACATCTTCCTTGCAGTGAAGGGAAGAGTCCCAGGGCAGTGGTGGTGTCTGGAAGGTGACCAAAGCAGTCTTAAGATAATAAAAAGAGGAAGAAACCGGAACTCTCGCGAGGCTGCCCGATCTGTGTAGGGAGCAGGTGTGGAACGGCCCGCCCAGTCAGTGGGTGGTGTGGATGGCCGTGGCTTAGAGGCCTGAGGCCGGAAGGAAAGGCCTTGCCTCTTACAGCCCTTGTGACCCCTCCTACGCCAGAGCTGCCCCGGGACCTCCATCTTCAAGGCCCTGCCCTCCCATCGAGGCCTCTGCCAGCCAGCACAGGGCAGAGACCAGGCTCGGGCTACCTGGGGTAAAGGGTCCGGATGGAAATTCAACCCGACCCACCAGGAAGCTGCCTGGACAGGAGACTGTGTTGTCTGGAAGCCCTGGGAAGCTCCTCTCAGTGTGGGAATCCTGCCCCGCAAGGCAGCATACCCTCGCCTCGTCCCGGGTGGATTTCTCTAACTGGGCGTGTGCTAAGTGCATCTCACATTTCTCCAGCTGAGGGTGGACAGAAATGACCTTGCAGAGAAGCTACAAAAAAAAATTTATCTCCCTACTTGGACTTCCCATAACACCAACACGCTAATTACGGGATCTTGGTGAGAGTACCTAAATGGGAAGGGAAAGCACCTTTGCCACCGGCTGGTCAGGACAGGAGACTCCCCAGGTGGGAATCCCAGGAGCCCAGAGTTTGCCATCCGCCAGGGAGCACAGCAAGACCCGGCCCCTCCAGGCCTCAAACGCTTTAGACCCAAAGATAAAGACATTGGTTGGTCATTTTATGTCAGGTTATTTTTAACGGGGACCTCATCTAAAACATCCATGGAGACTGATGGGCCAAAGAAACATCTCCATGACTATAATGATTTATTTCAACCCCCAACTTTCTGAGCTTAAAAATCACATGCAAAATCAAAACCATGAACTCACTCCATGCTGGGAGACAGCAAGCTTTCCAGGAAGACCCAGGACCGACGAGCCTTGGAAAGGACACAAGCGCAGGGAGGAGAACACGCTCGACCGAGGCCCTGCAGAGCGCCCTGAGTGCGAAGCTGATCGGCAGGGGAGGGGGGCTCCCGAACGGCTGCACAGGGACCCCCACCACCTGCCACCTCCCAGGGCAGTACCTGGGGACCGAACTCAGCCCCAAGTCCAAGAACATCTCGAAACACACTGTGGAGAAGTGGAGGCTTGAGGTCACCGTACACAGGGAGCCTGCATGGAATCTTTGGGCTGGGACAAGGGCGGGACAATTCCAGACACGCGGGTCCAGGAAGCAGACCCAACCCCGCCCGCTGCCACGTACACACCTGCTGCCACCTCCTACCCCAAGGCGTCCCCATCAGGAGAGCCATCCCTGGGCCCCCACAATGCACCAGACAGCACATTACTGCCGGCGAAACGCCACTCGGGACAAGCCCCCGGCGTGAGGGCAGCAGAGTAGCCCTGAACACTGAGATGGTGACGCCCCGGGCGCACCCCTGCCGGCTGGAAGGCTCCATCCCCTCTTTGCTGAGACCCCTCGTCCTGGCTCGCTGACTTTCAGGCTGTCAGGCTCTGCGGGGCACTTGCCGGTGACCACTGCCTTGAGCACAAGCAGCCGCTGGCCCGGCCGACAATGCCACAGTCCACATGCCCAGGCTTTCCTTTAAGACACACCCTGGCAGAGACACCAGCACTGCCCAGCTTGAGGGGACCCGTGGGAACGAGGAGGCCGCATGGGCACTTGTGATAGCGCCTTGGGTCCATGCCTCATCCATGAGGGGGCAGCGCATGCAGTGACCAAATCCCAGTCTGTGGCTGCCACGTGCCAGGAGTGTGTGTGAGCACCTTTCACTTCTGTGCCAGAGCCAGGGCGGGAACACGGACCCAGCAGCAGCAGCGGGCACTGGGCATGTGGAAGCAGCACAGCATTCACTGAAGTCCCCAAGGCAGCTGTGAGAACTCTGCCGGGGACTGGGCCACAGACACCACGGAGTGGACGCCGCAGTCCCCGAGGACAGGGTGGGTGCCAGGCTCCCCCGTGCTTGTCCTGCCACTGGAGTGTGGGAATCCAACCACGGGACGTGTGACATAGACAAGGGAACGGTCAGTAGTTCCCTCGGAATCCCGAATAAGGGCGTAAGTGGAGTTCTGCACAGACGGGATGGCCGGGAACTTGGGGGGCCTGTGGGGAGCACAGCGGCTGCCCAGCCTCAGTGGCGGGGGAAGCCCACGGAGCCCCAGCCCAGCCTCCAGCCCTGTACTTCCAGCACAGCTTCCTGCACAGCCTAAGAACTTCCTTTGAGGACGCGGTCATTCAACGGACCAGCGTGCCAGACACCTGGTTTCAGAGCACCCCGTGACTTTCATTTCGGCAGTTATCAGATCAATACAGCCGCAGAACCGGCCAGCAGGAGGAATGCAAGCCCACTCCAGACGTCTCACCTGAGCTTGGAAAATCCAGGGGCCTGACCAGGGGCCGCGCACTGCCCGGATCGTAGCACCCTCCCCCGGAGAAGTGATCAGGGCCTCCAGACACACAAGGCGTCGCTGACTCAAATGCAGAGAGAAGCACCAGGGGCAGGGGAGAAAACACTCACTTTCACTCCACACATGTAGAAAGTGCACAAGTCCACGCTCTGCACTTCAGCCATAAAAAGCACAGCTGGAGGTGGGGGCTCTGGCTGCTCTGCACCACGCGCCTCGATTTGGGTCTCAGGGCAGCCCAGCTGGCATCCAGGCACCACCCAGCAAGGCCCCGAGCCTCAGCAGGCCTTGGGGGTCCTCTCTGGTTACAAGCAGATGCCCCGCTGGTGGCTCGTGTCTGAGAGTCGCAGTGTGCATTTCACTGCATCTTCCAAGAGCAGGGGCCAGCTTTCAGGCCTTTCAGGGACTGCTGCCCTCTGGGCGCACCCGTGAGGCAGCCTCCCGCGCCCCAGGGATCTGTCCTCTGAGTGGCCCTCAGGCACCTTCTAAGCCACCTGCTGCTACACTCCCTCATGGTTCCAGGGCAGCAGGACCAAAGCCCCAGCCTCACTCAGGACTGGAGAGACCCTCAACTTTCTGACTTTCAAAATAAAGAACCAAACAGGGCGGGCGTGGTGGCTCACACCTATAATCCCAGCACTTTGGGAGGCCAAGGCGAGTGGATCACCTGAGGTCAGGAGTGTTCAAGACCAGCCTGGCCAACATGGTGAAACCGTGTCTCTACCAAAAATACAAAAAATTAGCCAGGTGTGGTGGCGCACGCCTGTAATCCCAGCTACTCGGGAGGCTGAGGCTGGACAATCACTTGAACCCAGGAGGCGGAGCTTGCAGTGAGCTGAGATCACACCACTGCACCCCAGCCTGGGCGACAGAGCGAGACTCTGTCTCAAAAAATAAAAAAAGAACAAAACACTTGGTGGCAAATGTATCTTTTCGATTCCCTCAGGGCCGACCTATTTTCCTGTCCCCTGGTTGATCTTCTGAGGACGAGCTGGAACATTCCTTCTTTTTCACGTCTTTCTCCAGCACAGCCTTGATTCACCTACTACACAGGTGTCCCCACTTCCCTGTCCACCCCAGCATATCACCAGTTGTGGCTCTTCCTGAGGTCCCTGGGCTGGGTACAGGCACCATATCGCTGAGAGTACTCAGACAGGCCAAGGCACAGATCCAGGCCTGTGCCCCTCCGTGGGCGCAGCCGGAGCCCCTGGGACAGTGGCCACGCCGAGATGTGGCGCCACAGGCCCAGGGTACGGCCTTGCGGTGCTGACATCTCCGTACCTAAGGAAACAGGGCATGCTGAGCGGATGGCACACGGTGGTCCGCTGGCCCCACGACCTACTGCGGAGCCGTAGGAGCGCTGGGGACAGGACGCACCAGACCCAAGTCAGAGGGAAAAAGAAACCTCTCCGTCTCCTCCACGCACAGCCAAACTGCGGTGAATGTGATTCAGTGCGCTTTCTAGCTTCCAAAAGACATGGCAAAGCAGGCACAGAGAGATGCTTCTTTCACCCAATTCTGTGTGTGTCTACACATGTCTACACACCAAGTCAAAAGCCGACACTGGGCTAACGGGTAAACACTAGAAGCCATCCCAGAGTCAGTGACGCGCCAGCCACTCACACCAGCAGCGCCGTGGCCACAGGTGTGTGACGCCACACACGGGCAAGAGAGGAGGAAGCGCTGCAGCAATTGGAAAGAGGGAGGCGACATCATCATTAGCTGCAGGTGAAAAGCCAAGAGATCCAGCAGGAGTACAGTAAGGTGAACGGGCGAAAATGTCACCTATGAAATCTCTAACTTCCCTTTACACAAACAGCCACTTAGAAAATCCAGGGGGAGGGCCGGACGCGGTGGCTCACGCCTGTAATCCCAGCACTTTGGGAGGCCGAGGCGGGCGGATCATGAGGTCAGGAGATCGAGACCATCCTGGCTAACATAGTGAAACCCCGTCTCTACTAAAAATACAAAAAATTAGCCGGGCATGGTTGCAGGCACCTGTAGTCCCAGCTATTCAAGAGACTGAGGCAGGAGAATGGCGTGAACCCAGGAGGAGGGGCTTGCAGTGAGCAGAGATCGTGCCACTGCACTCCAGCCTGGGCGACAGAGTGAGACTCCATCTCAAAAAAAAAAAAAAGAAAAAGAAAAAAAAAGAAAATCCAGCGGGAAAAGAGATCCCAGGATAGCATGCAGTGCAGCCAACAGCCACCTGGGAAACAGATGGGAACGAAGGACCTACAGTGAGGTCTGGATAAACCAAATGCAGTGCCTTCCTGCTGAGCAGGAGAGTTCGCAAGGACATCTGCACATCAGCTACAGTGTAAAGACGGCAATTCCCAAGTTAATCTATAGTTTCAATAAGCCCAGTTAGACCAAAAAATAAAAAGCAGGACTAATTTTTTGTTAGAGTCAGATGGGCTGATTCCAACATTCATACAGAAAATAAAACAAAGACTATGCAGAAAATGTATTATTAACAGCCAAGAGGCGAGATGAGAATTAAAGTGTTCCAAGAGCAACAAGTCACAACTCCGTGAGTGTTACCAGGGTGTGGCAACTAACACGCAACTAACATGCAACTAACATGCAACTAACACAGTACGGAAGGGCAGACCAGCCAATAAAGTAAAACACAGGTCCCAAGTTAGGCCCGAATACATATAAGAATTTAATCTACAATAGCACTAACATTTCCCATCAGTGATGGATTATTCAATAAATCATGTCTGACGACTAGGGAACCATCTAGAAATAAACTGAGGATACATACTTTGTTTCTTACACCAAAATAAAATACAGGTAGATCAAAGATTTAAATTAAAAAAATGAAGTCATTAAAGTACTAAAAAAATGAGGGAGGAATTATTTTAAAATAATACTGGAGTGGGGAAATTCTAACTATGGCCCTCCCCCTCCTTCTTCTTTTAAAATAGTACTGGAGTGTGGAAATTCTAACTATGACTCTTTCTTTCCTTCCTTCCTTCCTCCCTCCCTCCCTTCTTTCTTTCCTTCTTTCTCCTGCTAACTCACAGAACAGATGTTTTTTCTAAGGAAGCCCAATGGACTAAAACATGGGACCTGGCATAGCAGGACATGTGCCATCTGATGAGCAGAGGCTGAGGCTCTCATGCTATCTTAAGCTCCTAAAACTCACCAAGAAACTTCCTCATCAAGCTATGGCATAATAGCTGGTATCAAACTGGTCTTCCTATTTAAAACAATGGTAAAAGCTGAATAAAAACAATAAAAACACCCAACCAAAGACACTGGTAAACAGCTCTGTCAGCTCAGACTTGAGAGGTCCAGATCCCAGAGGACAGAGAAAAGCCCTTAGTCACAGAGAGGTCAAGCCTGTTGCCCTTGGAGACTCATCGATCATTGGGACTAAGCAGACAAGACAAGAGAGCACAACAGCCTAGAGCCTGGGCACACTCACAGGGCTGGGCACCGAGAAGCAAGAATGAGGGCGCTCCAGCAGCCAGAGCTCGAGGGAGAGAAGGAAACCTCGGAGAAGGACGCCACTCCACATTCTGTGTGCAAAAATCTCCCCCAAAGCACTTGCCAGCTATCAGCTATGCAGAGAGGAGCCAGCAAGATGATGAACGCCAAGCAGAAGATGAACGCCAAGCAGAAGATTCACCATTTGAGGGTGTCACTGCCCAGCTGAGACCCCAGAAGGGCTGTACCCTAGGAACAAGGCCAACTGAAAACACATTTGCCTCAATGGGACACAGGCCTTCTGCCTATCCCCTGTATGATGGATGAATGACAATGTCACCCAGAACTTCTACGATTTCTCAAACACAACATCTGCAAAATACCAGGCACACTAGAAAACAAGACCCCAGGACAAAAAAACAAGAAGCCACAAAGAATCAATATCAATACTTTTTTCTTTTTCTTCTTCTTTTTTTTCTTTTTTTTTTGAGACGGAGTCTTTTGCTCTGTTGCCCAGGCTGGAGTGCAGTGGTGCTATCTCGGCTCACTGCAACCTCCACCTCCCGGGTTCAAGTGATTCTCCTGCCTCAGCCTCCCAAAGTGCTGGGATTACAGGAGTGAGCCACCATGCCTGGCTCAATAATTACTATTTGAAACAACAATAACAATGTCTTGTGGAGTTTTAAATAAGGGTTGATATCAACTGCCTAGTATAATCATTAGAAGAATAGAAATGTACCAACAAGCCAAAAAAAGAGTAAATATTTAAAATGTTTGATTGATCCAAAGAAAGTAAAAGCAAAAACAGAAAAAGGACATATGAGACAAATAATAGGACATAAGTTGAAAGTTTTCCCTCAAAAATCAGTTATTATATTAACTGTAAATAGTCTTAAATACTCCCATTCACAGACTGAATAAGAACAAGACAAAAGTCAACTGCATGCTGTTATAAGAGACATACCATGAATATAATGGACTAGAGAAATCAAAAGAAAAGGGATGAAACAAGCTATCCTGTGCAAATACAAACCCAAAGCAGAACTAAGTTAGCTACAAAGCCAACTTTAAGGAGAAAAGTATTTCCAATGATAAAAAGGAGTATTTAACACGATAAAAGACAATTCAACAAGGAGATATAACCAACTTCAATCTGTCTGCTCCTAATAACATGGCTTCAAACTAAAAAGCAAAAAGTGATGGAACTAAAAGGAAAAATAAACAAATCTGCAGTTACAGTAGGAATTATCATACCTTTCTCACAACTCATAAACAAGATGATTAAAAAATCCATAAGGGGCTGGGTGTAGTGGCTCACGTCTATAATCCCAGCACTTTGGGAGGCTGAGGCGGGTGGATTATTTGAGGTCAGGATTTGAGACCAGCCTGACCAACATGGTAAAACCCTGTCTCTACTAAAAGTACAAAAATTAGCTGGGTGTGGTGGCACACACCTGGAATCCCAGCTACTCAGGAGGCTGAGGCAGGAGAATTGCTTGAACCCAGGAGGCAGAAGTTGCAGTGGACCTGAGCCAAGATGCTGAAGAAGTGGCTGACACACGTGGACGTGTATTCTAATGTACACTGTAAGAATCTATTTACCGCAACTTGAAGACAAGGCAAGATCATTCCAGAATGCCGGAGGACCTTTGGGGTGGGGGTGGATGTCAGTGAGGCATCCATAGGGAGCTCTGGGGTGCCGGGATGTCCTATGTCTGCTCTGGATGGTGGTTCCACGTGGTTCACTTTGTAAAAACTTATCAGGTTGAGGCCGGGCGCATTGGCTCACACCTGTAATCACAGCACTTTGGGAGGTGGAGGCGGGTGGATCACCTGAGGTCAAGAGTTCAAGACCAGCGTGACCAACACGGAGAAACCCCGTCTCACTAAAAATACAAAATTAGCCCGGCGTGGTGGCTACTCAGGAGGCTGAGGCAGGAGAATCACTTGAACCTGGGAGGCGGAGGTTGCAGTAAGCCGAGACTGCGCCACTGCACCCCAGCTTGGGCAACAAGAGTGAAACTCTGTCTCAAAAGAAAAAAAAAATTATCAATATATTCCAGTAAGAAAAAGCTCAACAACTCCATAAAAAGTGAGCAAAGAACACAAGCAGTTCACAGAAAAAGAAACGCAAGTGGCTTCTAAACCCATGAAAAGACACTCAAGTTCCCGCCAGAGAGGCCAAGAATGATGAAGCCTGGAAGGTCCTGGGTGCAGGGACAGAGGCCTTGAGCCTGGCTGGGAGTGACGCTGCAGGCACTTTGGGTAGAGCCACCACATTTACAGATGCTCACACCCCTGACACAGGATTCCATTTCTAGAAGGCTTCCTACAGACGCGTGCTCAAATACGTCGACATGCTCATGAACACAGATATTCATCGCGATTCTGTCTGCAATAGCAAGACTGGAGAGGTGAGTCCTTCGGAGACTGGGATTATGGAATCTTCCTACCACGGAACCCATGAAACGGCTAAAAATAGCGAGGCAGCTCTGTGCCCACGGCTGTGGAGCAACCTGACCTGCACAGGGTTTTGAGCAAAAGCAGCAGGAAGCTGTGTTACAGTTAAAGAAAAACCCACAAGCACGCACATCTCCGTGGGAGGGTCGCACCAGGAACAACGGTGGGTGGTGGCCTCAGGGGTGGGCGGCTGGGGAGGGGACTCAGAGGTGGCAGCAGGTCCATGGGCAATCAGGCATCGCAGAAACACCATGGGGAAAGCGCTTACGACTCAGCTAAGTCGGCTCTCAGGAAAACCCGATGCACAGCTTGAGCAGCTTAGTGTGGCCCTGCTGGGCAAAGACCGTGCGTCCTGGTGAACCCAGGGTTCCCCAGGCTGACTGGACCAAGTCCCTTTTGTGGGTTTTAAGTTTCTTGATAGAACCCATCTGAAAACGCTGAACCAGGGGCTTCCTCCCGCCTCCACCTCTCCCCAGCCCAGACCCATCAGCCCTCGTCCAGGCCACCCCACGAGCAGCACGCACCTGGGAGGAAAGTGCGTTCTTGTGGATTTTCTTGTAGATCAGCGCCGGGCAGATGAAGCAGATGAGGCTTCCCATGGTCGCTCCTGTGAGGCCCAGGATGGTCTCCACTAGGATGGAGAAGTGACAGGAAGGGATGAGTGGGGAAGGGCTCTGGGAAGGAGGGGACCTGAGCTTTTGCCCTGCACACGGGTGAGCAAGCCAGCATTGAAGGAAATGCCGTCTAGGCGTGAGCCGGGAGCAGAGACGCCCTCTGTGCCCAGAAAGCCTGACAACCGCGGCTGATTCCTCCAACAGTGCATTTAGGCCCCGGGGTGAATTCTCTGATGGTTCATCTTTAAAGAGTCAGACACTAGGGACCTCCTGCCGAAACCAGATGCTGGCTGCGCACGGCACGGCTCCTGCGCCGCCTCTCCTGCCTGCTGCTCCATGAGTGGCCCTAGGAAGGCAGGACCTATCCTAGGGCAGGTGTAGAGGCCAGGGCCTGGCGGGTGCTGCCAGGCTGCAGCCCCTGCCAGGAGCCCAGACAGATCGCCTCTAGGGCTGTTCCCTGGGGAGAGTGCGTGCGAGTTCCCCTGTGATGTCATCCTCTGATGACAACGAGCTCTGTCTTGTCTGCTAGGGAGTGGGTGCATTTGGGTAACATAAATATGTTCAGAGCCTTCAACGCTTCCCTTGGTAATGCATCACCAAAATCAGAAGTCAAAAGAATCAACAGGACAGCATGCGCTGTTCTAGAATAGTTGGTTCTACAAATTGAGCCTGTGTCCCGGCACTGCAGTCTCTCTCTGCCCAGGTGTCAATGGGTGCCTGCTGTTCCATCAAGCTGACAGATTTTTTTTTTTTTTTTTTTTTTGGCTGGAGTGTAGTGGAGCGATCTCAGCTCACTGCAAGCTTCGCCTCCCAGGTTCACGCCATTCTCCTGCCTCAGCCTCCCAAGTAGCTGGGACTACAGGCACCCGCCACCACGCCCGGCTAATTTTTTTGTATTTTTAGTAGAGACGGGGTTTCACCGTGTTAGCCAGGATGGTTTCGATCTCCTGACCTCGTGATCCGCCCGCCTCGGCCTCCCAAACTGCGGGGATTACAGGCGTGAGCCACTGCGCCCAGCAAGCTGCCAGATTTTTTTTTTTTTGAGACGAAGTTTCTCTCTTGTTGCCCAGCCTGGAGTGCAATGGCGCAATCTTGGCTCACTGCAAACTCCTCCTCCCGGGTTCAAGTGATTCTTTTGCCTCAGCCTCCCAAGTAGCTAGGATTACAGGCATGCACCATGACGCCCTGCTAATTTTGTATTTTTAGTAGAGACGGGGTTTCTCCACATTGGTCAGGCTGGTCTTGAACTCCCAACCTCAGGTGATCCACCCACCTCAACCTCCCAAAGTGCTGGGATTACAGGTGTGAGCCACCGCACCTGGCTCAAGTTGCCAGATTTTATCCCCTGCCTTTCTCTGTGGGCCAGAGAAAAACTGACAAAGTCTCTAGACTTTTTTAAGAGACCAGAGAAGATGGTCTCTGTGCAGGTCTCGTAACTGTGCAGGTCTTGGTTGATGCCGAAGCCCCGGGTCCCACTCCCCGGCAACAGGGCAGCCCTCCCGCCTTACCGTTGGGGATAAGGATGCCACCAACCATGGTTCCAAACACCACAGAGAGGGTAAGTGCTTTAAACCGGAGAGGGGGCATGTAGCCCCCTGCTGCAAAGGTGCCATCTTTTTGCTGTACAAAAGAAAAACAAAAGGTTTTGAAATGACTGATTTCCTCCACCACTCTCCTAGAAAGCAAAGCCTGAAAGGGCTCTGCCAGGCACACCAGGCACATCTCCACGTGAGGCCGGCCGCGCACTCACCTGGCAGGTGAGCCTGACCAGCACAATCAGATCTGGCTGAGCAACTTAAACGGGAACCTGCAGCATGCCAGGAAGGCACGAGGGCTTCTCACCCCAGGCACAGACCGTACATTTTACAACTTCCTTTTGAAATGTGAGTATCGAGTCCTTCCGTTTTCCTTTTTGCTTTTAGAGCAATACCACGAGAGTTTTTTAAGTGCCAGGAAGTATGGAGAGCAAAACACAGGCTGCACAGCGCCGCTCCTGACAAATGCCCCAGGACTCTCCTGGCCCACAGGTTTCAGGGTGCAGGCAGAACCCCCCCAAACACACGCACACATGGCCGTGTTATCTCCAGCAGATGTGCAACAAGCAGTGAGCAATTTCAAAGTCCAGGAAGAAGAAGAGAGAAGGGCACGATGAGGCCCTAATTTCAAGTGCCTGTTTTGGCCCCAGTGTGCAGCCAGGACTCTACTGATCTGCACCGGGATGCCAGGGCCATTCATTCCGGAGGAGGCGGCAGAGCCAAGGACGGATGGCCTCAGACGCCACCTGCCCCAGGACCCCCAGCTGTGGTCTCTAGTACAGGACACAGGAGCCAGACCACCTGGCTCAAATCCTTGCTCTGCCACTCACCAGCCCCACCTGTGTGTCCCTAGGCAAGTGACTTCTCGGTGCCTCAGTTTCCTCATCTGTCAACAGAAGCATCTCCTCATCCAGCCGTGGTAAGGACCAAATAAGTTAACACACAGGACGGACTGGCCGTGATGACTCTCCCTGGGCTAGGAAACAACTGCAGAACTTTCTAGAACTAGTTTTGAAGCATGCCATTTTCAGAATGGACTTTTACATAGGATGGACTGTGGAAGACGGAGCCAGAAGTTCCTATCGGCCTCAGGGCGGTAATTTGTATACAGGCCATGGAGGTGGGGGGTTAGGTCCATCACACAAGAGTCCCGGTCCTAGAACTTTACCTATGACATAGACCCAGAGAAGGGGAGAGGGGACTTTAGCACGAAGACTGTCGTGAGATGGTTAGCCACGAGAGGTCAAGGGTGAAGGAGCAGTGCACCCAGGCCCCCGCAACAGGTGGAGAAGCAAGGAAGCAGAGCCCCTGCAGGCTTGTAGGGACCGTGGAGAAACGCTCACGGCACATGGGCCGAAGACAAGAAAGCAGGTGGCATGGCCGCAGCCGCACCTCCGGGAAAGGAGCAGCCACGGGCGCTGACGGAGGAAACAGCCAGGTCCACCTTGGGATGAAGGGGGTTGCGTAAGCTTTCCTACTTGAGTCACAATACATTTAACGCCATTGTCAATTTTTTAACAAGATAAAAATGGGTCACGTACAGAAATACAGATGCTGCTCAGGTACAAAACATCAAACACTGAAAGTTGGCCTGGCCAGATGCGCGGAGGGACCCCACGGCCATATGACGGGCTCTGGCCTTGCCTCCTCGATCCTGCCTCACCCGTGCCCAGGTGCCTGAACTCCGCAGAAGAGAGGAGCACCAGCACGTGGGGGAGGCACCCAGTCTTTGGTGCTTGGCCTCTGCTGCGAAGCCAGAGGCACGTGGCTGGTGGAAGTCTGCAGGAGGCTGTGGTGACCGCACACCTGGCCACATGGACAGTGAGCCAATGCTATCGTTCCCAAGGCCCAGGGAGACCCACCGCCCCCAATGTGGCTGCTGGACTCTCCCCTGGATTCTCTGAGACCACTCAACCCGCCTTGGCTGAAACAGTTCAAGAGGAACGTGTGCCTCTAGCCACCAGGAGTTCCAGCTGAAGGGACATACCAGGCTCACAGATCTCAGGCTGCGGGACAGAAGATGGATGGGCCACCGGGCAGAGCTCCCAAGGGGAGGCAGGAGGGGAACCTGGACGGGGCAGGGCTCCTCCAGCACTGCAGAGTGGCGTCTGCACCCCCATGCTCGGAGCGCAAGACAGCACAGCGGGCCTTTCATGGTTCACTCTGCCGCAAGGAGAGAACCAGGACAGCCCCACGCTCGGGGCGAAAGACAGCGCAGCGGGCCTTTCATGGTTCACTCTGCCACAAGGAGAGAACCAGGACAGCCCTCTGGTTTCAACTCCTACAGCTGAAAGTTTCTTAGAAAGAACTAAGTAGCTGCCTGGCCTACATGTGTTACAGTGAAAAAACCCAGCCTCACTTTTTATTTTTCTTTCTCTTTTAGACACAGGGTCTCACTTTGTAGCCCAGGCTGGAGTATGGTGGAGCGGTCATGGCCCACTGCAGCCTTGAACTCTTGGTTCAAGTGATCCTCCTGCCTCAGCCTCCCGAGTCACTAGGACTACAGGCATGCGCTGCCATGCGTGGCTAATTTTTGTTAATTTTTTGTAAAGATGGAGTCAAGTGATGTTGCCCAGGCTAGTTTCAAACTCCTGGGCTTAAGCAATCCTCCCACCTCGCCCTCCCAAAGTGCTGGGATTACAGGTGTGAGCCACCATATCCAGCCTATTTTTAAAATGTGTTTAAAGACAGGGTCTTGCTCTGTTGCCCCAGCTGGAGTGTAGTGATGCATTCACACTCAGCCTCAACCTCCTGGACTCACACAACCTCGCCTCAGCCTCCTGAGGAGCTGGGACCACAGGCACCACCAATATGGCCTACATCAAACTCAGCCTCTCTTATGGTTCAAAAATCTGCTATATTGTTAAAATTTTTCAAAGTTACACAAAAGTCAAGAGAACTGTGCAGTGGGCCGGGCGCGGTGGCTCACGCCTGTAATCCCAGCACTTTGGGAGGCCGAGACGGGCGGATCACGAGGTCAGGAGATCGAGACCATCCTGGCTAACACGGTGAAACCCCATCTCTACTAAAAATACAAAAATTAGCCGGGCATGGTGGCGCGCGCCTGTAGTCCCAGCTACACGGGAGGCTGAGGCAGGAGAATGGCGTGAACCCGGGAGGCGGAGCTTGCAGTGAGTCGAGATCGCGCCACTGCACTCCAGCCTGGGCGACAGAGCGAAACTCCGTCTCAAAAAAAAAGAGAACTGTGCAGTGAACGCCATGTGCCCATCTCCAGACTCTGGCCATTATCAGCTCCTGCCCATCAATCTGGTTCCTCTAGGCTCCCCCAACTTCCGCCCTCCCGGGACTCCTCTGACGCAAATCCCCACTTTCCTGCTATATCTCTGGTTCGGGACAGCTGGGGGCTTATGGGAAGCGAGCCTGACCTGTGCTATTACGATCCGGAGAGTGCCCCGAGGGTCTTACCTGCTGCTCACACAGCAGCGTGCTCAGGGCCTGCCTGCATGGCAGGATCATCATGGGGAAGCCCACAGCCACTGACATCATGAAGCCCACACGGAGCATCTCCGTCACCAGGTTGGAGGGAAAGTGCATGAGCACGTTGCCGGCCGTGGCCTCGGTGAAGCTGACGTAGCCGAAAAACCCCACCTGTTGGAGAATAAGAAATGGCAACGTGGCAGACAGACATCCTAGCCGAGTGGCACCTGTCACAGTGGGCAGGGCATGGGGGGGACCTGTGCCCTGCCCCCCAGAATGGCCTTCAATCCACTTCATAATGAAGCTTCTGCAAGAGATGGCCTTCCAGGGGCAAGGCACCATTTCGCCTCCTCCTTCTAAAAATCTCTAGTTTCTGTAAGAACATGCCCATTTCTTTCTTTTTCTTTCTTTTTTTTTTTTTTTGAGACGGGGTCTCCCTCTGTAGACCAGGCTGGAGTGCAGTGGTGCGATCTTGGCCTCGGCGTACCTCTGCCTCCCCGGTCCTGGTTCAAGCAATTCTCCTGCCTCAGCCTCCCGAGTAGCCGGGTTTACATGCACGTGCCACCATGCCCAGCTAATTTTTGTATTTTTAGTAGAGACAGGGTTTCACCATGTTGGCCAGGCTGGTCTTGAACTCCTGACCTCATGATCTGCCCACCTCGGTCTCCCAAAGTGCTGGGATTACAGGTGTGAGCAACGGCGCCCGGCCGGAACATGCCCATTTCTACAGAGAATTAACAGAGGTCTTGGAGAGAGAGTAAGAGTGGCTCGGATAAAGGGTTCTGGGAGCAGCCCTGGTGCCCAGCTCCTCAGGTCAGGAGAGCTTCCTGGCCCAGGGTGGACCCAGGCTCACAGGGCTGGTCCTGGAATGATGGAAGCTGATGGAGCTGCCCCAGGTCCCCGCGCAGCCTCCAGACACTGGGATGGGAACAGAGAGAAAAACCCAGCAGCACACAGGGCCAGGGCCATGCCTGTGGCAGTCCCACGGGGCACCACGGCACATCATGCTGGCATGACACAGGGGCGGAGAGGGCGTGGCAAGGCTCTTACCATGACGTAGAAGGTGGTGACCACATTAAGGGAGGAAGCAAATATGGAGCTCATGGTTTTCACTGACGGCTCATCCAGGCTGTCGTAGGTGGGCAGCACCTGGCTGTATAGAAACAGGCCATTTCACAGCGGACCTGAGAGAGGCACGCCCTCCCCAGCGGCTCCACTTCTAGGACCTCTCTGCAGCCCAGTGAGAGTCTCTGACCTTCCTTCATGCAACATTCTCTGCACACTGGAAGTCCCAGCGCTGAGGCCAGGACTTGGTGTTGCTGAGGACAGGAGCGTTGCAGCAGCCCCCACTCAGGACACCCCCCAGAGCGTGCACCATGCGAACATTCCCCAAGGCTACAGAACGACAGGCTGCTGCTCCACGCCAGGGAGCGGGTGCTGAGAGTCAAAGCAGCCAGTTTACAGGGCAAGCAGCCGGAGGAGGCTGCTCAGAGAATCGCTGTCAAGAGGAGGGAAAGTTAAACAAACACACCCTGGCCTGGGCGGCCGGCCCATCTCGGCGCCTCCATCTCGGCGCCTCCGCACAGGCATGATCAGAGTCGGCACAGACAAGGAGGCGGCCTGGGGCGCGATTCCCCACTGCAGCCTCTCACTTGTGTGATGAGAAAACTGGCTTCGGTCCCACAGCCTGGTGCCAGGAGTGTGGTGCTGCTAGGGGTGGGAGGGACCCAAGCCACCAGCCAGGCAAGGACATGACAGCCCTGCACAGGCAGCAGACGCATCCGAGGGACCTGCACAGGGACCTGGGCCTCTGGAAAGGGGTGGGCGAGACGACAAGGGAGAGGCTGGGGCCATGGAGCATCTGTGTGCAGCCGGGGAGAAGGGAGTTGGGCCAGGCACACGCCAGAGCACAGGTGAGAGCTGCTCTGCCATGGGGCTGAACGAGGACTCTGGAGTGGGAGTCCAGGGGGGTGCTCCTAGGGTGTCCAGGTGGCCATGGCCATGGCTGTCCCAGGGCAGGGGCTCAAGGGCACAAAGGAAGCTAGGTGGGCCGGGGGAGGGCGGGATGCAGAAAGCCAGCAGCCAGTAAATGGACCAGCACAGCGGCCAGCGGAGCCAAATCCCAAACCGCCTTGAAGAAAGTGAAAGAAAACACAGGACATCACCAGCACAGCGGCCAGCGGAGCCAAATCCCAAACCGCCTTGAAGAAAGTGAAAGAAAACACAGGACATCCTGACTTTATTAAAAAGCAAACCAGGCCAGGCACAGCGGCTGACACCCAAATACCAGCACTTTGGGAGGCCGAGGCAGGAGGATCACTGGAGCCCGGGAGGTCGAGGCTACAGTGAGCTGTGATCGCATCACTGCACTCCAGCTTGGGTGACACAGCAGGACCCCATCTCCAAAAAAAAGAAAACCCAGCAGACTGACAAGTGAGAAGGTCCTGCCAGCAGCTGCTGGTGTCCCGTTGCCCAGGTCCTAGCACACCATCCCATCAGGCCGCCCTCAGCATGGAGTGCCATCAGCAGCAGTCAGGGGACCCCGCAGGACATGAGCCTTCCCCTCGGCCCAGGCTAGAAGGGAGCTAAGTGGCCAACGCCTGTGCACACAGCCCCAGGAGGCTGGCAGAGAATCAGGAGAAACACCCAAGAGGTCTCCACGGCCCTAGACCCACAGCTACAGAAGAAGGCCATGTTGCGGCATGAACTTCCCAGTGCTAAACTGTCCTCTCGCCACAGCTGAGTCCACACCAGGGAGTCTTGGCTTGAGGGGACCAGCGTTGGTGCCCCATGACACGTGCTTACCCCCAGCCCCCAATACACCCTGTGGGGAGTGACCCCCAAGGAAGCCACGGACACTGTGGGAAGGGGTGTCCCACGCACACGGGGTGGCCAGGGTGGAAGGCCAAGCCCCAGGCTCCTCTCCAATCCTGACCACCTACCCCAGGGACCCCCGGGATCATCCCTGGAAAGAAACAAGGTAGGAGCCACAAAACCTCCTGGCCACCTGCAAAGGAGCTCCACAGATGGGGGACATGCTGAGCGCTGGCCCATGGCCCCAGACGGAGCATCCCTGGCCCGCCCACCTTGCAAGGCAGCCTCTGAGCCTCAGGGCCTACCAGAGTCAAATGGAGCCATCCACATGCAGCTCTTGGGTGTGTGCCCCTCTGCCCTACTGTGAGGATGGGGACCCTGGTCTCCAGATAGACCCTGACCTCCAGGGCCTCCTGGGCTCAGTGCTGCCCGGCTGCTTCTCTGGGCCTAGGACAACCATTCTGCATAACCAGGTATGCATTTACCAAAAACGGCCAGATAGTGAAGGCACAAGGGAGACCTGGCCCCAGCTGGCATCCAGGCCAATCACACAGGCAGGGGGCGCGGCCCGCCACCCAACAGGGACAGGCACTCTGGTGCAGTGACGCTGTGGGAGGGAAGAGATGTCTCTGCTCTCAGAAAACATTCCTGGGTTCAGAGGTGGGGAGGTCAGCACGGCGGCCGGCACAGGGGTGGGGAGGTCAGCGCAGCGGCCAGCACAAGGAGGGATGTCCCTGCTGGGGAGAATGTCAGGTGAATCCGTGGGCCTGCACATCCTCAGGGCGGGACAGAAGGAAAGCTGCACTTGTTGAGCCGCACGCTCCAGCGCTTCAACCCAGCACCTGACTCCGGAACCAGACCCGAACGAGGTGCACCGGCTGCTACGTGGCCACCACCAAAAAGCCCCAGCTGCAGATTTATTTCTAAATATGCAAACACGCAGACACAAAGGGCAACTGGTAACTAGGTACGTGGCGGAAGAATGCGGCTTCTGTCACCGATCATAATGGGATATTAAACAGCAAGACTGGGGCGCGTTCTGGTGGAGATGGAGCTGCCAAGAGAGACGCTAAGTGGGAAATGACGATTTGGATCTCGCATGTGGGTGTAAACACAGCGGTATGAACAAATTTCATCTGTCACATTAGTTTACGATTGGCTCAATGCATGCCCACTAACGCTACAGGGGCCGCTCTGCCAGCCCCCCGCATGCCGATGGTCTTTTCCCGTCTGCGCCGGATTTACGCCTCTCTTTTCAGCCGGTTACCATGTTCCAACCGGGCACGAATCACTCGCTCTTGTCATTTTGGTGGAGAAGGTAATGCTGCTGGAATTATGGAAGAGCCCGATCCACATTTACAGAGCCCTGCGTGCCAGAGAGAAAGCAGGCTCGCGCGCACATGCAGGCCTCCAAATGCATCCAGCAGCCGTCTGAAGTCAATGTTTGTGCCATTTCCTTTTAAATATTCTCAGAACAGCTAAATTCTGGCGAAGCGCTCGACTCTGTGCAGTCAGATGGCTGGGTTGCTGCTGCATCCCCCACAGCCAATGCTCTGCTTGTGGGGATCTGGCAAACCAGGGACTCTCACCAGCTAGTCCCAAACATGTCCCAGGAATGAAGCCGATTTACCTCCCGATTAAAATATAACTATCTCCCTCAACCTGGGGCGGGAAAGGTCATCACTGAACAAGACATCACTCTTTAGCAGCCAGCAAAGAGCGATCACAGTAAACGAGAAAGAGAGGGTCCCGTCTCCCAGCAGCTCGCCCTCCCCGTCACAGAACTCCACCACAGACCACAGCAGGACACTTACGACTGGCAGGCGAAGGACATGCCGAAGATGGGGATGCAGCGGAAGACGCCCTCCCAGCGGACGTAGCTGACCCGCCGCAGCCACTGCCCACTGAAGAGGCCGTGCTTGAGAGAGGAGAGCACGATCTGCAGAGGGAGAGGGGAGAGAGCACGGGGCAGGTCAGGACGCAGGCGGGACTCAGCATCCCGGCCCACGCGCCGCTAGGAAGGAGTGGCAGGAGAGTGCAGCTCTTCCCACCCACATCCCAGCCCCCCACCACCCTGTGCCGCCCTGTGCCGCCTTGTGCCGCCAGCTGGAGGCAGGGAGACCCCGCGCCTTTCTGGATTCCCAACCCCTGCCTCAGAGCACCCTGGTTCATCCCGCGGGCACCAGAGCAGCTGCTCTTGCAAGGGGGCTGCTTGGCGCAGACGGGAGGAGACCACTGAGCATGCATGGCCCCAGTTTCCGTCGGTTACAGAGGCTGGTTTCCCACGTGGGCAGGTCCCTCCCCATCTTGTACTGTGTTAGACATGGACATTTTCCAAAAGACTGGCCCACCAGGACGCGGCTGTCTCAAGAGTAAAGAGGTAGCTGCCACTGGGCTGGCCCTCACTCGGAGAGCTGAGGAGCACTGGAGACCCTGGCTTCAATGACCACCTGGCCTCGTCCTGGTGCAAACCCGCTGTGAGACACCCAGGTTCCAGCCACTCAGGAAGGGTCATTTCTGACCTTGCCAGGGAACAGGAAGGTCCCAGGGGCTCGGGTCCTGGGGCTCCTATGGGCAGGGGCCTGGCAGAGAATGGAGGGTGTGCTGGGGGCTCTGGGTGGTATCCGTGTTCTCAGTGCCAACTCCACAGCTGGCCCCTAGTCCATCCTATTATAAATTCTCATTTAGAAAAATAATAGCGGCCGGGCGTGGTGGCTCATGCCTGTAACCCCAGCACTTTGGGAGGCTGAGGCGGGTGGGTAACAAGGTCAGGAGTTCGAGACCAGCCTGGCCAAGATGGTGAAACCCCTTCTCTACTAAAAATAAAAAAAATTAGCCAGGTGTGGTGGCGGGCACCTGTAATCCCCGCTACTTGGGAGGCTGAGGCAGGAGAATCACTTGAACCCAGGAGATGGAGGTTGCAGTGAGCCGAGATTGCGCCACTGCACTCCAGCCTGGGCGACAAAGTGAGACTCCGTCTCAAAAAACAAACAAACAAACAAACAACAATAGCTTGCCACCTTGTGTCAAAACACTGGCACCGTGAGCCTTGGTCACAAACCCTACATAAGACATCTTTGCATAAAGCAAGTGGACTTGGAGTTTCCTTCACCTTGCCTGGACGACATGAAACCAGCCTCAGAGCCACCCCTGCCCTGAGCCCCAGCCTCTCCTGCCAGCCAACCGCACCTGGGTCCAGCCAGCCCCGTCTGCCCCATGGTGCCCAGGGACCATGAGATGAATGGCACTTCCTGGTACATCCTGCTACTTCCAACACATTCCCAGGAGGCAGCAGGCGGCCACACCAGACCTGGGCACGAGCCTGCTGTGGCCACAGGAAAGAATGGGCCAGGAGCAGCCTTTCAGCGGGTACCCACGCGCGCTGCCGACTCACCACGAACATGAACACGGTGTAGAAGAGGAGGGCCATGGCGCTGAAGGACTGGATGGAGGCCATCATGTTCCGCTGCAGGCTGAGCGGGAGCACGATGCACAGCGACACGGCGAACAGCAGGAACATGCGGAAGGTGCCGCCCACCTGCGGGGAGCCGGCAGGGGGTCTTGGCCACAGCCCGTGCCTGCTCACCACCGGGCTCTCTGCACTGACAGGGAGTGGGAGCGCCCCGAGCCCGAAAGCCGACGGCATCCAGGTGAATGACGCCGGCGGGTCTGAGGCTGGCACACTCGCCCGAAGCCGCTCTCACAGCCACTGTGCCGTGTGCAGCCTCGGACACTGGGTATTTCCCCTCCCTGGAGCCCAGCCCAGCCCCACAGCGAGACCAGCCAGAGCAGGACAGCAGCCCCCCTAACACGGGAGGCAACACAGTGGCTGTGAGTCGGACTCAGCTGCCCTGGGCGAGGGGTGGGAAAGGTGCAGACTGCCCTGTGGGCAGGACGGGCCCAAAGCTCTAGCTACAAAGGCCACTACGAAGCACGGAAAACGGAAGGTCGAATGGGGAGACAGAGTAGGGGACCTAGCTCCCTGGATGCTCCTTGGAACTGTCTCTGACAAGGAGCGAATCTGGTACATTCCACTCCTGGAGAGGACACCCCCGCCTCAGTGGCCTTTGAAAGCCTTTCTACGCTGTTAGCACCCTAACGTGCCGTGATGCCTGCCCTGCCCAGTGAGGGGCTCTGCTCCCCGGCAGCGAGGGAAAGGTGTGTGGGCCCGTCAGGTGGGCCTCTCTGTGGTGGGGGGCAAGCACGGAGGAGGCTACCCCAAGGTCCCTGCAAGAAGTGCTGAGTCCACAGCCCCCAGAAGCTCTGGGTGACCATGGAGGCCGGGGATGCCTGAGGGCCTGGCCGCCTCTGCCCTCCAATGGGCAGCCCGGGCTGGCAGAGACTTGCTCTGCACTGTGCCCGGGTCTGAGGCTCCCCCACCCGCCCCTCATCTACATGGTGTCAGACTCTGCCTGGCTTGCTTCCTCGCGTGTACCTCTCACAGACGTGACCCAGCAAAGCCCCCGCACTCCACCAAGCCCCTAGAATGACAGCAGGCTCGACAGAAGCTTCTCCCGACCAGCACCCAGGTCTCGGTCCTCGGGAGGATCCCACAGAGGGCCTCAGAGCAGCCGTCAGCATCTGAACAACCCAGAACCCTGAACACATCCTTACCTGAAACCCGAACAGCCGGGCAAAGAAGTTGGACCCCAAGTCGCCGATCACGACGTAGAAGGCGATGCAGGTGCCCAGCATCAGCCCGATCATGCTGCACAGGGACGGGGGGTACGGGAAATGCCATCAGGGCAAGCTGGCACACACCTGGGCTGCCGCCAGGGACTACCCCAAGGCTGGGCTGAATGACAGATGTGATTTCTTTTTTCTTTTTTTTTTTTTTGAAACAGAGTCTCACTCTGTCGCCCAGGCTGGAGTGCAATGGTGAGATCTCGGCTCACTGCAAGCTCCGCCTCCCAGGTTCACGCCATTCTCCTGCCTCAGCCTCCCGAGTAGCTGGGAGTAGCCGAGTAGCCACGCCCGGCTAATTGTTTGTATTTTTAGTAGAGACGGGGTTGCACCGTGTTAGCCAGGATGGTCTCGATCTCCTGACCTCTGTGATCCGCCTGCCTCAGCCTCCCAAAGTGCTGGGATTACAGGCGTGAGCCACTGTGCCTGGCCAACAGATGTGATTTCAAACGCGCCCCAGTTCACAGGGCGCGGGCAGGTTCTGTGGCGCTCGCTATGTCACTTGGCATGCACACCAAACGACACTCAGCTTTTCTCAGCCTGGTATTATACTCGCCCCTCTGCGGAGGCTCTAAAAGTTACAAAAATCTCCATGATGGGCCTGGCACAGTGGCTCACGCCTGTAATCTCAGCACTTTGGGAGGCCGAGGCAGGCGGATCACCTGAGATCCGGAGTTCAAAACCAGCCTGGCCAACACGGCAAAACCCTGTCTCTACTAAAAATACAAAAATTAGCTGGGCCTGGTGGCACGCGCCTGTAATCTCAGCTACTTCGGAGGCTGAGGCAGGAGAATCGCTTAAACCTGGGAGGTTGCAGTGAGCCGAGATCACAGCATTGCACTCCAGCCTGGGTGACAGAGCAAAACTCCATCTCAAAAAATAAAAAAATTGAAAAAGCCCCACGATGTTAGTCAAGTTAAGAGAACAATCAACTGCTTTCAAAAAAGGCTGTTCGTTTGAGTTTACAATTCCCTAATTTAGAAGCCTAGAAGTGCAATCTCCCAGCGATTTTTTCATCTCATAAATTTTTTCATCTCATGAAATTTTATGCCAAAGGAAGAAAAATATGACATTTGCAATGTAATGCCACCTTTATGCAGCGGTGTTTGAGGGGTAGGTGAGGTGCTGAGGAATGGTGTTGAGAGACTACAACTGAGGGAGGACTGTTTACCAGGTTCTTGGAGTTTTCCATACATAAATTTTTCTTACAACACTGAAGGGTACAAGTAATTGGACTTTCATGTATTTAGCGACTCTTCAGAAACCTAAGTTACAGGTGAATCTGGGGATGAAACTGCCGCTCCCACCGGGAGGGTCCCCAGTGTCTGGGTGCGGGGGTGGGGGGCAAGCGCAGCGGCAGGGCGGGGCTTACCTGGTCTCCACCAGCATCTTGCCTGCCTTCCCGTAGGCGTGGAATGCTAGTGCAAAAGAAAAAGGAACACTCAATCCAACAGCGTGAGAAGCTCGTCCAGAACAAAGGTACTGAGCCAAGCTGTCAAGGGCGATTTCACAGAAACCCACGGGCCCAGATTCTCCGGGGCATGAGGGGTATTTCAAATTCTGGCTGCCAGGTTATTTTTGGATCTACTGTCTGCAAATGAAACTACAAGAAACAAAGACAGAGCAAGGGAAGGACAGGAGGCAGGTTCTTCTTTCACTCAATCAGATTTTTTAACAGACAAAGAGACAAGTCCCTGCGATGCAGTCCTCCCACCCGGTGACCACTGGGGGCCGGCTGGAAACAGCATCCCACAGCCCAGCACGGCCGAACCCCGTGCTGCTGGCCAGAGCTTGCAGGTCCCCAGAGGGTTCAGTGCCGGTCCCAGGTACCCGAGCGCCACAGCCTGCACCAGAGGGACTCTGACGGAGGGCTTTCATTTTCACCCTTTGGTTGGGATTTATAGAAACAAATGGAGACTCCTTTCGAGCATGGTGCTTCAGGAAGGGAGGGGACGAGAGCCCTGGGCTTGTGGTGTCCACGTGGACAGCTAATGAGGAGCCTTGCCGATGAGGAGCATGCGTTCCCGACGGGGCGGCCGAATGCGGAAGGAGCCGCCATTCTCTCCGCCCTGACCGCGGGATTCTCTGCAGCAGATGAGAAACGGCGCTGACTCAGCAGGGTCCCTCCCAGGCCCCGAGCGGTCATCTGGTGACCCCCGCGCTTCCCCCACGGCCCAGCCGGAGAAGGGCAAAGGGAAGTCCCGGCTCCAAGGCGCACCCAGAGATGCGGTGCATGTGGCAGGATGGCCCAGCCCCGTCGGCAGCCCCAGCTTCCTGCCCCTGGTTTCCTTCCTCCCACGGGCTACAGGCCTCTGATGAGCTTTGGAAAGCAGGAAACACACAGGCTAGTAACTATGAATGGGTCCAAAAAACACTCCTTATTACTTTAAACTACTTAGGAAGAAGCACAGCGTTGCCAAACGCCAGAGCCCGGGAGCAGCAAAGACCCCACCTCCAGGGCTCACCCTGGCCTTTCCTGGACCTGCCTATGGGCTCGCTGAAGAAGCCTGGCACCCCTTGAGTTCATCCCACAACACGGAAACCCGAGCCAGGCCCCAGAAGCTGACCTGAGGCTGTGGAGAGTTTCAAACACTAAGAACTCCAGGAGCCCCCTCAGCAGCCCACAGCCCAGGGCCCTGCTGTCACCAAGGAACGCCCTCCACACCCCTCAGTGACGGCACAGCCCGGAAGCAACAAAACACGGCGCTCCAAACATGAAGTTGCTCCTGGCCATAATGTGCCTTTTCATTCTCCAAAAGGAAGCTGAGTCTCTACAGCATATTCCAAACACGAGCGCACCTTGCCCAAGAAGGTTCCGGAATATGCCTGCCACTGGCAAGGGAAAATGGGAGGCTGTCTAGGAAATCAGGGCAGCACTCTCTTCTGGTTCCCAGGACAACGTCCTGAGAGCCCACCACGCTGAGACACGGCCCCACGCGCCTTCTTTTCCCCACCTGGGCCAAACCCTCACCCGCCATTCCCAGTGTCAATCCCTCGGCAACTTCTCCTCCCCAGGTTCAAACACCAGCCCCAGTTGGACTGACCCCACTCCTTCACATCCTGCGTGGACTGGCACAGAGAAAGGGAGGAAGAGGCTGAAGCGCCCAGCAAGGTCCCGGGGACCCAGCCCTCCCCCGAGTGTGGACTCCCAGTGCGGGCCCAGCCCCTGCCAGGCTGGAGGTATCTGTGAGCGGCGAGCTCTGAGGGCGCGGCCTCCATGCAGGGTGTACCCTACCCCAGGTGCAGTCAGATCTCCCCCAGAGCCAGCACAGGAGCCACAGAAGCCTGGACCACCCAACGAAAGGACGCGGGCAGCACTCCTGACACCGCTGCTCACAACCGAGAACTCAGAGGCCGCGTGGGGGCCAAACAGTCCCTGCTGCTGGGGGAGGCGGTTTCTAGCCCAGACCACGCATGCCAGGGTTCAGGCACAACTCTCAACAGGGCAGGGTCTGGGGCTCAGAACAGCTTCATGAGAAGCCGCGACAGCTGAAGGAGGCTGAATGACTGATGTATCTGTGTGTCTTCTGAAGAGGGGATTTAGAAAAGTCCATGTCCAAGCAAGACACGCAGGGCAAGGAAGCAGCAAGTGAGAAGGTGACGAAAACGACAAAAACCACCTGCAACCAGCAACAGCAAATAGGACAGGGAAATATACAAACACCAACAAAAAACGACACCTCTCCAGGCTGGCACATGGCACTGGAGGACAGCGGGGAGGGTAAAGCGATCAGCGGCCACCTCCCCAGGCTAACCAACCCGAGGAACCATTACACCGCAAACCTATGCCTGGGTGGGGGCAGATGCCATTCGGAGGAAACCACCCAGCCGTCCCAGGGAAAGTCAGTCTGTGTGCGAGGACGGGACCCAGCCCGGCGCCTCCTGAAGACTGCAGTGTGGAGCTGCTGTCCACTCTGCACAAGGGCCTCGCCTCAGCTCCAGGAGAGTCTCATCTTACCCTCCCCAGGGACGCCTCTCCCAGCGCGGGTCTCCCCACTTCTAAGACGAGCCAGGGCACACTGCAGCTGACGCGGAGCAGCTGGGCCCAGGGGCCTCTGTCCGGAGCTCACGCAGTGGAACCACCGTGTTTGGTGTCAAAGGCATAACCTGAGACACACTTGGTGTTTTGGAATCTTTTTTGTTTCTGGCAGGCAGAAGTGGACTGCGGTCACCCCATGCAGGTAAAGGTTGGAAGCTCAGGCAGGAGTTCCAGGCAGCACAGAAGAGCACCCACCCGGCAATTTTCTTCCAGTCCTTCACATGTAGCCAAACTGGTTTGACTTTTCAGGGACTTTGAATGAATAGACAGCTGGCTATCAGAAATGGGGGCCTCCCCAGCCCTGGGTCACCGGTCTTCTTCCAGGACACAGCCAAGGACTGGAGTTGGGGCCTCTGCTACAGAAACCCTATACAGAGACCTCAGTGAGGAGAAAAGGGTCGCCCTGCAGGCCACAGCTCTGCAGACCCAGGAAGGGGCCCGCCCAGGCACGGTGCCTCCTGGCATCCGGTAGGCATCTTTCAGCCCAAGTTGCATTAGGCCATCTCACTGTGGATCAAACTTAACAGTGAACTTCACTTCCTCAAATAACAACAAGAAAAGACTCTGACAGCACCATTCTCATCAGGAAGGGAGGAGAAGGAATACATCCCCTCCGGTTCTGAGGGCCGAAACGAACGCAGGACTCTCTGTGGCAACATGAAGGGGACTGGGAGGAAGTGGAGGCTGGGAGGCCAGGACCCACGTGTGGACCGTGCAGGTGTTTTTATTTTGTTTGGCCCCCTGGACCCCTAAACACCATTTCCTCTCCCGCCACCTCCTCACTCTGCCGCGGGAGCTGTGAGCCCGGGGGGCAGGATGGCCTTCTGCAGGGAGGACCTAACATCCCAGCCGCACACTGGCTGGAAGGTCCAGAGCCTTCATCACAAGGCCAGAGTTTTCACCAAAACCCACAGGGCCAACTCCTGAGAACACGGATGCTGGAATTTCAACACCCAGGCTGGATGCCCCCAGAATGGAACGTGGAGCCGAGAGGTGCCGAGCCTGTGGCGGGCAGGGAGACAGCGCGGGCCACACAGCCTGTGGGCAGACGGGAAGGTGAGGGATGGCGCCCTCGAAGACAAACAACGTAGAAAATATTCCACACTGAAATGAAGCAGAAAGCGCAGCCTTCTCTCCTGGCTGAAACAGCATTAAAGCAAGAAAGAACTAAGGGAAACAAAACTGCAACCAACAGCATCAGGGGAAGGACACAGCCACTGGGAGAGGAGCCACTGAACTCCAGCAACAGCCCAGGCCTGAGGAGCTTCCTCCATGGAATTCCGAGTTGGGGAGAACAGCAAGGCTCTCTGCAGGCAGCTCCGCAGGAAGGCATCTGGTGTCCAGGAGAGACACAGAGAGAGCAGGTCTGCACCAGCACGGTGAGGACGGCTGTCTTGGTCTGAGTTTAGAAGAGGAAGCTTGTGTGGACCTGCATGGGAGCGGGCAGGAGGGCATGGTGACAGGGAGACCTGGCGCCTCATACCCTTCTGTGTCACTCCAATTTTGAAGCATGTGATTATAACAGGTTTTTCTTTTTTTTTCCAGACAGAGTCTCACTCTGGCACCAAGGCTCGAGTGCAGTGGCGTGATCTCAGCTCACTGCAGCCTCCACCTATCGGGTTCAAGAGATTCTCTGGCCTCAGCCTCCTGAGTAGCTAGGATTACAGATGCCTGCCACCATGTCTGGCTAATTTTTTGTATTTCTGGTAGAGATGGGGTTTCACCATGTTGTCCAGGCTCGTCTCGAACTCCTGACCTCAAATAATCCGCCTGCCTCGGCCTGCCAAAGTGCTGGGATTACAGGCACGAGCCACCACGCCCGGCAGGTTTTTTTTTTAACTGCATTTTTTTTTAATTTGATTTTTAATTCTTTTGAGACAGGGTCTCGCTCTGTCACCCAGGCTGGAATACAATGGCGTGATCACAGCTCACTGCCACCTCAGACTCCTAGGCTCAGGTGATCCTCCCACCTCAGCCTCCCAAATAGTAGCTGGGACGACAGGCACGTGCAACCACACCCGGCTCATTTTTTTGCAGCATTACATTTTAAAATAAAAAAAACCCTGCTATCCAAGGAATTCTTGAAGAATCAAGTAGAGTAAATAAATAAATAAATAAATGGAATAAGGCCCCCGCCCCAGGTCCAGAGCCACCTTGTGGAGAGGGCGCCTCACCCAGGCCGGCGTAGGTCCTCCGCTTGCTCAGGCTGGCCGACTTCACCAAGAACATGCACGACTGGTGCGTCATCCATGAGCAGAAGACCAAGAGCAGCGCCCCCAGGACGATGCCGCACTGCAGGGTGGAGACAGGAACACATGTTCACAGCAGCAGGTGCTCCCCAGAGGCCCTCACCCCACACACGCGGCTCATGAGGACCCTCTTCACCCCCAGGCCCCGCTCCATCCCAGTCTCCTGCCGAACGCGACACTTCCTAGCACTGAAAGGGCCATTTCCTTGCTGTGGTGGCCGCGCGCCTTGTCCAGGGATGAAGCTGTATGCGCAGAGCACAGGGGTGCCATCTCCTTCCCAGTCCCCACCTCAAGTCTTCATGGACAGCGGGGTGCTGCCAACTAATACCCCCTTGTTCTCTGCACACACCCTACATGCACCATCTTTAGCCACTTAAGTCCACAGCTACAAGTAATGAACACATTCTGGAAGAGATTAAAAATGCCATTTTCCCCGTTCTCATAAGTTAAATAGACACTTACTGTGTGACCTGGGGATTAACTGCACCCCTAGGTATTCACTTACCAAGAGGAATGAAAACGTGTTCATGAAAAACCTGTATGCCAATGTTTACAGCAGGTTTATCCACAACCCAAAAATGGAAAAACAACCCAAATGTCCTTCAACAAGCGAATGGATACAAACTGTGGTCCATTCGAATAAGGGAATATTAGTCAGCAGGAAAAAGGGATGACTACTGACACCCACCATGACACGGATGGGACTCAAACGCACCATGCTGAGCAGAGGAAGCTGGACTCTGAATGCTACAAACAGTGTCATTCTGTTTACAGGAAACTCAGAAAAGGCAAACTTTTAGGCCAGGGAACAGCTCAGTGTTGCCAGGGGCTGGGGGTGTGGAGATTTGGCTGATGACAAAGGGGCACATGGGGACCCTCTGGGGGATGAAGCTGTGTGTTCTGTTTGACTGTGGTGGTTACACAGCAAGCCCATGACCTGCACCCTAAAAAGAGTCAATCAGCCGGGCACGGTGGCTCACACCTGTAATCCCAGCACTTTGGGAGGCCGAGGTGGGCAGATCACGAGGTCAGGAGATCGAGACCCTCCTGGCCAACATGGTGAAATCCCATCTCTACTAAAAATACAAAAATTAGCTGAGCATGGTGGTGTGTGCCTGTAATCCCAGCTACTTGGGAGGCTGAGGCAGGAGAATCACTTGAACCAGGGAGTCAGAGGTTGCAGTTGAGCCGAGATTGCGCCACTGCACTCCAGCCTGGCGACCGAGCAAGACTCCGCCTCGAGAAAATAAAAAGAGAGTGAATCTTCCTGCATGTCCACTACCTCCATCGAGGTGACACTTAAAACACAAGGACCGCCACACTAGTGCGAGACGTCAGTCACGTGAACCTAGCTGGACGGTGAGGGGGGCGGGGGCGCTGCACTTTCCAGTCTGTTGTTCTGTAGACTTAAAACTGCTCAAACACATAAGTCCGGCTGGGCACACTGGCTCACAACTGTCATCCCAGCACTTTGGGAGGCCGAGGCAGGTGGATCATTTGAGGTCAGGAGTTCGAGACCAGCCTGGCCAACATGGTGAGACCCCCACCTCTACTGAAAACACACACAAAAAATTAGCCAGGCTTGGTGGTGGGCGCCTGTAATCCCAGTTACTTAGGAGGCTGAGGCAGGAGACTTGCTTGAATCTGGGAGGTGGAGGTTGCAGTGAGCTGAGATTGAACCATTGCACCCCAGCCTGGGTGACAGAGTAAGACTCCATCTCAAAAAAAAAAAAAAAAAGTAAGTCTATTAATACCAAAAACTCATGAGATATCACCAAGCACTCATCAGAATGGCTCCAGCGGAAAAGACACGATACCCAATGCTACCGGGGATGCGGGCCGGCATGTGCACCACTGCACCCACATGGCAGCTCCAGAGCGGAGCACACGCACCCTGGGGCCCGGCCACTCCACACAGGCACGCACCCAGCAGAAACCACCCCCTGCCAACGCCTGTCCAACTCCTCAGGGCATCACAAGAGCTCCCAATAGGAGACACCGTAAATGCCTCACAGGGGTAAACTACACACAGACACGCATGGCGGTGCAGCGGACACCAGAACGCAAGCCAGACACTCGCACTAGACACCTGCACAGCAGGACCCACCCACCTCAGTTCAAACCAGGCAGCACCACCGTGGCACACTAGGGGTCAGCAGTGTGCCCCGGGTAGGCCGCCACGGCCACAGAGTACGCTCCTTAATTTGGGAGCTAGTCACACGGGTTTGCTCGTCATATGAAAATTCATCAACAGCACATCTAAAGAAGTGTGTACACATTTTTGTATGTCAAACTTCAATGTTTATTATATATATAATCTATATAGATCTATATCTATATCTATCTAGATATAGATATAGATATATATTTTTGTTTGTTTGAGACAGAGTCTCACTCTGTTGCCCAGGCTGGAGTGCAGTGGCGCGATCTTGGCTCACTGCAAGCTCCACTCCCGGGTTCAAGCGATTCTCTTGCCTCAGACTCCCTAGTAGCTGGGACTACAGGCGCCTGACATCGCGCACAGCTAATTTCTGTATTTTTAGTAGAGATGGGGTTTTATCATCTTGGCCAGGCTGGTCTTGAACTCCTGACCTCGTGATCCACCCTCCTCAGCCTCCAAAAGTGCTGGGATTACAGGCGTGAGCCAACACGCCCAGCTATGTATATATATAAATATATCAAAACTACTAAAACAAAAAAAAAAACACTAATCCAAAGTTTTTCAATGCCAAGGCTGCCAAACACTAAACACACACATCCCCAAATCGCCTGCTGGCGTCTCCCTGCGCCCCAGTCCAAGAAGGCTGCCGTGGAGGAGACGCTGCGGCCAGATCAGAGCAACTGGGCCTCCCTCTGGGCAGCCCTCAGGACTCAGAAGGACGTCTCTAGTCCTTCACTTCCTGACAGGTCTGTGCAGATGCCCGGCTAATCAGCACATGCTCTGGCAGGGGCCTAATGTCCACCACATGGCAGGTGGTCCAAGGCTCGAGATAGCTGGATCGTCTGGGCCCTAAGATGTACTTTCACAGGTGTCTAAACCAGAGCCCCTTCCACGGTGGCACTTCACCGACAGGCATCAAAGATGACAGCATTTGGGGCCAGGCACGGTGGCTCACGCCTGTAATCCTAGCACTTTGGGAGGCCGAGGTGGGTGGATCACCTGAGATCAGGAGTTCGAGACCAGCCTGACCAACATGGGGAAACCCTGTCTCTACTAAATACAAATAAATAAATAAATAAATAAATAAATTAGCCGGCGTGGTGGCACATGCCTGTAATCCCAGCTACTTGGGAGGCTGAGGCAGGAGAATCACTCGAACCCTGGAGGCAGAGGTTGCAGTGAGCCGAGACTGCACCACTGCACTCCAGCCTGGGTGACAGAGCGAGACTCCGTCTTGAAAAAACAAAGATAACAGTCTTTGACTTGCAGGAGAAGGACCAGCTACTGCTCCACATGCCAGAATGCAGTTCTGCTGCCAGGCAAGTCACAGTGGACACTGGGACATGGAGTCAGTCCAGAAACACCCAGAGGTGGCTGGCAGAAAGCTGGGATTCTCCACGCCCAGACCAGATGCTGCCCGGGGGGCTCTGGAGGCATGTAGCCCTGTCTTCCCCTGACAGGCTCACCAACCATATCAGGCAAACAACTCAGACACAACAGCCTGGAGGGCTGCACGGGAGGGTTTGAAAATTCCTTGATCAAAAAAAAGTTGTTTTTTTTTTAGAGATGGGGTACTGTTGTGTTGCCCAGGCTGGAGTGCAGTGGTGCAATCATAGCTCACTGTAATCTCAAACTCCTGGGCTCAAGTGATCCTTCTGCCTCAGCCTCCCGAGCAGCTGAGACTACAGGTATGCACCACCATGCCCAGCTAACTTTTAATTTTTTTTGTAGAGACGGGGTCTTACTATGTTGCCCAGGCTGAAAAAATTTTTTGGATATTTTTATTCCAAAGATAATGAATATGAAAAACACAGTGTTTGCTAAGCTAATCTAAAATTAAACTACTGGTGCCACTTTGTTTCAAAATATACATGTTGTTTTCATTTTTCTACCTACTTGGTAACGTTTCAGTCAGCCTTTCTTTTCCAAAGCACTAAATGCTTGTTTATTGTAGATTAAACAGATGACACTTAGAAATGGCCATTTTCTTTCATGTGTTATTCAATGCTGGAATGACGCTAAACTTTTTGTATTTGAGATTTTTTCCAACTGTGGTAACGTCTGCACACATTAGATCAAATGTGCAGTTTTTTGTTTTTGTTTTTGAGACGGAGTCTCCCTCTGTCGCCCAGGCTGGAGTGCAATGGCGTGATCTCGGCTCACTGCAACCTTCGGCTCATTGAAACCTTCGCCTCCCAGGTTCAAGCTATTCTCCTGTCTCAGCCTCCCAAGTATCTGGGATTACAGGCATGTGCCACCACCCCCGGCTAATTTTTGTATTTTCAGTAGAGATGGGGTTTCAGCATGTTGGTCAGGCAGTTCTCGAACTCCTGACCTCAGGTGATCCACTCGCCTCGGCCTCCCAAAGTGCTGGGATTACAGGTGTGAGCCACCACCCCCTGCCAAATGTGCGGTTTTTGTGAAACGCAGATCTTAGGTGTATAACCTGGTGGATGTTTTTAATCACCTTGCAACCAAGGTCCCTATCTAGTGTCGAAGCCTGGGAGTGGTGAGTTGTGTGCTTCTGAAGACAGGTGCAGTTGGGTCAGAGTTTTTAAAAACACGATAAAATGTAAAAATACGGAGTCCCACCGTTCCCTTCCGATTCTGGAGGATCATTTTGCTTTGTTACACTTTGCTTCGGTATCGAGTTTTTGAGTGTGGGGAACTTTCCGGCCCGGGCTGACAAGGGCTGCCAGGGCCAACGCCGTGCGCTTCTCATCCACGGATTCTCTACGGGAACTGCGCCGGGACCCAGAGGGTCGCCCCGCCCGCGGCCGCCTGCACCCGCCCAGCGAAGCCCTGCCCCGGCGGGAACTTTAACCAGGACGACCCAGCCAGACGCCCCCTCTGCGGGGGAGGCGAGGGCGGTGATCTCCGGGCCCACCGGACTCACCTGTTTGAAGCAGAAGGGCATGGTGAGGACACTGACCCCTACGATGCTGTTCACGATGTTCGTGATCAGCCCCCAGTTGGAGGCGGCGGCCGCGGTCATAGTGAGAGGTCTAGGGGCCCGGGGCGAGAGGCCTCGGGGGTCGCCGGGCTGCGGCCGGCTTTGGAAGCCCAGCCCGAGGCCACGGTCACAGGTCCCAACGTCCGGGACGCCGGTGGGGAGGGGATGGGCAGCCTGAACACGGGAGCCTGAGCAGGCGCGGGCGCGGGCCCCAGAGGCTGCCTGGAGGAGGCAGCCTCGAAGGCCGGCTGCGGGGGCGAGGTCAACCTCCGGACCCCGCCAAGCCCTGCGGCCGCCTCAGGGCCATGCGTCCCTCGCTCGGCCTCGCGGGCCGCCTGTGAATCTCCGAGCCCAGACCCGGAAGAGCCGCAGAGCCAGCTAGGGACACCTCAGCCCAACTCAGCTGCCGCCGCGGCGCTCACACTTCCGCCTTCCACGGGCTCCGTTGCCCGGAAGTGACGGCCAGGGGGTAGGGTTTGGTGGGACGCGAGCCAATGAGAGGCGGGCCCGGAGGGGCGGGCGGAAACTGGGCCGGTGGGCACCTGAGGGTCTCGCAGCTGTCCGGTTCGCCAAGCTGGTCCAGCCGACCTGTGCCCGGGGCCCCAGTTCAACGAGCTGGAGGACAAGGGACTCGCCCCGCGAGGCCTCGGTTTGGATGGGCAGTCGCGGGCTGGAGAGAAGGGGAGGCGCTGTGCCTTCCGGGGAGGAGCGGGTTTAAGGGTTCCTTTTTGACCTTTATTCCCAGGACCGATTCTGGGGCGAGTGCTTGGCGCCAGGGCACGGGGGCGGGGGCCCTGACTGCCTCAGCCGAAAAATAGTCTGTTGTGAGGAATTAGCACCTAGGAGGTAGGAATGAAACGCTGGGCACAGAGAGGCTCGGCCACTCCGCTAAGGCCACACAGCTCCAAGGGGAGGCGGTGCCCTGCCGAACTGCGCCCAGATCAGTGGCAATGTTGAACTTCACCTTTTCACACGAAAAGAGCAAGGGACATTCCTGGAGGGGACAGGAGAGGTGGAGGCTTACATGAACAGGGAAACCCGGGAGGGCTTCCAGAAGGAGGTGGCTTCTAGGCTGGAGCTTGAAGGACAAATGAGAATTCCTCGGGTAGAAATGGAGACCGGGGAGAGGAGAGAACAGAGAAGGGTCCCGATAGATCTGTGGATTCCTGGCACCTAGCTGCTCACTCTGAGTCTAATGAATGAGCGCGTAGACCGAATGGCTGGGAAGCAGCAAGTGATTCCAGGCTGCTGGGGGAGGACGGCGGAGGAAAGGAGGCCGTGTCTGCAGCACCTGCAGGACCAGGTGTCTTAGAACAGAGGCCCGTTCCTCAGGCACTGGCAGTGCAGCCACCAAGTAAGGCTGTGCCCCACCTTCAGGAGAACAGGAGGAAATGCCTGGGTAAAGACTAATTAAATACGCAGGCAAAATAACAAATGCCTGCGTTCTTTTTTTTTTTTTTCTTCAGTCAGAGTCTTGCTCTGTCGCCCAGGCTGTATATGCAGTGGTGTGATCTTGGCTCACTGCAACCTCCACCTCCCAGGTTCAAGCTATTCTCATGCCTCAGCCTCCCAAGTAGCTGGAATTACAGGCTCCCGCCACCACACCCGGCTAATTTTTGTATTTTTAGTAGAGACCAGGTTTCACCATGGTGGCCAGGCTTGCCTCAAACTCCCGACCTCAGGTGATCCGCCCACCTCGGCCTCCCAAAGTGCTGGTATTACAGGCATGAGCCACCGCACCCAGCCCATTTACTTTTATATAAATGAAATGGCATACACATTCCATAACCTCCTTTTTATTATGTAATTTTCATCAAATGTTATGCATGCGAGGTAGGCTGGGCAATTTACATGTATGTTTTCACAAATAGCAAATACCATGGACCCGCTATTGAGCTTTAAGAACAAAATATTACCGAAGACTTAGATCCTCCCTTTCAGTTCCTCCCCAGTTCCAGCACCTTCTTCCCCTCTTCCCTGCTATCCTGAGACATCACAATCCAGATTCCATCAATTCATTACTTTTCTTTAAAGGTTTACCATATATGGATATATCCCTAAACAATTATGGGGAAGACTATTTGTCTCTTTTTTTTTTTTTTTTGAGACAGAGTCTCACTCTGTCACCCAGTCTGGAGTGCAGTGGCACAATCTCAGCTTGCTTCAGCCTTTCCCTCCTGGGCTAAAGTGATCCTCCCACTTCAGGCCCTCAGTAGCTGAAACTACAGGTGTGTGCCACCATGCCCAGCTAATTTTCACTTTTTTTGTAGAGATGGGATTTTGTCATGTTGTCCAGGCTGGTCTCAAACTCCTGGGTTCAATCGATCTGCTCACCTCGGCCTCCCAAAGTGCTGGGATTACAGGCGTGAGCCACTGCGCCCAGCTGACTCTCTGTCTCTTAATATTCGTTTATTCCATTTTCCAAATTAATAGGAATTGGCCTGCACGTATGACTGCCTAGGATAAAAAATACACTTCCAGCCGAGCATGGCGGCTCACACCTGTAATCCCAGCACTTTGAGAGGCCGAGGCAGGCAGATCACGAGGTCAGGAATTTGAGGCCAGCCTGGCAAACATGGTGAAACCCCATCTCTGCTAAAGATACAAAAAATTAGCCAGGCGTGGTGGCGCGCACCTGTAATCCCAGGTTCTTGGGAGGCTGAGCCAGGAGAATCGCTTGAACCCGGGAGGCAGAGGTTGCCGTGAGCCAAGAGCGTGCCATTGCACTCCAGCCTGGGCAACAGGGCAAGACTTTGTCTCAAAAAAATAAATAAAAGACTGGGCGCGGTGGCACACGCCTGTAATCCCAGCACTTTGGGAGGCCAAGGTGGGTGGATCACGAGGTCAGGAGATCGAGACCATCCTGGCCAATATGGTGAAACTCTGTCTACTAAAAATACAAAAATTAGCCGGGCGTGATGGTGTGTGCCTGTAATCCCAGCCACTCAGGAGGCTGAGGCAGGAGAATCGCTTGAACCAGGGAGTCGGAGGTTGCAGTGAGCCGAGATCGCGCCACAGCACTCCAGCCTGGCGACAGAGTGAGACTCCGTCTCAAAAAAAAAAAAAAAGAATACACTTGCCAGTGTCCCTTGCAGGTAGGGCTGGCTATGTGACCAAGTTTTGGACAATAAGAAGCAGAAATGACAGGAGAAACTTCTAGGTCATTTCTTAGGAGGGGGTCTGCCGCTCCTTCATCATGCTGTTTGGAACCTAGACACGATGGTAGGAAGCCATCTCGGACAGTGCAGACAAGGGTGATACCGTGGCAGAGTGGAGCACCAAGCTAGAAGGATCCTGGATCCCTGGACAACTCATGGAGCCAAGCCACCATGCCCATCCACGACTACCTCCTCCCAGCTGCTCTGGGAGGGAGAGACAAACCTGCTCCTTGCGCTCACCATGATTTTGGACTCTGTTTCATGAACCCAAAGCTGTAGCCTACCTAGTTCAGTAGTGTATTGGGATGGGGCACCTTTGCATTTTGGACTATTGTAAGAATTGAATTACATATATGTGCTATTCTGCAACTTTCTTTTTCACTCAACTTTGTCACACTTAAATTTCTTTTTTTGTCTTTTTTTTTTCCTTTTTGTGGAGAACGGGGTCTCACTGTATTGCCCAGGCAGGTCTCGAACTCCTGGGCTCAAGCCGTCTTCCTGCCTCTGCCTCCCTGAGAGCTGGGATTACAGGCATGAGCCACCACACCCGGCCAGTTCAACTTTGTTCACAAGAATTGCCATCATGTTGCATGTGCTCTGAGTCTCATTCTTGCTGCTCTGTGGAACTCCGTTACTTAAATAGCCCAGATCCGCATCCATTCTCCTGCCGAGGGCACCTGAGTTGTGTCCAGTCACTTGCCTCAGAGACAGTGATCCAGTGAACAGATTTGTCTCCTGAACGTGTGTTTGTTCAAGTCTCTCTAGGGTAAACACCTACAAGTGGAACTGCAGAGTATGCGTATGCATACCTAAATGACTTTACTAGATCTTGCCAAATTGCTCTTCAAAGTAGCTATAAGAGCTCTTCCTGGTTTACAGCAAAGGTTGGCAAACTTTCTATTAAGAGTCAGACAGTAAATATTTTTTGCTTTGCGGGCCTAATGGTCTCTCGCAAATATTCAGTTGTGTCATTAGTCTCTCGCAGTGCCAAATGGTCTCACAAATATTCAGTTCTGCCATGGCAGATCAGAAGCAGCCAGAGACAATATGTAAACAAGTGGGCATCTCTGTGTTCCAATAAAACTTTATTTACAAAAACAGCAGCTGGCCCAGTGCGGCCTCAGGGCTTAGCTTGTGGGCCTCTGCTCCAACATTTGGTTATTGTCAGTTTGGCCAGTCCGGTGAATGAAATGGAATCTCTTTGTGGCTCTAATTTGTTCTTATTACAAATTAGGTGAATTATTTATTCATATTTTTATTGTCCATTTTTCTTCTGTGAAATGCTTACTCATTTTTGCTTGTTTTCCTATTTAGCCGTTCTGAGGAATTTCGGTGCTCGATAATAACCAACTCTGTGTCCTTCGATGCGGGTTTGATGTCTCCTCATTGCTGTAGTTTTTCATTAAACAAATTACCACAAACTAAGCAGCTTCAACAACACAAATTCGTTACGCATGGGCTCTGGAGGTCAGAAGTCCAGCACAGATCGAGGTGTCGGCAGGCTGCCTGCCTTCTGGAAGCTCCGGGAGACAGCTGGCTTCCTGCTCTTTGGTTGTTGGCTGAGTCCAGCCCCTTAGGGTCGCAGGACCAAGGTTCCTGTTTTCTTGCCGGCTGCCCCCTGAAGCTGTCCCCAGCTTCTGAAGGCCTTCTGTTCCCTGGCTCACAGCCCCTTTCCCTAACTTCCCCATGGAGAGGAGCCAGTCCTCCTGTCCCATCTCCGGCCCAGCTGAGGAAGGTTTTCCAACCCTAAGGTTTCGTGCGATTAGATGGAGCCCATCTGGATAATCTGGGATCATCTGCCATCTCAAGGTCTAACCTTAATCACATCTGCAAAGTCCCTTTTGCCAAGTGAGGTCACATTCACGGGTTCCGGTATGAGGGGTGCACACCTTAGGGGGCCGCAATGCTGCCGGCCACCGTCACGCTGAGATTCAGGCCATGTGTCCCTGTCACAGAAGTGAAGCCTTTTGGACACTGCATCCCATCTGTGGTGCACAGTGGCCGTGGGACCCAGGGCTCTTGAGTTTCCTGTCGCCTGCTGGGCTAGGCTTCACCGCTGCAGCCACCTCTTCTGTGGACCTGGTGAATGCTTTGTGGGGATGGGGGTGTCTTCCACGCTGAGTATCCTGGGCCTTAGTGAGCTTTCGGTCAGCCTCCAGCAGTATGGGCTCAGGGTTCCTATCTTATTCTGTGGGTCAGGACCCCTGACTCACTATTGAGATGCTCAGGGTATCCCAGGCTCGGCCTTGTGGGAGCCCTATCGGCTGGCCCCTGGGTCCTTCCGTGTGTCCCTGATGTGATCCCAGCATTCTTGCTTCCCGGCTCCCTGGGATGTTCTTGTGCTTTTCCTGCCCAGGCTGGGCTCGCCATTTCCCCCAGGAGCCCTGGTTTCTGGGAGAGGGAACCTCCTGAGGGAGGGGGAGTTAGCGGCCGAGATCTGGGTGCTGGGTGTGCTTGTGGCGCCTGGGTTCCCTCTGGACAGAGCAAGAAGAGATGTTGGGGGTGTGTGTGTATGATGTGTGTGTGGTATGTGTGGGGTGTGTTATGTCTATGGCGTGTGTGTATGATGTGTCTGTGGTATGTGTGGGATGTGTTATGTCTGTGGTGTGTGTGTATGGTGCATGTGTCTGTGGTTGTGTGCGTGTGTGTGGCATTTGTGGGGTATGTATAATGTGTGTGTGTCTATGTATAGTGTGTGTGGTGTGTATGGCCGTGTATGATTGTGTGGTGCGTGTGTGTGTTTAGTGTGTGTGTGGATGGTGTGTGTGGCGCATGTGTGGGTGGATGGTGTGTTGCACGCGTGTGTGCGTGGGTGGATGGTGTGTTGCACACGTGTGTGGTGCGTGTGTGGGTGGATGGTGTGTTACACACGTGTGTGGTGGGTGTGTGGCTGCGTGGTGTTTGCACGTATGTGTGGTGCATGTGTGGGTGGATGGTGTGTTGCACGCATGTGTGTGGTGCATGTGTGGGTGGATGGTGTGTTGCACACATGTGTGTGGTGCATGTGTGGGTGGATGGTGTGTTGCATGCATGTGTGTGGTGTGGGTGGATGGTGTGTTGCACGCGTGTGTGCGTGGGTGGATGGTGTGTTGCACGTGTGTGTGGTGCGTGTGTGGGTGGATGGTGTGTTGGACGCATGTGTGTGTGTTTACCACACATCCACCTCTAGCTCTGTAACTCTGCATCTGGCTACGTGCACTGAGGCTTTGCACCAACACCTCCAAATACCTGTAGAGGTCCCGGCACGGGGCTCCTCCTGGTGCTCCCCCTTCCTGGTTTGTAACTCCGTCGCTCCCACCTCCCTCGGGCTCCTGCACCCAACCCTGGGCTGCCCCCAACCGTGCCCAGCCTAAATGCTTTGGGATGAGGTGTGAGCAGGAGGAGGGGAGGAGAAAGGAAGCGCCGTGGCCGTCTTCCAGCCAGCACCTTCCAGCTTCAATGCCCACACGCGAGTGTGATCGCCAGAACTGACGGGATATCACTGTCCCACAGGAGCCGTGCTTGGCTTCCTGAGCACCAAGACTATGTCACCCAGGCATGCTACGGAACCTCTCTGAGCCGGCTCCGCGGCTCCCACCGCCGACATGGCTGCTGCAAGGGCAGCAACTTTCCATTAGGTCACAGGGGATGACAGCCCTGGGCACCGTCTGGGAAGAGGGATGGAGGGCTGGCTCGGACCTCTGCAGTCTCTGGGAACCTCAGTCTCCAAGAGCATGGGTCTGCTGCACCCGCTGCACGTCTGTGGTGAGGCTCCTCCTCCTCCCACACCGGGCACCCAAGCACCCTCTGCCCCACAACTCCCACCAAAGAAATGCGGGGCCCCAGCTGCGGTGGAATCCCCTACAAGCCCTGGCCTGCTTCAGGAAAGAATGCCTGGGGGAGGTGGGCGGGCTCAGGAACGCCGAGGTGGGCAGAGCTTGGCCCACGGAGCCGCATGGCCCAGGTGCCCTCGACAGCCGAAGCCTGGTTTTTTTGTTTTGGTTTTTGGGTGGTTTTTTGTTTGTTTGTTTGTTTGTTTGTTTTGAGATAGAGTCTCTATCTGTGTGTCCCAGGCTGGAGTGCAATGGCACGATCTCAGCTCACTGCAACCTCTGCCTTCCGGGTTCAAGCAATTCTCCTGCCTCAGCCTCCCGAGTAGCTGGGATCACAGGCACCAGCCACCACACCCGGCTAATTTTGTGGGGTTTTTTAGTAGAGACGGGGTTCACCATGTTGGCCGGGCTGGTCTTGAACTCCTCACCTCAAGTGATCTGCCCACCTTGGCCTCCCAAAGTGCTGGGATTACAGGCATGAGCCACCTCGCCGGCTGGAAGCCTGTTTAACCCTGGTGTCTGCCGTGCAGTTTCTGGGAGGTCCTGTGTAGGGGCCCCAGTGAGGACTGGCCCCCCTCCTGAGCACTGCTTACTGGGCAGTCCTACGCTCTCCCACCTGGGTCTCCAACTTCTAAGCTGGGGGCGTGAGCAAAGGCCAGGACGGCCCCTCGGAATCCAAATTGGGGCCCCAGTGGGCTTGGGGAGCTGGGGGAGCCTCAGGGGGGCCTGGGCTTTCACCACCCCAGCAGGCAGGAGTTAAAAGTTCACCTGGGCTCGGGTGCCGAATTGTCTAGGAACTCTGGTTCCCATCTCCCTTTCTCAGCGGACTCCCCACCTTTAGAATCACCCAGGGTGGTATCCCATGGAGGGAGGGGAGGGCCCTACCTGGTGGCCTCTCGTCCAGCCCACCCTGCCTCCTGGGGGTCTCTTCCCCGTGTTTCTATAACCCCAGAGCCATAAAACTGACAACAGGTCCAGCAAAGAGACTGGATTTTATTTAGATCCATAGCCCTTCTTAACGCCACAGCCGGGGCACAGCCTGCGGCCGGGGTGCCACCATGTCACCTGACACAGAGGAATCCACCAGCGCCCGCCCATGTCTCATGGCCACACGGGGGCCATCTAGGCTCCCACAGAGGGCTGTGTTGGAGGGGCAGCTGAGGCTCCAGGAGGAGGGACAGACTTTGCAGGGGGCTTCAAGCTGTTCCTGACCCTGCCCCGGCCTGGTGCTCTGGGCCGGGCAGGGGTGTGCTCAGAGCCCATCCTTGGCCAGAGCTCCAGAAGCCGCTGCCCCAGGGCTTTTCTCCTCCATCTGACGCATCTGCTCCCCGGCACCAGCCTGGCTCAGACACCCTCCAGCCCGTGTGTGTGTTCCCGTGGTGGCTCCCATGCTAGGCCAAGGCTTGGGTGGGGCTGAGGCCCAGGGTGTGCTGAGCAGGCCGGGCACCCAGGCACTGCCTGTCATGACTGAAGAGGGCCTGGAGGAACCATGGGGGGCCGGTGGAGTCTGTGCGGGGCGGGGATGGGGGTGCCTTTGAGGCTTTCCCGGTAGGTTACCCCTTGCCTCCAGAGGCCTCTCCCTGGAGCCAGGCAGCCAAAAGACCCTTGTTGGAAACACCACCAGCTGCAGCCCCAGCTCCACAGACTGACGGTCCAGTCCCCTGGCGGCCACCACTGGGGTTTGGGGACTGGGGAGACGGCGCAGCTGAGAATCCTGGGAGGCCTGGAGACCGCACCACCGGGCCGTGCATCAGGATGGGGGACACCTGGCAAAGCCCAGCTGTTCTGTGCCAGCCCTGAGAGACCTGCAGCCAGCTGGCCAAGGTAGGGGGTTGAGCCTCCCCTCCCCAGGTGGCTCCGGGACCCAAGGAGAGAGCCCAGGAGGGCCGGCTCCGCCCACCCTCCCCCTTTCCTGGGAGGTGGGGAACAAGAACAAGGGGCTGGGTTGGGCCACCCACATCTGCTCCCCGGCACCAGCCTGGCTCAGACACCCTCCAGCCCGTCGCTCGCTCCAGATGAGGAGGGCCACAGGGTATTTTCCACGAGGAATTTAGAAATAGCTGTCGGCAGAGCCTTGGTAGGCAGGCTCCCTGTACCCAGGACCCTCACACCCACGTCCCAATTGCCCCACCAAGGGGGCCTGTGACTTCCCAAGGGACTTCCCCCCAGGGGGACTCCACGCCCCCCTTCTCTCTCTGCATGCCAGGGTAGAGTTGTGGCCCCCAAAATTCACATGTTGAAGTCCAGGACCTCAGAATGGGACCTTATTGGGAAATAGGATCACTGCTGACTATACTTAGTTACGATGAGGCCGTGTTGTGTGGTGGGCCCTATCCTCGACGACAGTTGCCCCACAGTAGAAAGGGCAGATCCAGACACCAACATGCACACAGGGAGGACCCGTGTGGACATGAGGGCAGAGGTTGGGCGAGGCGGCCGCAGGCCAACAGACGCCAAGGATGATCTCAGCCTGTGGAAGAGGGGGCGGCCCAGGACAGTCCGGGCTCACGGCCTCAGGGAGCCACCCCGATGGGCTCTGGCCTCGGGAACTGCGAGGCAGTTTCTGTTGTGTGAAGCTCCCCAGTCTGTGGACCTTGTTCCTGCAGCTCGGGAAACTCACACCGCACATCCTGGCGCGCAGGCCAGGCCGCCGCCCGGGTTTGAGGCCTTGCTGCTCCCTTGCTGCCCCCAGCCACCCGCACACTCTCACGGAGCCCAGCTCACGACACCCATGTAGTGTGCGACACTTTTGGAGAACCACAGGAATGTCCTTGATTAAAGCGTGCGCAGGGAGAAACGTGGCCTTGTTCCCACAGATGCCCACCAGGGTCCCTCACCTGCTCCCCCTTGGCGCTGGCCTTGGCCCCTTCCAGCCTGCCCCACCAGGCGGCCGCTCTGGTCCAGGGGCCTGGGTTTGGTCCCTTCCTTGGGCACTTGCAGGCGCTCTTCCTGGCCTGTCTGCCCTCTGCCCTCCCCTTTTCCTGGCCTGTCTGCCCTCTGCCGTCCCCTGCGGCATCCCCCAGCCCCAAGGGCGGTGGTCCCATGGCCAGACGGGATTCCTGTTGGGCTCCCGAGCTCTGGAAATGCGGCCGCTGCTCTGCAAATGTGCCTTCTCTGGGCCCTTCCGCCCTTCGAGTCCATCTCCCTCCCTGGCCTCCACGGTAGGTCCAGGTGAGCAGGGTCCCCTGTGGCCCCCACAGTCCCCTTGTGTCACCAGGCACCATCTGTCCCAGCCTAATTGCTGGAGCTGCTGACATCTGGGCCGGCCACAGTGCCTTCGAGGGCCTGGTTGGTCTCTGAGGCACGGCATCCTGCAGCTGAGGGCCTTCCCTGACGGCTGTGCCCTCCACCAGCCAGGGCCCAGGCACAGCCCCTGAGGCAGGGTGTACATCCCTGGAGGCTGCGGTTGGGGAGGTGGTGGGATGAGCTGCCCTGTACCATGGCTGCGTGTGGGAAACAGCAGGAGGCCGGGGGAGCAGTGAACGGAGCTGGGCCCGCTTCAGGGATCTCGGCCTAGGGCAGGGGGTAGAATAAGGGAACAGAACCAAATTTGTCAGGGGGTGTGAAAGCTGCAAAGGGCTGGTCGGACAGGGAAAGGGGTTCTGGAGGGGAGGGTTTCTTTGTGTAGTGGGTGGAATGGTGGCCTCCAATATGTGATGTCCAACCAGAATCTCAGAATCTCAGAATTGGAGCAAGGGTCTTTGCAGCTGTCATGGAGAGGTTATCTGGAGATGAGGTCATCCCGGATCATCCCAGGGGGCCCTAAGCCCAACGACCCTCATCCTTATAAGGGATGGAAGAGGAGGAGAAACTCACATGAGATGAAGGCAGAGGCCAGAGTGATGGGGCCACAGGCCGAGGAGCACGGGAACCAGGGGGAGCTGGAAAGGCGGAAGGGCTCTGCCCAGAGCCTCTGGGGGCAGCAGGGCCCTGTGGACACCTTGGTTTCAGGCTCCCGGCCCTGGGAGCTGTAGGAGGACACCTGTGCTGTTGTGAGCCTGCCACCCTGGGGTCCTCCATGTGGCAGCCCAGGACCCCAGTGTTCTTTGTTCAGTGGTTCTGGGGTCTCCGAGGTGCTGGGAAGCACAGGTGTGGGGGACCTCAAGACAGGTGGGGCTTTCCCAAAGGAGCAGAGGAGGCACCTGCAGAGGGGCCCAGAGAGCACACCCGGGTTCAGCAGATGGTGTAGAGGGCGCCCGGGCAGAGGATGCACGGGCAAAGGCCCTGGGTTGTGCAGGGCGTTTATAGACGTGCATGGAGTCGGGGAGAGGAGGGCCGGCCCTGGGGGCCGCCTGGGCAGGGCTCCTGCCCGCAGACCAGACCCAGACCTGGCCAGTCCACTCTGGGAGAGTCAGGGTCGGGGGAGCAGGAGGGGGATCCGCAAGCTAGAAGGGTCTCGGGGCTGGCCAGGCTGAGGCCGCGCAGCCTGTGATGAAGGGGGCCGTGAGGGGCTCTCTTCTCCTGAGAGAATTCTAGAACCAGTGGGTGGCTCAGGCCCTGAGACTGGGCGTACTGGGGTGTGTCCATCTGGGACCCAACATGGCAGCCTCCCAGGCCTCAGGAGCTCTCTGGCCTGTGCCACGTGTCCCCAGTGCCCTGGTGGGCTCTGTCCCTACACAGCAGCTTCTTGGGTAGTAGGTGGGCTGCAAAGGGATATCTGAGTTGGGGGTCAGGGGCTGCAGCGACTTGAGCTCAGCCCAGGTGCATGGTGTGAGGAAGCTGTCCCTCTAGACGGCTCGGGGCCCTGAGCTCAGTGCTCCAGGCCTGCCCCCACGGTCCCTAGAGGGAGGCAGGTGGACAGGACATGCCTGGACAGGACAGAGCCTGGGCTGGCAAACACTTGGAGGGGGCTGGGGCTCCCGCCTGCCTCTCCCCAGCACCGTCTCAGCACAGGTGAGCAGAGAAACCAGACCCTCCCCCTCAGCCTGTTGGAGGGCAGAAGTGAACACCCCTGTCCCCCAAATCCCTGTCATGCTTTTTTGAGCCCCAGGAGGGGACACGGCATTGTCCTGGAGCCACAGCATTGGTCTGACTCTGACTCGCATTCGATGATGGTGGACCCGTGGGCAGGTCACGCTCCTCCCTGGGCCTCAGGAGCCGCCCAGTGCCAGAGCCGGGGGCACAGCATGGCAAATGTCATTCCCAGCCTGCCTGGCTGCCTGGCAGCTCTCGAGAGAAGCCCACAGCCCCGCTCCTGTCTCCCTGCTTCCTTTGAGTGAGGCCCGGCCTGGCCCTCTGCCGTGTTCAGGCCACCAGCACCGGCTGCACAGCCAGCGCCCACCAGAGTTGACTCCTCGGGCCTCTGAGCACCTTCCCACTGCCTGGAGTGGCCGGCTGACCAGCGTCCATGCACTGCCTTCCCCACCCAGAGGCATCTCCCTGTCATTGTTGAGTGCGCAGTTCCCAGCTAGCAATCACCTCCCCATCCTCACGAGCACCGGGCATGGTCCTGTGACTACAACCTGAGCAATATAAGCAGAAGGGCTGGGCCGACTTCATGGCTTGCCAAAAGACCCTCCCCCTCCCCCTCCTCCTTCCCTTTCTCTTCCCCCTTCCCCTTCCCCTTCTCCCCCTTCCCCTTCCACTCCTCTTCCCCTCCCCCTCCCCCTTCCCCTTCCCCTTCCCTTTCTCCTTCCCCTCCCCCTTCACTTTCCCTTTCTCCTTCCCCTTCCCTTCCCCCTTCCGTCCCCCTTCCCCTTCCCCTTCCTCTTCCCCTCCCCCTTCTCTGAATCAGGGTCTCACTCTGTCACCCAGGCTGAGGTACAGTGGTGAGATCATACCTGGGACCACAGGTGCACATGGCTAATTCTTGTATTTTTTGTAGCGACAGGGTTTTGCCATGTTGGCCAGGCTGGTCTCAGACTCCTGGGCTCAAGTGATCCACCAGCCTCGGCTTCCCAAAGTGTTGGGATTACAGGTGTGAGCCTCCATGCCCAGCCCCAGCTGAAAGCTTTTCAGTAGTCTTTTACCTTCCCTCCTTTCTCCTTCCTGCTGCCTGGAATGCAGATGCAATGGCTGGAGCTCCTGCGGTTGCTATGGAACCATCCTTGACTTCTCCCTTTCAGTCACACCCCTCATCCAATCTATCGGGAAATTCTGTTGAGTCCATGTTCAGATATCCACAGCTTGGACCACTTCTCCCCACTTCCTGTGTCTCCACCACGATCCGGGTTATCTCTCTCCGGGATCGTCATGTTCTCCTCACTTCCGTCCTGGCCTCCCCATGGTCTGTTCCCACCCAGCAGCCAGAGGGTGAGACCATGTCAGCCTCTGCTCAAACCCACCCTCAGCCCAGGTCCTCACAGGCACCCTGCAGGATGCGCCCTGCCTCCCCTCGGGCCCTCCCAGCACCCCCTAGCTCACTGCCTGGCAACCCCACTCCTGCTGGTGGGCCTACAAAAGCTCTGTAGCATTTGCTGAGGAACAAATGAAACCTGGACCCCAGGGATGGAGGCCGTGGTGGGGGGGCACCATGGAGAGGGGGAGGCACTGTAGAGGTGGGGACACCGTGGAGATGGGGGGGGCGCCGCCCCAGCCCGGCTGCCTGCCCACCACCCATTGAGCAAGCCTCTGGTATTTAAGCCACTGTTTGATTTAGGGCCCAATGAACGAAGCCAGCCAATAGCAATCTCTCACTGTTACCCTCTCCATTTTATAGATGGAGAAACCGAGGCTCAGAGAGGCAACGCAGTGTGCTCAAGGCCACAAGACTTCTAGGTGTGGGCCTGGGCTGCATGCAGGGTGAAGGTTATCATGACCCCCAAGCTCAGGGCACCCCAGGGATGCAGCTCTGACCCCTGCCCTGAGGATGGGACACTCCAACCCTTTCTCTTTTTTTTTTTTTTTTTTGAGACGGAGTCGCACTTTGTTACCCAGGCTGGAATGCAATGGTGAGATCTCAGCTCACTGCAACCTCCGCCACCTGGGTTCAAGTGATTCTCCTGCTTCAGCCTCCGGAGTAGCTGGGATTACCGGCATCTGCCACCACACCCAGCTAATGTTTGTATTTTTAGTAGAGATGGGGTTTCGCCATGTTGACCAGGCTGGTCTCCAACTCCTGACCTCAGGTGATCCGCCCGCCTCAGCCTCCCAAAGTGCTGGGATGACAGACGTGAGCCACCGCACCCGGCCAAACACCCCAACTCTTTCTGCTGCATTGAGTCCAGCAGGGTGCCCTGAGGGACTGGCCCCGGGGACATTTTCAGCCACTTTAGGGAAAAGAAGACGTAATGCTCACACTAACCGCCCCACACCCGACTCCAGGCTGGCCTGGCGCCATACCCTCGGGGTCTCCAAGAGAGGCAGGGCTGGTCCCCACCCACCACCTCCCCTCACCTTGGTCTTGGTGTGTGGAGCCCTTGGCCAGGTCCCAGGCAGTCGTGGGTAACACCGCAGACGTGTGTTACCCAGGGCGGGGCCCCTGAGAGCTGGGGTGGTTCAGAGCCCGTCCCCACTCCGGGAGCAACGTCAGGGCGGGGCGGGGCTGGACGGACAATGTGACCTTTGCAATGTCCCCGAACAAGAACTGCAGATGGTAATCACGGCCACCAGGAGGAAACTTCCTCTGAATCTTCCACTACCGTGGTGTAACTAGGGAGGGTGTTGGAGCATTCAGCGAGATAAAAAGCCTGCTTTTGTCTACACTTTTTCCGTTTTCTAAAAATTCCAGACACAAGGGGAGAGCTGCCCAAACACAGAGGTGGAGAGGAGCCTGTCCGGACACAGGGACACAGGCAGCTCCGGCAGTGACCACTTGGGCCTCAGAGAAACTCACAGGTGGCCACTACTCCTGTTTGGAGCTGGAGGCAGATCATCTGGGGCGCCTCGGGGTAGGGAGGAGCTGGTGGACAGCACGCCCCACTTCTTCCCCAGCCCCTCCAGGGGGAGCTGCCATTCCGCAGCTGGTCCACCCAGCCCCAGGAAGGGGGAGGCTCCCCAGGACAGTAGCCCAAAGAGCAGAGGGTCTCCCCGAGAAGGTGCACCCCAGGCAGGGCTTATCCACATACCACTAGGCTGGGGGCCCTGCTCCGGGGGGTTGGGGTGGCTGGAACCTTAGATGGTCCCATCCTGTTGGGGGGCTTCCTGGGCCGCTTTGCTGCTCCCAACTGTGGAAGGTTCTCTCTTGCCTTCCCTTTCCTGCTGTTAGAAGCACCCCAGCCCCTCCAGGCAGCCCCCAGGGCCCGAGTGATGAATCACTGACTTCTTGCCAGGCTCCGGTCGTGATGCGGGGTGGCAGAGGGATGTGGGCAACGCAGCTGGGAGTCCCGGGGCACAGCCGGGCTCTCTCCAGGCTCCCCATCCAGCAGCTGCGCACCCCCCCAAACACACGCCGGGCTCCCCGCACCCGGAAGCTGCCCACAACCGGCAGGACAGGTCGGTGGGCCCCGGGGAGGAATGCAGGAATGCTGCGTGCCCAGGCGAGGGGCCCTGCGCCCGCCCAAGGGGCTCTCCAGCTGCGCAGGGGCCGGGGCGGATGGAGCCGGGGTAATTAAAGCTGGTGACAGCTGAGGAGGGATAGAGACAGGAACACAGGTGGGGTCCCAGGCCCCTCCGCTTGCTCCCCAGGCAGAGGGCTGGAGCGGCCCCCAGGAGAGTGCCACCTTCGTGGGGCAGGAAGAGAAGGTTGCAGGGGCACTGGGTGTCAGTGGACATTGAGGTCTAGGAGAGGCCAGCTCTCAGCTGCAAAGGGCAGGCAGAGTCACCATGTGCCGGGCCTGGCCGGGCCCTCCCAGTTCCCATCCAGACACCCAGACACCCAGACACCCAGACACTGGTCTCGTCCAGGCCATCACGTGGTCAGGAATGGTGTCTGCCTTTGATAGGTGAGGACCCGGGTGCTGTAGGATCTGCTGCTCTAAATGAAGGCAGGCGGTGCTGCCCCAGCGGGAGGACAGCAGCTCCAGGCCTGACAAGGCTCTAGGCCTCAGCTTCCTTATCTCTCCCGAGCCCAGGTTGACATCCCTTTCCCACCTTCCACAGCCAGAGGACTAGACAAGTGTCTTCACCGGAGCCTCGTTTCCTCATCTGAAATATAGCGCTAACCACCCCTCCCTCCCGTGGCTGTGGCAATAAATTAAATGAAGCCCACAGAGGACCTAGCACACAGTACGTGCTTAATCAATACAGAACCCCTCCCCCAGCACTGCCCGCCCTTCCCCTGGAAGCAGCCACGCTTACCTCCACCACCTCCTCTCCATGGTCATCAAACACTCGTGACAGGCCGGCCTCCCCCTGCTGAGACCCTGAGAGGTCCAGGCCTCTGCTCCTCGTCTCTGCCACGCCTGGTGTCATGAGGGTGAAACAGGCCCTTGGGGGACGTTCGGACTGGCTTCCTGTGATGGCCGCCAGCATTAGTAGCGTTGTTACTGCTGCCTGGACACACACAGACGCCTCACAGAGCAATGCAACATGTGGGTGAAGTTTTCAGATAAAATCGGAGATTTAATAGAATTCCCGCAGGGTGCTGAGCTCCAAACCCAGGCCACACATGGCACACGCAGGGCCTGTCAGGGCTGGGGCTGATGACCAGGGTCAAGGGGATCCCAGGGCCCTCCAGCTCTCCCCCAGCTCCTGATGTGGAGGGGAGGGAACTCCCGCTCACCCCCAGAGAGAAGGGAGTCCACACACCGCATCTGAGCTGGCGGTGGGCAGGGTACCCACCTCGGTGAGCAGCCTGGGGTGGGCCTGGGGTCAGGCTGAGGTCCCGGTGACAAAGGCTGGGGAGGTGGATGCAGACAGCCTCCACTTTCACCATGGCCTCCCTCCTCTGAGGCCAGGCCTGGGATGCTTCTGCCCCACAGCTCCGGTCCACCTGCCAGGCCTGTCCGTCCTTGGATGAGGGCAGGGAGAGGTGGGGTGGCCACTGGCAAGTAGAGACTTCAAAAGTGCACGGTGGCCCTTCCACGCCCTTTGCTTCTTAGCCCCCAACCCTCTGCCAGGCTTTCTCCCTTTTTCCCACGCCCCGCACAGACAGGTATCCTGCCCTCAGCATCTCACAGGGGTGAGTGGCAGCCAGGAGCAGCAGCAGATGCCTGTGGGGAGATGAGACGCCCTCAGCTCCCAGGCCCCGCTCCTGGGGAAAAACAGGGCCCCAGGAAGGTGCCCCAACCGTTCCTGGGGGCCCCAGCCCCGAACAGGGGGTCTTGAAAGGGAACTCTTGTGTGGTGAGTGCCCCCTGAGGGCTGAGCCACAAGGTCACCTTGATTTCTCAGCGGACGGAGGCTGAGCTGGCTAGGGTTCCAGGCTGGGTGTGGGAGGGTCACCCCAACAGGCGATGCCCGAGAGGTGTCCGGGCCTGGCTTTCCACGAGGAAGAACCAGTCCCCTGTGCCATCTGCAGGGCTTGCCACACAATCTGGGGACCCGGTGCAGGAGGAGAATTCCTGGCCACTTGTTTAGGAGGCAGGAAAAGGGCCGGGCGCGGTGGCTCACACCTGTAATCCCAGTGCTTTGAGAGGCCGAGGCGGGTGTATCAGGAGTTTGAGATCAGCCTGGCCAACATGGTGAAACCCCGTCTCTACTAAAAATACAAAAATTAACCGGGTGTGGTGGTGCACTTCTGTAGTCCCAGCTACTCGGGAGGCTGAGGCAGGAGAATCGCTTGAACCTGGGAGTCGGAAGTTGCAGTAAGCCAAGATCGCACCACTGCACTCCAGCCTGGGTGACAGAGCAAGACTCTGCCTCAAAAAACAACAACAAAAACCCGCAAGTTCAGAGGTAAAATGATTAAGAATTTCAGGACAGCCTTAGCCACAGGCCCCTCTGATGCCAGGCCCTGGGCAACTGCCCTCCTCACCACCCATGCAGCCGGTCCGTTTCTCGGTAAAGACTTTTCTAGAAGTGTCAGCTATGGGTCAAGGCTTGGGAGAGGGGCCAAGAGAAGACCTAGCGGATGGCAGGAAGAGGCACCTGCTGAGCTTTGGGAAGTTCCCTTAGGGCTGATGTGGGGGCTTCCCTGCTGGGCGGCAGACCACATAGCTGTGCGGGTTCTTCTTCAGCCAAGAATCATGCATGGCTCCTGCCACTGTGTGGGACGGAACCCCGTGACCAGGAGTGGGGTCTCCTGGCAGGCAGCACACCCCACGATGCCCCCCAGGAAGCCGAGTTTGTAACTCCTCCTGTTAAGGGAGCCCTGTGGTCAGGGCCAGGACCCTCCCTCCTCTTGAAGATGCCAGCAGAGCCCTGGCTTGCAAGAACTTGATGTGTGCGTTTGCCTGACCGGGAGTCAGGCGACTGGTGTGTCCTGGACACCTGCGAACCAGGCAGACGCTTCTTCACCGGGAGCTCCGGCCCCGGTGGGGCTGGGGCTGGGGCTGGGGCTGGCCTCCCACCTGTTTGGTAGCGGTAGCATCATCTCAGCCAGCACTCAAGTACGTGACAAAGTCATGCAGAGCTGGCAGGGGAGGCACAGGAAGACCCTGTGGTCCCGGGCTACCAGAATTCTGTTTGGGGGATATGGGGTCGCTCCTGGCAGAGGTGGGGGGCATGGGAAGCTGAGCTGTTTTCCCTCGAACGTCTGCTGAAAGTTTTCTGAACAGTTCCATACCTCGTTGTAAGATCAGAGCTTGCCAGCTGAAAATGAAGGACATTCACTGTTTCAGGAGGTGGCCGGGGTGGCTGCTGAGGCCTCCGACCTCCCTCCTGCAGAGGCCACAGGCTGAGTGGGTCCCCACATTGGCCCTGTCTGGCCCTGTCTGCACCGGTGATCTGAGGACCCTGCCACCGTCAGGAGAGAACTCTGAGTCCGAGAATCTAAAGTTGACTTAAGAGGTGAAAAACACGATGAGGAGGAAGAGATGGCAGTCACCTCCCTCTAATCCCTGCACCCCGGCCCCACAGCCCCTTCATCCTCACCACCCCGCAGGCTGCCAGCGAGAGGGAGGAGGGAACCAGGTGCAGCCCCCCTGCAAGAAAGCCAGACTGCCCCCAGGCAGGCCCTTCATGTCTTCGCCTTCTTATCTTCATCTCACAGAGGCAGCTGGGCTCAGCACAGTCCCCCCAAGGAGACCGAGGTGGGGACCCCTGGGGAGACGTCCTCGGGCCCTGCAGCAGGGTGGGGGGCCGGAGCCAGGCTGTGAACAAAGACCAGGTAAGGAGATAAATCAGCTGCCCGATCACATTTCCTGCCCTGAAAGCTCCTGTAAAACATGAGAGAAAATTGACCTGTCAGGGGAATAGATGGGCCCAGATAGTGGCCGCCCGCCCCGGGCCAGCTTCCCTCCACCCATCCCACCTGCACAGAGCGCCCCTGCCCGGCCTGGGCAACCCCAGAGGGAACCCAGGCCCGGGGAGAGGTGGCCCCCATCCAGGCCTCCTGTGGGGGCTCTGCTCCCAGCCCCCACCCTTTGCATGCCCCTGACAGACGAGGCCCAGCTGCTCAAGCCCATCAGGCTATAAAACGGATGGAGACCAGGGGCGGTGTCAGCAGACAGCTAGAGTACCTTTTAAAAAATGTAATCTCTTTTTATTTCCCTCCCCTGCCCTCCCTCCTCCCTCCAGACCATAACCTCCCCGCCACCCCTCCCCTCTTCCTGCGCAGCCCTGACCTTGGTGCACAGACCTTGGTGTGGGGTGGCCGGAGGCTTCAAGGACGCCCTCCTCACCTTGAGAAGCATCGGGCTCAGCCAAGCTAGCCTGTGGGGGCAGGGAGAGAGGGAAGCAGAGCTGATGTGGACAGGCTGTACCCCCCCCAAGGTGACCCCACCACCTGCAACTCCCCCAGCACCGGGGTGGCCTGGGAGTGCCAGACGGGGCCCCTGCCTGAGGAACAGGATGGGAGGCCTCTGCAGTCAGCTCCTCCACATGACGGAGGGGCACCTCTGGCCTCCCGGGGCCGCACAGAGCCAGGCTGGCCTCCAGCTCAAATGTTCCTCACCCAATCCCGCCGCAGAGCCTCCACTCTCTCTCAGCCCATCTTATGGCTGAGGCCAGGGAGGTCGGCAGGCTCGGGAGACTACCTGGTGTCCTGTTAGTGGACACCATGCAGGGCCTGGGACCCCAGCTCTGCCTGGTCCCCACGCCCAGGCCCTGCCAGCCCTACAGTAGTACCACGTTAGAGCCCCGGCCTGCAGGGGCCATGCTGTGACGGCGGGTCCTCAAGCGGAGGGCTCCCAGCTGCCGCCAGTCAGAGGCATCAGGCTGCCTCAGGGAAGTCCCTTCTCCAATGCCTCTTTGGCCGCACAGGGAGCCCCTGTGTGTCCCCCGCCCCCCAGGGTCTCTGCTGGACAAGAGGCTGCAGCAGCCGACCGGGGCCAAATGCATCTTCTTCATCCTCCCTCAGGCTCAGCTGGGAAGGAAGGTGCTGAGAGGAGGGGAGGTGGCCTCTGAGCTCACTCAGGCCTCCCCAGCCACCCAACACTGCCTCCAGGTCCCGTGGGCTGCCCAGCTGGCCCCAGGGGACAGCCGAGTCCATCCACTGGCACACGCCGGAGTCTGACCAGTAACCAGGCCTGACCAGCCGACCCTTCCCCTCCATCCCCTCCTGAACAATGGCTCTTTCAGCACATGGGCAAGAGGCCACTGGCCAGCAGGAGCAGGCAGATGACTGACAGGGCCAGAGGGAGTGGGAAAGAGGCTGGAGCTCCAGCCCAGGGGTGGCGGGCAGCCAGGGAGGGCAGCCACGCGCCATCCTTAGGGCTGGGGGCCGACAGAGGGTCCCTGAGGGTTGGGAGAGTAGGGAGGACCCAGGGCCTGGGGTGGTGACAGGGCACAGGTTGAGGAGCGTTGCGCAGGGCAGGGTTGGGTTGCACCCACGCTCTCCCCAGCACCTGGCAGCTCCCCGAGGCTGAGGCCTCTGGGGCCCCAGAGCTGCCCAGGTCTTCTCGGCTTCCCGGCCTCAGCCTCCCCTCACCCTGCCCTGCCCTGCCCCAGGCATCACTCCCTCTCCTGGGACCTCCCAGACCTTCCTCTGGGCTCCACACGTGGCAGGGACTCTCCTGCCCCAGGATCCTCCCCAGGCGTTGCCCGGAGTGAGGACTGTTCTAAGCAGCCTCACCATCCACCTGGGAGCACAGGCTGGGGTCCGGAGCCTCCCCTGAGGGTCTGGTGCGGGGGACAGTAAGAGTTGAGGGTATATCCTTGTCTCTTACGTGTGTGTACACATGTACACACACGTACTCACATGCACACCTCATGCACGTGGTCTTTTCCCACCTGCCCCCGTCAGTCTGCTGTCCCAGACCCTCACACTGGGGCTAAGGGTGTGCTTGGCTGCGAGGGGAAGCGGGGACTGTCTGGCAGCTGCATGGGCTCTGCCAGTCTGGGGCGCTGTGCGAGGGATGGAGGCTACAGGGGCTGGAGGACAGGCAAGTGGCAACGCGGAGCCATAGCCCTGCAGGAGCCGGCCGGAGGGGGTCCCTCTGCCTCGGCTGCCTTCTCCGTCCTCCCTCACTGCTGTTCCTACAGCCCCTGGCAGGGCCGGCGGCCTAGGGACCCTGAAGGGCAGGCCCGCAGGACTGGTCTTCACACTCTGCCCGGGGCAGCCCCACCCCCTGAGTCCTGTCCTGTGCAGTCCTCTTGCTGCGTTGGTGAGATGTCTCAGAAGGCAGAATGGGGCAGATTTGCTTTCTTCTGTTTTGTGGTTTAAGCTTCATCATGCCAGCCCTGGCTCCCTGGCCCTGAGCCCTGGAGGGGCCCTGGCTCCTGCCTCAGGGTCCCTCCAACCCCACTGCTCAGCCCAATTGTGAACTCTCTGTTCGTCCATCGCCGTTGGGTTTATAGTCTCTGGCCGCTGACCCTGGCCAGGTGGCCCTTGGCATTCTGTCCAGGACACCTGTCTGAGGGTCCCCTCCACACCCCAGCCCTTCCTCCACCTCCACTCTGCCTGAAATCCATGATATTAACTGCTCAGTCCCGTGGGGCCCAGGTGCAGACTTATGTAGGGCAGGCCTGGGCTCCCCAGGGCCCGGCTGACGGGGAAAAGCAGGTTACAGTCACCACGCCTCAGGGCTGGGCACATTTATAGAAGCAGCCAGGAGCTGCTCATGGACTCTGGGATTTCAAGGCCTCCCTGGCATGGGCAGGGTGATCCGCGCTTGAATAAGTGAGTCATGCCCAGTGTCACTTCAAAGCCCCGAGTTCCAGGGACTCACTCTATGCCTGCAAAGGGTGGTATGAAGAATAGGCATCAGGCCGGGCACGGTGGCTCACGCCTGTAATCCCAGCACTTTGGGAGGCTGAGGCAGGTGGATCACCTGAGGTCAAGAGTTCGAGACCAGCCTGGCCAACATGGTGAAATCCTGTCTCTACTAAAAATACAAAAATTAGCCAGGCATGGTGGTGGGCGCCTGTAGTCCCAGCTACTTGGGAGGCATGAGAATGGTTTGAACCCAGGAGGCGGAGGTTGCAGCGAGCTGAAACTGTGCTACTGCACTCCAGCCTGGGTGACAGAGTGAGACTCTGTCTCAAAAAAAAAGAAAAAAAAAAAGGATAGGCTTCAGACATACCCCTAGGTAGTCCCCCATTCTGATGTGTTTTCATACAACTTTATTTTTCCATATCTCCAAAAAATTAAGTTTTCTAACTCTAATGGAACCAAGAGAAACTCATGAAGCCAGCAAGGTTAGGTTCCCACATGTGGACTGGCATATTCGGGGCCACCCGTCTGGGGGTGTGGATAGAGTAGGGAACCATCTGGAGATAAATATGTCATGGGGACTTAGGAGCTTGGGAACAACCAAGTCCCTTGCTGTCCCTGGCTGGGCCCTGGTCTTGCCACACCTGGGAGATCCCATGGCTCCTCTTCCTCTCGCCCCTCAGGACTGGCTTGCCGGAGCCTGCCCCCTGCACGGGCCCTCGTGGGGGCTCCCTGCCTGCCTACGCCTGACCCCCATCCCCCGAGTGGAGCCGGACAGGGCTGCCTGCAGCTCTGTCTTCCGAAACACACCTCTCTCTCCCACAAAATAATTTAATGCAGTTTAATGCCTTGAAGTTGATGTAAAAATTACAGGCGTGTGCGGGTGGGGTGGGGTGGGGGCCTCGTAAGAAATTCTTTTGAAAATATAATTGAGTTAATGGAGCCATAACTATGTCTCATTTTGGGGGTAATTGGCCTGCTTTTTGTCACCCTGTCCATTTACATACTCCTGTTTTCTTTTTGCTATTGATTTTTTCTTTATAAAGTGGGCCACTTTACTGCAATTTTTAAAGCCCCGGTGATGAATAAAACCTCATCTTCCCACTCATTAAGACACAAGAATTAGCCGGGCTCAGGGCCCAGCCAGTCAATTTGTTTAACAATCCCAGGCTGGCCGTGTTTTGGTGGAGACCAGGGGCTGCCTGCCGCAAGAGGGGCTAGAGCCGCTGCCAGAAGGTGGCCCCAGGCGAGGGGTCCCCCTCAGGGGAGGAGTCTGCCGCCTCCGCCTGCCCCGGGACCTTGACCTTGGGACACCCCTCCCTCTCCCCATCTCCCTCCCTTGCTAAAGGCTTCAGCAGCCTTGGACCCCTCGGAGTTGGCCTCACTGCGGCTGTGATCCAGAGGCCCCACCCACCTGCCTCTCAATGCAGATCAAGGTCACACTTCCTATAGAAAATTTTTTTTTAATTATAAAATCCATGCACACACAAAGCAAATGAAGCCAATGGCACAATGAGATTTAAAGCAAAAAGTAGCAAACCCCTCCCCCGGCAGGCTCCAGAGAGACGTGTATGAATGGCTGGCTCCTTATTCCCCTCCCAGGCACTGTGCATGCGGAGAGGTCCATTCTACACGCATCAAATCCTCACACAGTTCGAATCCTGCCATACCTGCCACTCGCAACTTGGCGTTCCGTTTAATTTCATTTACTGTCACATGGACATCGTCCATAGTAGTACCGAGACCCACACGCCATGTTTCATGACTTTGTAGTATTTCTCTGCCTGTCCACTCTGTAGGGTATTTGGAGTCACCAGCTGCCTGAGGGCTCTAGGGGATTAAAGAGTTTCCCAGTGCCGGCCGGGCATGGTGGCGGGCGCCTGTAGTCCCAGCTACTCGGGAGGCTGAGGCAGGAGAATGGCGTGAACCCAGGAGGCGGAGCTTGCAGTGAGCCGAGATCGCGCCACTGCACTCCAGCCTGGGCGACAGAGACTCCGTCTCAAAAAAAAAAAAGAAAAGTTTCCCACGGCCTGGGGTTTTCAGTGCTAATACCGGGATCGCCCTGGGCAAACTGGGATGGCTGACAGCTTATATGTATTTGCCCAGTTGTACTGTTGGACATTTAGGTTGCTTCTAATTTTTCAACATAACAAAATGTCACTGCAAAGCACACCTCTGTTCATGTAGCTTTGTGACCTTATGCAAGTATATCTGGAAGATAAAATTCCTAGAAGAACAAATTACCAGGTGAAAGCCACGCAGATTTCAAATTTTGATTGATGTTGCCAAATGGCCCAGCAAATGCGTGCCAATGTGCACATCCCTCCTGCCCAGGGATGAGAACCTGCCTGTTTCCCTGCATCTATGGCAAAGCAGGATATTGTAAGTCATTTTGATCCTTGTCATCTGATAGGTGACAAATAGAATGTTGGATTTTAATTTTAATCGGCTTTATTGAGATATACTTTATTTTTTAATTTTTAAATTTATTTTTATTTTTATTTTTTGACACGGAGTCTCGCTCTGTCACCCAGGCTGGAGTGCAATGGCATAACCTCGGCTCACTGCAACTTTTGCCTCCCGGGTTCAAGCAATTCTCCCTGCCTCAGCCTCCTGAGTAGCTGGGATTACAAGTGCCTACCACCATGCCCAGCTAATTTGTTGTATTTTTAGTAGAGATGGGGTTTTGCCATGTTGGCCAGGCTGATCTCCAACTCCTGACCTCAGGTAATCCACCCACCCCAGGCTCCAAAAATGCTGGATGACAGGCGTGAGCCACTGTGCCCAGCCAAGATGACACTTTAGATACAAGAAAATGCATCCATTTTAAGTGTACAGTTGGAAGAGTTTTGACGAATGTTTACATTTGTAGAACCACCACCACAATCAAAACACAGAACACTAGCTATTTGGGAGGCTGAGCAGGGAGAATCACTTGAGACCAGGAGTTTGAGGCTGCAGTGAGCTGTGATCGCACCATTGCACTCCAGCCTGGGTGACGGAGCAAGATCCCACCTCTAAAAAAAAATTAAAAAAAAAAAAGACACAGAACATACCCAGCACCTCAGAAAGTCAGAAAGTTCCTCCAGGCTCCTTTTCAATCTCCTACTGAGTTTCAGTCCCAGGCAACCATGGGTCTACTTTCTGTCACTATAGGTTCGTTTTGCCCTTTCTAGAATTTCATAGAAATGGAGTCAGGCAGCACACTCTGGCTTCATTGGCTCAGCACTGCGATTTGAGATTCATCCGTGCCATTTCATGTACCGACAGTTCTACCTCCCAGCTGCCAAGCAGCCCCCGCAGTCTGGGTGCCCCCCGTGTGGCAGCCCCCGCAGTCTGGGTGCCCGGCGTGTGGCAGCCCCCGCAGTCTGGGTGCCCCGCGTGTGGCAGCCCCCGCAGTCTGGGAGCCCCGCGTGTGGCAGCCCCCGCAGTCTGGGTGCCCCGCGTGTGGCAGCCCCCGCAGTCTGGGTGCCCCGCGTGTGGCAGCCCCCGCAGTCTGGGTGCCCCGCATGTGCACCCTCACCTGCTGGTGGGCATTTGGCTTGTTTCTTCCAGTTCATAACATAGAGCTGTTATGAACACTTGTGTATGAGGCCTTGTGTGAATCGTGTTTTCACTTTGGGGTAAACACCCAGGAGTGGAGTGGCTGGGTCACACGGTAGGTGGATGTTTAATTTTTTCTCTCACTGCCAAACTGCCTTCCAAAGTGGTTGCACCATTTACGTTCCCACCACAGTATGAGAGTTCCAGTTCCTCTACCTCCTCACTAGAACCCGACAGTGTCTGCCCTACTGATGTTAGTTACACTGGAAGGGGTGCGGTGGTATCTCACTGTGATTCTAATTTGCATTTCCCTGATCAGTGTGTTGTGTTTTGACGTTTGCTAAGAGTGATCTCTTTTGGCAGGGTGCGTTGGCTCACACCTGTAATTCCAGCTCTTTGGGAGGCCGAGGAGGGCGGATCACCTGAGGTCAGGAGTTTGAGACCAGCCTGACCAACATGGTGAAACCCCATCTCGACTAACAATACAAAAAAGTTAGCTGGGCATGGTGGCATGCACCTGTAATCCCAGCTACTCAGGAGGCTGAGGCAGGAGAATCCCTTGAACCCGGGAAGCGGAGGTTGCTGTGAGCCGAGATCGCACCATTGCACTCCAGCCTGGGCGACAGAGCAAGACTCTGTCTCAAAAAATAAAAATAAAATAAAGGATGATGTCTTTATCATGCAGAAATGTCAAACATTTTGTGTAATACACTTATTTCTGGTTATGGCTTTTGGGTTTCATCACAGTTTCCTTTAGTACCCCAGTGACGGCCAGGCGCGGTGGCTCACGCCTGTAATCCCAGCACTTTGGGAGGCCGAGGCAGGCGGATCACGGGGTCAGGAGATCGAGACCATCCTGGCTAACATGGTGAAACGTCGTCTCTACTAAAAATACAAAAAAAAAAATTAGCCGGACGTGGTGGCGGGTGCCTGTAGTCCCAGCTACTCGGGAGGCTGAGGCAGGAGAATGGCGTGAACCTGGGAGGCGGAGCTTGCAGTGAGCCAAGATCGCGCCACTGCACTCCAGCCTGGGCGACAGAGGGAGACTCCGTGTCAGGAAAAAAAAAAAAATACCCCAGTAACAATGGCTTAAGTCCCCCATTTACTTTTAGGAGTTTCCAGTGCGATGGAGCCAGCGCCCAGGCTCATGACCCCCACCCCAGCTTTCTTCACTCTGGCCACATGGCTTGTCTTCAGAGCTTTGTGGAAAGCTGTGCAGACAGGCACCTCTGTCCACCTGGGGCACCGATGCCATGCCAGGGCCTGTCCTGCAGCTACTGGGGTCACAGCCCTCCAGGAGTCTGGGCAGAAGACAGTGTTTATGCTGCACCTGAAACCGCTTTGCCTGTTTCTCACTCACAGAGCTCCCCTCCGGTCAAAAGCTCTGGAACCCAGGGCATGAGCCCACATGCAGGAAGCTAGGGCCCAAAGGGGAGAGAGCTGGCTGCGGGGAGAGGCCAAGGCCGCCCAGCAGGGAGACAGAGCGACGTCTCACCCTGACCAGTGAGCCCAAGCTACTTGTCCCACCGGGGCTCAGGAGACCCCATTCGTTGTCCTTCTTCCTGGGTGCAGGGCTGCCTTTCCCAGCACTCCCTGTGGCCCGGTGCCTAAGTTATGGACAACGGATTGCAAACCAGTGTGGTGGGAAAGGGGACCACAGGAGCCATCTTGGAGGCTGCTTGAGCACCCGGCCAGCCTGGACCCCCAGGAACTGACAAAGGTGAGGGAAGGGCACCAGCAAAGCCAGGACACCATGGGCTTCTTGGAAATGATTTGATATTTGATGGTTCCAAACAGCATCAAAGTAATCAATGTGGGAGCAGCTCAGACCTGTGCCGAGGGGGTGGGCACCAGTCGGCACTCCCCACCACCCTTGCTGGGACCTCTCCCCGCAGCCTGGCTCCCGGTGCCCACCCGCCTTCTGGAGGCCCCAGTCCCGCCTCGCTTCTGCCCGTCGCTCTCACCACAACCCTCCCCGCCCCGGTGTCTCACTCATGCCTCACACCTGGACTCTCCAGTGGCGCACACCTTAGAGGGTCTCACATGGGAAGCCCCATGGTGGGCCCAGCCGGGTTCAGCACGTGGGCCTCCTGGGAGCCGCCCCACACCTGCGCTTCTCAGGGGCGCCCGCTGTGGGTCCTGCTGTGGGTCTGCAGACCACACTTTGAGAGCAGGCTCCCCGGGTGGTGGCCGACGCCTGTCACCTGTGGCCCCGCTTAACCCACCCTTCACCGGCACTGAGTCCCCCCGCACAGACCCCGGGATCCAACCCCCACTATGCGGAAAGGGAAGCTGCACTTGGGGTGACAGGAGCAGCAGGTCAGGGGCCCTGCACCAGCTGCTGCCACCGGCCCCTCCACCTCATCCTAGCTGCCCATGGAGGGACTCCCCCGAATCCGGCCCTGACCCAGCCCCTGACCCTGACCCTGACCCCCCATCCTCACCCGCATCCCCATCCCCACTGGACGCCCCAAAGATCACAGCGCCCTCTGCTGACACCGGAGTCCCAATGCTGAGAAGGCTGATTGGCCCAGCTCTGTCAAACCCAGTCACGTGATCAGAGCAGGGCCTCCTCTGATTGGCCATCCTGGGGGCACTGTGAGTGGCAGCCTGCCAGGCCTTGCTTTTGGGTGGGAGCCGGGTTCCTTCAGCCCCTGCACGCTAGGTGCAAGCCACGACTCCCGCTGCAAGGGATTCTGGGTGGTGCTGGTGTCCGGGCCTCGGGGGAGCCCTGGACGGAGCCCTCGGTGGTTGAGCTGGGCCCAGAACACCTGGCCTTGGCTGTCCCCTCTCACTCTGGGGTCACCGGGTCAGGCTCTCCCTCCTACAGGATGCAGTGGACGCAGAGGGGGCTGTTGGCTGAGGAGGGGGTACTTGAGGAACTCTTCTTTGGGAGTAGAGACAGAGACGTGCTGAGACTGGCTTGGGGGTCGTCCATCCTCAAAATCCCACATGGGCCCCCCAGGTCGCCCCCTCCCCACCTGCCCTGGGAAATCTCCCAGCAGCTGTTTTCTGGAACAACTGACGGCTGAGGTCAGCTGGAGGTCAGAAGGAGGGTTTGGAGCCCAGGTGGGGGTGAGGATGGGGAGGCCCCAGGAGGGGTGGGGGCGGCCCGGCCATCCGGGAGCCACAAAGGGCAGAGAGAGTGCAGCGCCGCGGCCAGCAGCCAACGGGGCCGCCAGCAATGTGGTTTCAATCTAATTGTCCCAAAATATTGTTACAACACAAACCACGTGCCATCCACTCACCTGCAACTAATCAGCAGCAAAGCTACCGAATAAATCGGTTCCACACCCTGGGGCCGGGCAGCCCAGCACGTGAACCCGGGTGCCCGGGCTCGGACAGAGGCCAGGCGGCTTTCTGCCGGGGCCTGTTTCCTGTTGGGGCAAGAATTGTCAGGACAAGTGTGGGTACGACAGGGGGCTCCTCCTCTCTTTGTGACGCCCCACTTCACGCTGGAGGCAGAGCCAGAAGGAACAGTTCCTCATGTCACAGCTGGCCCAGGCCCGAGAGGGTCAGCCAGGGAGTGGGGGGCCGCGCCGGGGGTCTGTCCAGGGTCTGACTGTCCAGGGTCTGACAGCCCAGGGAGTCCTCAGTGTCCTCTCTCCACCCTGATCATTCTGTCCTGAGATGGTGACCCCGAGGGTCTTCACCCATGCAGGAACATTTGCACGTCCACCCACAGTGACGGTAAGACCGGCTTCAAGGCCACCGAGGCCTTTGGTGATTATGATTTGAGTGATTCCTCCAACACTCAGAAGAGCTAAGGAGGAAATGGAAGCTGACTGAAGGCCCTGGAGCCTGGACCCCAGGCCTGGTGCTGGCAGGTGGGGCCTCCCACACTCGGGTCCCTGCCCGGCAGCCTGTACACCGAAGCCCAGCCGGGGTGGAAACAGGCCCTCCTCAGGGAGCCCGCAGCCGGGCCCAGGCCTCCAGGGACAGCAGACATTCCACCAGTAAGTGTGGGGGCAGCAGGCAGCCCTGACTTCTCCCGGAGCCTGGGGGACCCCATGGCGGCCTTTCAGCTTGGCCTTGTGGGTAAATGGGGTGCCCACGGGCAGGAAAGATGGCATAACACTGGTTCCACACCCACATGGGCTTCACATATGGTCACAGATAAATTCCTTGTGAGTTTGAGGATGGCCCAGCATCTCCCAGCATCTGCCAGAAGGAAGGGGCCTCATCAGCTGAGGTCGCAAGTGTGTGCTGGTGCCTACAACCTCAGCACAGTCGGGGGCGTGTCGGTGGCCGCCGCTGTGGAGGGGAAGCCAGTCCCAGGCTTTGGAGGGTGCACAGGCCCCTGCCGCCCTTCCCTACCTGGTGCCTGGGCCACCTGTTTAGTGAGTCTCTCTGAAATCCCAGCACCCACTAGCCACTCAGCAGTAGTGACTCGAGTTCCCGCACCTGTGCCTGGTCCTGCAGCAGTGGTGGGGAGAGTGATCTGTGAGTGCCCTGAGGCTGCCATGACAAGTGGCCACCAACCCAGTAGCTTCAAGCAGCAGACCTTTATTGCCTCACAGGGCCACAGGCAGAAGCCCACAGTCAGGATGGCACATAGCTGGTTCCTTCTGGAGGCTCGGAGGGAGATCTGCTCCTGACTGTCTCAGCTCCTGGGGGCGGCTGGTAGTTCTTGGTGATCACTGGCTTGCGGCGGCGTCACTCTGATCTCTGCTGTCCTCGAGAGACCTTCCTCCCTGATGTCTCTCCCCTCTCTTCTGAGGACACATGTCATTGGATTTAGGGCCTACAGTAATCCAGGATGATCTCAACTCGAGATCCTTAAGTGAGGATCAGAGATGTGAAGCAGCCTGCCCCAAGGAGGCTTAGCTGGGAAACAGCCGAAGAGTAAAACCTGAAAGGCCACAACAGGTGCCTCATGACAGCGGTCAGATGCTTTGTGGCATGGCCAGGGACCCGTGCTCCAACCAGGAGTCGCCACAGTCTGAGACTCCCCTCTACAGCGGCCAGCCATGCTGCCCACCCGACTGTGCAGAGGTGGTAGGCACCAGGCACACCCCTGCAACCTCGGCTGATAAGGCCCCTGCCTTCTGGGGGACCCTGAGATGCTGGGGAGACTGGAGACTCTGGGCCATCCCCAAACCACTGCTGTCACTTGAGGCTTAGCATTGCAATGCCTGGGCATCCCTGAGTGCCACCGTGAGCCTGTGTGTCTCGTGACACGTGTGCAGATGTTATTCCCGGCACAGATACTGAAGGGCGATGCGTGCACTCAGCAGCCAGGAGGGTTGCAGGGCCAGTGGTGAGAGGACCAGGTTCTGGCTCAGGCTCACACTCTGAGGCCCCCAAAACCCAAACCACGAACCAGGCAAGGCTTCATTCTCAGCCACAGGGGAGGCCACGCCCACCAGCACCTGCCCGACGCCGGGGTCCACCTCCAACAGGTTTCTGGCGGTGGGAAAAAGTGGAAGATGCAGGCCAGAGGAAGGATGCTGCCTGACCGACCACAGCCAGCTCTGCCTAGCAGCCCCGAGAGCAGGCAGAGGAGGGAGCAGGAAGAGACCACAGCTGATCCCAGCCTTCCTGGCCCTGACGATTTCACCTTCCCCATCCAACCTTTGAATGAGAAGCAAAGTGGGCCAGGCACCATGGCTCATGCCTGTAATCCCAGCGCTTTGGGAGGCTGAGGTGCGAAGATTGCTCGAGCCCAGGAGTTTGAGACCAGCCTGGGCAACACAGCAAGACTCCCGTCTCTACTAAAAATAAAAACATTAGCTATGTGTGGTGACACATGCCTGTGGTCCCAGCTACTTGGGAGGCTGAGATGGGAGGATCACTTGAGCCTGGCAGTTTGAGGCTACAGTGAGCCACGATTGTGCCATTGTACTCCAGCTTGAGCAACAGAGCAAGACTCTGTCTTTTAAAAAGAAAAAAGGCAAAGTACAGAGGCATTGCCTGTTATCCCTGCTGCCAACGGGTCTGGCCCTCAGAAGGGATGGGTTGCCAGATGACGCAGGTGGGCCCCTCCTGGCCTTGCACAGGGTCCCCCCTCCTTTTTTTTTTTTTTTTGAGACAGAGTCTCACTCTGTCACCCAGGCTAGAGTGCAGTGGTGTGATCTCGGCTCATTGCAACCTCTGCCTCCCGGGTTCAAGCGATTCTCCTGCCTCAGCCTCCCGAGTAGCTGGGACTACAGGCGTGCACCACCACACCCAGCTAATTTTTGTATTTTTAGTAGATACAAGCCTCAGGCTTCAGGCCTCTAGAGCCACAAGAAAACGAATTTCTGTTGTGGTTTTTTTGTTTTTTTGGAGAGTCTCACTCTGTCACCCAGGCTGGAGTGCAATGGTGCAATCTCGGCTCACCACAACTTCTGCTTCCCAGGTTCAAGCGATTCTCCTGCCTCAGCCTCCCAAGCAGCTGGGATTACAGGCATGCGCCACCACCCCCAGCTAATTTTTTGTATTTCTAGTAGAGGCGGGGTTTCACCATGTTGGTGAAATTGGTCTCGAACTCCTGACCTCAGGTGATCCACCTGCCTCAGCCTCCCAAAGTGCTGGGATTATAGGCATGAGCCACCTCGCCCGGCCCCAACGGACCCATCTTCAAGTGTGTAATTCAATGGCATCAACTCCATTCACGATGTTGTGCAACTGTCACCTCTATTAATAGTTCCAGAACATTTCATCATCCCAAACAGAAACTCTGTACTCATTAAGCAATATCCCTCCCACCCTCCGCCCCCCCGCCAGTCCCTGGTGACCCCAAATCTTCTGTCTGTCTTTGTGAATGGCCTGTTCTAGAAGTTGCACAGAAGTGGAAGCACACACCACGTCCCTTTCTGTCTGGAATTCCTCAGTTAGCATAACGTCCCTGAGGTCCATCCACGCAGTAGCGGGTGTCAGATTTCCTTCCTTTTCCAGGCTGAACCCTGTTCCACACGTGGCTAGACCACAACTTGTGTGTCTGTCCACTCATGGGTCGACGGCACTTGGGTGCTTCCACCTCCTGCTGGCCGTGACCAGGGCTGCTGTGGACTCTGGCGCTCTCGTCTGCACCAGCTGCTGCCTTCAGTTCTCTGGGGTCTGTAGCCGGAGTGGCATCGTTGAGTCACGTGGGAATCCTGTGCTCTGCTTTTTTTCTTTTCTTTTCTTTTCTTTTTTCTTTTCTTCTTTTCTTGAGACAGAGTCTTGCTCTCTCACCCAGGCTGGAGTGCAGTGGTGCGATCTTGGCTCCCTGCAACCTCCACCTCCCGGGTTCAAGCGATTCTCCTGCCTCAGCCTCCCAAGTAGCTGGGATTACAGGTGTTCACCACCACGCCTGGCTAACTTTTGTCTTTTTAGTGGAGATGGGGTTTCACCATGTTGGCCAGGCTGGTCTCAAACTTCTGACCTCAGGTGATCCGCCCACCTTGACCTCCCAAAGTGCTGGCGTTACAGGCGTGAGCCACCGCACCCGGCCTATGCTCCACTTTTTGAGAGGCCAACAAACCCCACTTGCTTTTTCAATCCAGATTTTAACCTTTGAGGGAAAAGAAAGATTTTTGTATCTATTCCTGGGCCGGGGTAGGGGGGCTGTTGGGTGAGGAACACCCAAGAACGGCTCAGGTGAGAGGGGTGGCCTCTAAGACCACATGGCCTGGACACAGCCTGGCAGGCAGACCGAAGCAGCCGGGGCTGCCTGGAGGGCCTCAGTTCTGCTCCTCCCCAGCTGCAGGATCTGAGCAGGAGGCCTCCTCACTCTGCGCCTCAGTTTCCTCATCTTTATCTGGGGACGGAGCAGCCTCTACCTCTCAGAGCTAGTTGCGATCATGGTGGCAGCTGAGGCCCAGCCCTGGTATGCAGTGAGGGTTCAACTGAGCCAGCCCCCACTCGCCACAGGCTTGCCTGGGGAAGACAGGTGCATCAGCCCCGGGGTCCATTTCGCAGTGGGGCTGATCCCAGCCCACCCTCACCCGCCCGGGAGCCTCGCCCTTCACCCCATGCATCTTCTCCCCTGAATCACCCCCAGGGTCTCCAGGGCAGGAGCAGGGCTGGCAAGGGCAGGGCTCACAGCCCCATAGGGAGGACACAGTGCCCGCAAGAGGGACTGGGCAAGAGGTGGACAGGCAGGGGGTGGGGGCATTCTGTGTGCCCCAGAGCCTGAGTTCGCAGGCTCTCAGCAGCCCGTGCTGGGCAGCAGTGTGGGCGTCTCTCCCGCAGGGCACCCTCTGCACTTTCCTGCAGACCTGCAGCAGCCCTTTCCTGAGGGACACCTGGCTCCGGGCCCAGGGTGGGGGCGGGGCCTCGCGTGTCTCCCCCTTGATTTGTAAGAGTCCAGGGCTGTCGGCCATGGCCACACTGAGCACCCCTGGGAGCCAAGGCAGCTTAAGGACAAGGTGTGTATGAGGACGGCGGGGCCCAGGGAGGAGAGGCTAGCCCAGGGCTACCCGGGTCCCCGGAGTAGGGGCAGGGGACTTGAAAATGAGCCCCCAAGGGGCTCTGATGGGGGCAATTCCAGGAGAGGCGTGGGCAGGTGTGGGGCTGGAGAGAGGCCTGTCCTTTTTCCCTTGCCCTGCACACTGTCTGCAGGGTGGCAGACCCAGGCTGCCTGGCGAGGCTGCTTCTGGAGGCCTGAGGAAGGCTGGGCTGAGGACTCCGCCTCTCCTCAAAGCCACAGCCTCCCTGCTCTGGGGCTACATGTCGGGAAAATCCCTGCCTGGGTTACCCCAGCTGGGGACTCAAGCTCTCTTTGGACCCTACAGAAAGAGCTGGCCAGCCCCCAGGCCAGAAGGGCCGTCCGTGACCCACAGATGGCCCCAACACACTGTAAAACACGCATGATTTATTTTAGTGTGTGTTAGAAAAATAAAGCCAACACATCAAGCCTGCAATTTCGCAGATACTAACACTTCGGACCAGGAAAAAAGAAGCCCATGACATGGCACAGCGCTGTGGAGCGAGCGAGATCTGGGATGCGTAGGCCTGGACGGCTGAGGCTTGGAAACCCCTCCCCTCCCCAAACTTTCCCACCATGCAGGGGCCCAGCAGGCCCTCAGCCCACTCACCCCGCCAGAGGAGGGAGGAGGGAGGAGGGTCCGGGCCAGGTGGGAGCTTCTCCCCGGAGGCCTGAGGCAGCTTCCCTCCTCTCCCAGGAAGGGGCTGGCCCAGGCCCAGCTAGGATGCTCCCAGCCCAGCTCCTACCCGCCGGGTCTTTCCCGTTTGTCAGGCAGGCCGGCAGGCTGGGCTGGTGACTCATGACTGGCTGGGCCATCTGCCCTGCACCCCTGCCCCGGGCGAAGTGAGAAACCTGACCGGGCTCCAGCACAGACAGGAAACCCCACCCCAGGGCCTGCAGTGGGACAGGTGTGGCCGCCCTCCACCCCCACACAGGCCTCGGGGAGGGTGTCTGAGGCCGGCCTGGCCCTCTCTGCAGCACTGAAACACCAGCTGCCTCTCCCCAGCCCGGAACTGGGGATCCAGTGTCCTCCGCACTGACCCCAGGCTCTGCTCTCCCTGGGAAGCACCCGCTTTGACAGTGGGGCCAAGGACTGGGGTTCCCACCCTCCTCTGCCCAGTGGACTTTGTGGCCCCAGGCAGGTGGCATCAGCTCTCTGGGCCTAAGCTTCTCATCTCTGCAGGGTTCATCAGCTCAACAAGCATTTGTGGGTTCCTGAGACCTGAAGGCTCCACTCCCCCACCTAAGCACACAACAGTCCAGGCACCACCCACATCTCCCTCTTACCTGGAGCAGAGGGGCGGGTGTTCGGAGCCTTGGGGCCCAGGGTCATTTGCACTGGAGGGGGCCAGGAACGCTCCCAGGAGTGTGGCAGTCCCTTCCTAGGGGGCCCCTCCTGGAGCAGCTGCCTTGAGAGCCCAGCCTACAGCAGAGCCTGGTGGGGTGGCCGGGCTACTGCTACCTGGCTTCACTGCTTTCTTCTGCCATTCCTCCCAGGCTACCCAGGAGGACGAGAGGGGCAGGGTACTGGCGGCAGCAAGAGAGAACCCGCCCAGGAGGGCCCAGCACGGGAACTCCAGCCTCCAGAGCCAGCAGAGCCACGGGAACAGGAGTTCCTCCTCACAGAGGAGGCGCTGTTGGAGGGCCAGGAGCAAACTCCCAGCAGAGCAAAATGCAGAGGTGACCAGCCCAGGGCACACCAGCCACTGAAAAACCCAACAGTGGGGGCTGCCGTGGGGATCCAGGGTTGGGGGACTCTCAGACGGCCCCCCAGGCTTGTCCCCATGCGTATTCTTTGAGCTGATGGGGACGCAGTGTTCACAGTCCTGACAGGAGGCAGGCGTGACCCCAGTCGGGGAGTGGACTTGGCCCTCTTCACACCCCCAGGGCAGAAAGCCCTGTTCAGAGGTACCAGGGAGCAGGCACAGGCCAGGGTCCGAATTCGTAACAAGCATCCGGGACTCCACATGACGCAGGTCTGAGAATCGATCCCGGGTTCCAGCCCAGCCATCATTTTCAGAGAATACGGGCCCTGTCCCGAGCCGCCAGCCATTGCCAATGGCTGCCCGGAGGAAGGGAGGAAGGGGTGCCCCCAGCTTGTGGAACCAACAAGGGCTTAATGGTAGGGCACGCCCAGGGGCAGACGCCAAGAAAGGAGAGGAGGGGGCGGGGGCTCCGGCCAGGGAAGCCGTGTCCTCTGCACCAGGCAGAACAGGGGGCTGGGCCGCCCTCAGCCTGGATCTGGCCAGGGCTGGGATGCCAGCTCTGAGAACAGGGCCCAGCCCTCACCTGCTTGGTTTGCCTCTTGCCAGGGGAAGGGGCTCAGGAAGGTTTCTGAGCTGCCCCATGCCCCTGCCTGGAGTTCCTGACCCTCGGGGGAAGCTGAGGCTACAGAGAGCACGAAGTGCAAAAGGCCTGGTGGTTGGACCCAGAGCCCCTGTCCCTGGGTCCCCGCTCCTCCCCACCACCCCGTCCCAGCTCTCCCACGCTCCCACGAGGCCACATCATCTTCTGCTCCTGCTGAGTTCCCCTTCACGCATATGAAAAGCAAATTACAGGAGGGAGAAGGCAAACCCGGGGTGAACGGGGGCCTCCTGGGACTCCTTGGACCCCCGGGAGAGCCTGTGAGGGCTTCTATGGGCCGACTGGGATCTCAGGAGCAAAATAGGGGCCCCTAGCCCACAGCGGAGGGCGACTCTAATCAGCAGAGATCGCCCAGCATGCCTTATCCTCAGCAGCTCAGGGCCACCTGTGGGGCAGGGGGAGGGGGCCTGGCCAGCTGGGTCGGCCGCCCCCGGCAAAGCCAGGGGACGCCAGGAGCGGAGCTGTGTGGTGCAGAGCAACTGTGTCCCAGGGGAGGGGGGGTCTGTCTCCGCTCCTCCCAGCTGCAGGCCCTGGGCAGCCGCAACCTCTCAGAGCCTGCCTGCCCCTCTCCTGAGGTCTGGATTTTGCCAGCACAGAGCAGGGACCTCAGCAATATGCCCAGCCTGGCGCAGGCCCAGGGCAGGCCCTCTATCCGCAGGGCATCCTCTGGTCTACAAGTTCTGTGACGACGTGGCTGGCACCAGGGTCTGAGGGCTTTGATGCTGGGGAACGTCCTTGCGCCTCTGCAGTAGATGTGAAAGTCTGTGGAGCCCGGGGACCTGGAGCAGGTGGCCTGGGTGGGGCTGCTGCCTTCTGGGCCAGGACCAGATTCCACTCCCTGGCTGGACAGCCCTGGGCACAGCGTTTAAACACCCAACACTTCAACTCTGCTCTGTGAAACGGGGATGATTCTAACAGTGCTGGATCACGGCATGGTTGGGAGGCTTGGGTGAGGTCATGTGTTCCATGATCCTGTCCACACGAAGGTCATGCAGCCTTGGGGGGCACTGGAGCGGCAGGTGTGGTTTTGGGGACCTGCCACGGGCCACAGCCCTAGACCAAGCCGGACCATCGGGACTCTTTTCCTGGAATTTGAATGCTGAGCCGAGGGACACTGGGCTTGTGCTGGGGCCACTCCCGAGCCGCTGCTGTTGGGGCCTGAACAGCGCCTTCCCCCTGCCCTCCCTGCTGCAAGCTCCAACCAAATACCTGCTCCCGGCTTCAGTTAGTCAGAGTCCACTTCTGGCACCTGCAGTCAAATTTATTGATTGATTGATTTGAGAGAGTCTTGCTCTGTTGCCCAGGCTGCAGGGCAGTGGTGAGAATAAGGCTCACTGCAGCTTCGACCTCCTGGACTCAAGCGATCCTCGGCTTCCCAAGTAGCTGGGTCTACAGGCACACACCACCACGCCTGGCTAATTTTTGTGTTTTTTGCAGAGATGGGGTCTCACTATGTTGTCCAGCCTGGGCTCAAGCAATCCTCCTGCCCTGGCTTCCCAAAGTGCTAGAATTACAGGCATGAACCACCATGCCAGCCGAAAGTGTCTCTGCACATCTGCACAAATAAAATGTATTTCTGTACGTACACTGATTTGTACCCAGAAGCCCTTTTAAAAAATATTGTGTCACCTTGGCTTCCTCTCTTACTTCTTGCTCCCCCTTTATGTAAAACTGCTGAATCTTTTGAGTGTCAGTTGCAGACACCTTGACACTTCACCCTAAATACTGTAGCATCAAATGTCTAAGAACACCTGCCTGCCTCCAGCAGCACGCCTGGGGAAACGCAGTGCCACACAGAACGATGCACGGCCCCGTGGCCCCGCCTGCTGTGTGTAAACTTCCCAGTCAGCTCCACGGCCCGCCAGAGCAGTCCCACCCCAAGCCTCGTTCAGGATCCTATCCAGGGTCTCCCGTTAGCCTCCTCTCATCTATAACACGCACCGCACCCTTTTGCCTTTTTAAAAACATTGCCCTTTTCTGAGCATCCGGAGAGGTGATTCCGAGAATGCCTCCGGATCCGACTCCCCTGTGCTCAGTGCAGGTCAAGCGTCCCAGGCAGGAGCATCACTCAGGGGCTGCTGAGCCACCCGAGGGAAGGCAAGCCTGGGAGAGGCAGTCCCGCAGCCGTTGTCCTGCCACTCGGGGGCCTCTGATGGCCTCTCCTCTGGTGCCATCTCCCACCCCAGAGCTGGACAGCAGGCCTGGGGAGTGGCCTCTCAGATCTGTCCCTTTGGTGGTCTTGGGGCTCCTACGGGGGCACCTTCCTCTTGTTTCTCCCCTAAGCAGGCAGGAGGTGGCTGGCGGAGAGCAGAGGGGACCCCTGATGGCTAGAAGCGAGGGGGGCAGTGCAGAGAGAGCACAGCTCGAGATGGAGAACTCTCCCTGGGCGTCTGGCCACTGCCTGACCCTCAAACCAAGGGGAGTGTCCGAGAGTCAGGCAGGAGGGCCAGGTGCAGAGGTGGGCCAGGTGCAGAGGCAGGCCAGGGAGGCATCCGGACGGGAACCAGCCCCCCTTCTCCTGAGAAAAGGCTCACGGAGATGGCAAGCGTCCCAGCCGAGGCCCCTTGGGGCATGGGGCGGCCCTGTGGTCCAGTTGGGTACAGGAGGAAGGTGGGACCGGCCCTCAATCCCCCCCGGCAGCCAGGGGTGCTGGGAGACAGAGGGTGAGGCATCACCGAATCCCAGGGTGGACTCCTATCGGGGTGGGTGGAGGAGAGGGAACCCTTCCTCTGGCAGGGCCCTCTCATCTTGTCTTGGAGCCTCCGCATGGGTGCGGGATCGCCACTTCGCAGCGGGCTCTGGCCATCAGGCAGTCCGTGGTTTGGAGCTGTCAGGACCCGAGGAGGTGCCCCAGCACGTGGCAACAGCAGGGGGCCGTCACCTCCTCAGGCAGGGGGTGAGGAGAGAAGGTGCTGCTGGAACTGGTGAGAGGGGCCTTGAGCATGGGGGCCCGAGGTGAACGTGCACGCCCTCCTCCCTCCCCCCTGCCCTCAGGCTTCCCTCGGGCCCCAGTGCCCAGAAGCCACCATTAGGCACAGGCACAGGGTCAGCCTCCAGGGTCTGAGCAGGGTGGGGACCTGGGCCATAGCCCCTGCCTCTCCAGCCCAGCAGCCACTCCAGCCTGGCCCCTTCACTCAGATCAATAAAAAGTGTAGGAATGAATTCCACTTCGGTGAAAGCATCAATGAAGAGCAGATTCCCAAGCCCCAGGATTGGGTCCACGGCCAACTCTGCAGAGCTTAGGGCCCCCAGTGGGCCGGCTCTGGCACCTGTTAGGACCCGCCCAGGGGAAGGGGAGGAGCTGTGGGCCTCCTGCTGTCCACCCTGGCTCCCAGGTCACCCTGCAAGGCCAGCACCGCCCTTCTGATCCCCCCAGGGCTGTGGCCTGGGAATAGCCACCCCCAGCCTGGGACAGAGCAGGTAAGGCCCGGGAGGAGGGGACCGCTGACCTTCCCCAGGAGTTTGGGAACTGCTCACGGCTTGTCTCAGTTCTCCAGCTGGCTGTGGACCTAGGATGGACGAGAACAAGGAGGGAGCCAGCCAGGGGTCAGGGAGGCTGGGGACAGGGTGGAGCAGGAGCCCAGTGTGACACGAGAGACCTGGAGCTGGAGAAGCAGTGCCAGCGGCAGGCTCAGCAGGACTTGCTGAACCCCAAGGGTAGGGTGCGGACAGGGAGGCCACCCCGCTCGGGAGACAGCAGCCCCCCTCTGCCATCCACGCCCTCACTCCACATCCCACAGGACCCCTGCTGGAATAGCTGTCTCTGCAAAATGCCCGTAAGTCCACAGAAACCGCCAAAGCTTTCCTGAGACTGGGGACATTATCTGCAGCAATGGGGACCACATCTGGTGTACCGAGGTCTCCAGTGCTCGAGCGGGGAGGCACGTGAGAGCAGAGGGGATGGGAGCCCTGAGTTCCTGAGCTAATGCTACAAAGTCAGCACTGGACTAGCACATCAGGTGGATCTAACCAGGCCCCAGCGAGGCTCTGCAGAACGTGGAAGGGGTCAGAACTCACTCTTCCCAGCAATGTCCTAGAGGCAGTGGCCCCGCTGCCCTGGCCTGATGCGGGCTCCAGAGCTGTGGGATGCAGTGTGAGCCCTTGGCCCTGAGAAGCTGTTCTCCCCAGTCTGCCTCGTCTGGGAAGCCAGGTCAGCTACCTGGCTGAAGGCCATGGGCACTATGCTGGGCAGGAGCAGGGATCTGCCATGTGCCCTGCGGGATGATGATTTTCATTAATCTGCAAAACATTGTGTCTTAGATAAGGGTAGGCTTCTTAGTCAGACAAACCTAGCTCCAATCCTGCTGTGTGGCCTTGGGTAAATTACTGACCCTCTCTGTGCCTCATCTTTAATGTGATTTCCATGGCAGGGCAGTCATGGGGACGCCAAGTGCTAATGCTATAAACAGACCAAGTACAGGTGCTGGCCTGTGCCAACTTTCTCTTCCTTCTCCTCTCCCTTCCTACCCCATGTCCCTGTGGCCAAGGGACAAGGTGGTTGGCAGTCTCCATGAGGTGCCTGGGGCTGGCGCTCTTGGCCAGCATAAGCCCACCAGGCTCTGGGAAGGGTCAGCCCTGCTCAGAGTGGGCAGATGGGTAGGCATGGCCGAGGGCACGAGGTGGTCACAGGTAAGCTGCCGGCAGCAAAGGGCAGCCTCTCACCTGGCCTTTGGGCAGAGAAGCCCCGCCCAGCTGTGGCAGTGAGCTGGGAGCGCATCTGTGGCCCTGCCCTGCTCTTTCCCCTAATGTGAGCTTCACCCCCGCCCTCCTTGAGCATGCCCAGCTCTTCCAGACTCACGCAGTCACATTTCACAAGTAGAGGAATGCTGGGGGGCCGGGGCCGGGCCAGGCTGCACCCAGGGCCACCCACATGCCCCCACCCATGAGAAGCAGCAGGAAGTCCCCTCCCCCTCCTCCACCCCTGTCTGTCCACCTTCAGGGTTTGGCTCTGATCTCTGGCTCTCCAGGGGAAATTTCCTTGTGGAGTTAGTGGAGTCAACTTTGCTGACAACAGTGGGGCCTAGAATGGGCTAAGGACATTATCTCTGCACCTAGGAAACCCCCACCATTCACTAGTTATTCATCCATCCACCCACCCATCTATCTATCCACCCACCCACCCACCCATCTATCCACCCCCCAACCCACCCATCTATCCACTCCCCAACCCACCCATCTATCCACCCCCCACCCACCCATCCACCCATCCAACCATCCACCCATCCACCCATCCACCTATCCACCCATCCACACCCCATCCATCCTATCCATCCACCCATCTGTCCTTCCATTCAATAAACGCTTCATGAGAGAAGAGACCCACCCTCCAGAGCTGACCCTGTAGCCCAGCCCAGGCCTCCTGGCACGGTCATTGGACTGCCTGGGTTAGATCACATGGGGTCCTGGTGGACACGTCGACTCTACTCTCCAGGGCTGGGCCCTGGCATCTGCATTTTCACCGAGGTCCTCTGAGGACCACATACTGATGCTTTTTTCCACAGGCTCTGAAGGCCCAGCCAAGGAGCTGACAAAGCAATGGACGGTGGCGAGGTTCTGCCAGGGGCCCAGCCATGGCTCTGGGGGTGCAGAGACCTGAGCAGAGGCCTCTAAGCTCCACCCATTTCCCACCAGCCTGACACAAGGCCCAAGAAGGCCAGAGTTCTGGAATGTAGGGGATTTGGGGCTACACTTCCTTATAGGACAAGGGAGTCCTGGGGACAGGGTCCCCAACACTGTGCACCCTTTGGTGGGCTGGCACTTGTCTCCAAAAGGAGGGCTCCAAAGTCGGGGCGGGTTGCCTGGGTCCCAGCTGGGCCCTGCTCTGGACTCCTGGCTCTCCTTTCAGGCTCCTTCCCCAAGGGCGCATCCCCCGCCCGGCCTGAGCTTCAGTCAGGGCTCACACCCTTCCCTGTCTCACTCAAGTGGGCCTTTCCAGGGTCAGTGAGAGACCCTGGGGACCCCATCCAGCCCAGGCCACACGGCAAGAGGGGAACTGCTTGCCTAGGCCCGGGTGTGGGTGTGAGAATGGCTGGAATCCTTCCAAGGTGCCCTTGCCTTCACCCTGTGCCCCCCGTGCTCCTGCACCTGGGCACTGGGGCTGCAGAGCTGCTGAATTGCAAGGGGGACCCCTCACCCTTAGATCTTGTTCATGCTAATGGCTTTGCAGGGGTCCTCTGATGCACCCAGGCCCCCTCCTCCCAGCTGGCCTGATTAGCAATGAGCGCAACTCCGGGAAAATTATTAATTTCTATCCCTCAAGTTTACTTCTGGGAAAGTTTGCCAATTAACTTGGCAAGCTGAGGCTCCCAAAATAAAAGGCAAAGGGAGGGAGAGGCACTGGGACGGTCCTTGGTGGGAGGGGCAGCAGGTGCAGACTCCATCCTCAGGAGTGGGGGTGGGGTGGCCTCGGACAGAGCCGGGGCCACTGGCTGGGAGTGGCCTGAAGTGGAACGAGGAGGTACCCTGCAGCGGCCCCGCCCACCATACCAAGGGTGGCCCCACGCAGGGCTGCACCGCATCTGGTTGAAACTCGGGAGGTCTGGGCGGGGGATGCAGGGGCGCCTGGGGGCCCTGGCTCTGACAGTGTCCACATCTGCACGCGGAACACACAGGCTATTGATGGGTCTGAAATAAAAGGGGCTGAGGGCAGCGGGCAGAGCCTGGGACCACCGCGGCTGGGCATCTTCCCATCCAACAGTCCCCAGCTCTGGTCCTTCTCACTTTCTTCTGTTTGTTTGTTTGTTTTGTTTTTTTGTTTTTATTTTTGCGACAAGTTCTTGCTCTGTCTCCCAGGCTGGAGTGCAGTGGCATGATCACGGCTCACTGCAGCCTCAACTTCCTGGGCTCAAGCAATCCTCCTGCCTCAGCCTCCTGAGTAGCTGAGACCACAGGCATGTGCCACCAAGCCCAGCTAATTTTATTTTATTTTTTGTAGAGATGAGGGTCTCCCTATGTTGCCCAGGCTGGTCTCAAACTCTGGAACTCAAGTGATCCTCGATCCTTGGCCTCCCAAAGTGCTGGGATTACAGGCATGAGCCACCAGGCCCGGCCCCTTCTTTTGTGCAAAGCCAGGCCCCCCCCACCCCCGATGCTGGGCTCCACACTCCCCCAGAAGGCCTTCCCCCTCTCTTCCCCCTCTCTGACCATGCATCTGATGCGGTTTGCTTTGGCTCAGTCACTGGCGGTGAAATGTTGCTGTCACAATCTCGGCTCCTGCCTTGCTCTGAGGTCTGTGTGTGGGTTGGGGAGGGGGCAGCAGGATGGCGCCCCTTCCCAGCCAAGCAGCCTCTGCACAGTGGGTGTGCAGCCTCAGGGAGGCAGATGCCAGGTGCAGAAGGAAGCCAAGGAGACCCACCTGGAGAGGCTTCTGGGCCCTCAGGCCTTGGCACTGACTACGGGGCCCTGGCTGGGCAGATAGCGCCAGAAGGGACACTGGACCCTCCCAAGGCTAGAAGAAATAACCAATCCCCACTCAACGAGGCTGCTTCCTCTGTGGCCAGATCGAAGGCAGGGCTCCTGATGAGGGGGCCAGAGGCACTGGGCCAGCTGCTTTTGGACCCAAGGGACCTGCCCAGATGCCTGTGGGGGTGTGGGGAGTGAGGGGAGCCACCGTACCCAAGGTCGCAGCATCCCTGGGAAATGGTCCTGCCCAGCAGGCTTCCGGATGTCTGGTTCAGGAATGTCTCCCCAGGCCCACTCTGTAGTGGCCAGAGACAGAAGGGCAAGGCCATGGCTTTTTAAAAGGCAGCCAGAACATTCGTCTCCTGCCAGAGTAAGGCCATGGCTGTGCCCTCCATGTCCCCGGCACTTCCCGCCACCCCAGGCTTATCTCATCTCCGGTGCCTCCTAATGGAGGCGCTGTGGCCCAGCCCCTCCAGCAATGTCCCAACAGCCCCCATCAAGCCCCAGAAGTACTCAGAAACATAAATTAAAACAAATTGCATTTAAAAATTACAAATAGGGGCCATTTTATCGTTTTTTATTACATAACAACCATTAATAAAGTGTAGTCCCTGCACCTTCATTGCCTGGAGACTAAAGTTCAATTCCTGTCCTCCATGCAGGCTGGGGATGCCATTGTCACAGCCACGTACCTGGGGTAATACAAGTGTAAATACATTTATGGGCAGGAAGAGGGGCTTAGGAGGAGGGCCCTGCCGCCCACAGGGCAGGGCGGGTCCTGGAGCTCTCTGCTGGGAGGAGCCACTGCCTTCCTCCCAGGATGATGATGGGTTAGGGGATCCTGGGACCAACTGGACATGAAGAGGCCACTCCCACTGGGGTAGAATGAGGTGGGGGCTGAGATCCTCCTGCCTCCCCTTCCTGATCAAGGAGGGCCCATGCAGGAGAAGGAGATGCAGGCGCAGGATTGGCTGTATGGTGCACACACACACACACACACACACACACCCTGGACCCCCGTGACAGGGAAGCAGAACAGGAGGCCAAGACCAGCCACACACTGCGAGACCAGCGGCCAGGCTGCCCAGAGCCCTTCCTGGGTTCAGCCTCTTTCCTGGGCTTCTCGTCCCACTGGAGGAAGGGCCAGGAGGGCAGAGGTCCTTCCTCTTTCCACACTAAGCACCCACAGTCTGCAGGGATGTGTGAGCCAGAAGCTGGGGTCACCCCTGTGCTAAGCAGCCAGGGCTCCCCAACTGCCCTTGCCAGACAGGTGGGCCCAGCAACTGCTTCCCACCTGAACCCACTGCACAGCCTGGCAGGTGGGGGCAAGCTGGAACGCGGGCAGCAGCACTGGGGGGGATGGGCTGTGTGCAGAGCCCAGCAGCCACTTGGCTGCCAGGGAATGGCCCAGGAATCAGGCACCACTTGTGCTGCAGCCCCTTCCCCTCCCCTCCCCCTCCTCAGCCTCCTCTTCTACCCCAGGGCCCAGGCCGGTTAATCTTTAACTGCTTCTGGACTAGCACTGACCCCAAAAGCAAACACAGCAGGATTCCTGGGGAGGAGACATGTCTTCCAAGTACGGCTGGGCAGTGGTGTCTTTTTTTTTTTTTTTCAGATGGAGTCTCACTTTGTCGCCCAGGCTTGAGTGCAGTAGTGTGATCTCGGCTCACTGCAACCTCCGCCTCCCCGGTTCAAGTCATTCTCTTGCCTCAGCCTCCCCAGCAGCTGGGACTGCAGGCGCCCGCCACCACTCCCGGCTAATTTTTTGTATTTTTAGTAGAGACGGGGTTTTACCGTGTTAGCCAGGATGGTCTCCATCTCCTGACCTCGTGATCCGCCCGCCTCGGCTTCCCAAAGTGCTGGGATTACAGGCGTGAGCCACCGCGCCCGGCCCTTAATTTTTATATTTTTAGTAGAGATGGGGTTTCACCATATTGTCCAGGCTGGTCGCAAACTCCCGACCTAGTGATCCGCCTGCCTCCCAAAGTGCTGGGATTACAGGCGTGAGCCACCGTACCCAGCCTGCAGTGGTGTCTTAAAGGAGGCACTGGGTGAGGGTCACTGGCTCCAGGTGGGTGGGGTGTCCAGGCCTCTGCCTCGTGCCCCTCAAGCCTCATTCGTGCTGGAGACTATAAGCTTCTCCCCAGTTCAGAGCTGCAACCTTTCCCAGGCGTGACCAGGGGCAGGGACGGCAAGCAGAAGGGGCCCGCAGGACCCCAAGGCCACGTACTTAGGAGCCTGATGTAAGGCTCTGAAGGCCGGGGAGGGGGCTATAGGGCCAGAGCAGGGGAGGAGGTCCCCACTGCAGCTCGAGGGCAGAAGTGTCCCCGCAGAAAGCAGAGGAGGGGGCGCTTCCTCCAGAAATCCGCCAGGCCATTGTTACACTTTCTGAGGCCAGGGAATTTTTCCAGGAGGTTGTGACAACCAAAAATAATAATAACGCCCCTCCCCCAGCAGCAGGGATTCTGGAAAAAACAGCTGCTGCAGTTATCAGGGCCGAGGAAAAAACAAGGTCAGGCACTGCGAAGATTTAATTTCAAGCGCGTCCCCGCAGCCCGCCGGCCACGCACCGCACGCACGCGTCCTCCCCGCGCGGGGTGGCGGCCGGCGGGAGCCACGTGGAGCAGCCGCGGTGCCTCCGGCCACGCCTGGCTCCCGATGCCGCGAAGGGGGTCTTGGGGCAGGCCCCGCTCCCCGAAGCTGTCGCTGCGGCTCCTGCCAGCCGGGAGACGACGAGGGGAAGGGGTGGGCCGCGCTGGGCCTTCCGTCCATCCGTCCTTCCCCAGCTCTGCGGGGGCTAAATCCGTCTTCAACAAACCTCGCGAAAAAGCCGAGGGGGGGACGCGCCGTTGCTGGAGAATAGGTCAGAAGTGACAGCAGAATGGGCCGCTGAGACCCCCGTCCCCGCCCCGGTCCTCCGTCGGCCTGGCGGGCGGCGACGTGGGGAGGGGCCGCTCAGAAGCCGGGGTCGCCCGGGCCGGGGAACTTCCTCGCGCCGACGCCCACTCCCCACGGGCCGCACTCGCCGAGGGGCCGAAAGGGGCTCCAGTGGAGGACGCGGTGGGAGCTGGGTCCCGCTCTAGCTGCCGACGCCGGCGGTGCCCGGGTCTCCGGGAGCGCAGTTTTTGGCACAAAGTAGCGCCGAAGACCCTGCCGGGTGTCCCGCCGCGGCTGCCGCTGTGCCCGCGCAGGGCCGGCTCGTGAATGCGTGCGGGGGCTTTCGAGGGCGCTTCCTCTACCCTGCGCGCCCGGGGGAGCTGTCCGGTCGCCGCCGGCAGGCAGAGGCTTCGGGCCCCATGGGTGCCCCCGAGACCCCGGATCGTGCGCTGAGAATGTCGACGTTTCAAACGAGCCAGCAGAGCGGGCCGGAGCCTTGGTCGGGAACCGGCGCCGCGTGCGCACTGGCCGGCGAGGCCTCTGGCCCGCCGGGGAAGGAGCCCAGAGCGCCTGTCTCCCCGGTAGAAACCAACACACACAAATAATTATCCGTATTTCCCACACTGGGGGATTGGGAGTAAGGAGCAAGGATAGGGGAGGGGACAGGATCCAACCCGCTGGTTTTTTACTTTAAAAATTATATATTTTATGTCACGATCGCTTTTCGTTAAGACCACAAACATCCAATTTGGCTTGGCGTAATAAAATCAGCCGGAGCTCCCTTAAACGGAGCCATTCCGGTGAATTAAGTTGTGAAATCTAATCTATTATATCCATAAAGGAGAATGCTTTCATTGTAAATTCAGGTTACAAAGAAACTATACCTGGGCCGCCGGCCTCCCTTTCGGATTTACTACTTGAAGGCTTATCAAATTACTTCAAAATGCTGGGCTACCCCCTCCATATCTCATGGCAACAAAAATTAAACGTGGCAACATTTCTTTTAATAGTAGGAAAGGTCAAAAACAACCGCCACAACAAGGGGATATAATTTTTAAAAGACATCCTTCCCCACCCCGGGATGTCTTCTCCGCGTTTGGAAGCGCCCTTCCTATTTTCCCAATTAATTCGAGTTTTTAAAATATCTAAACGCGCCACGACTTCCTTCAGGTTCTCCCCCGCTCCACGAGGCGTCTGAGGCGCAGCTCCCGGATGGATCGCACGTGGGGCCGCAGACCCTGGGCGCCCGGACGTCAGCCGGAGGCGCGGGGATCTCGTGGCTCCGCTGCGAACCTGCGCCCCACCGCGGCCCGCACACCTGGGCCGAGCCGGGGCCGCCTCGGGAGCCCCTCGCTGGCTCCTGGGCGCCCCACTCGGCTCAGCAATGTCCGGGCCAGACAAAGGAGTCGCCAGGGAGGGGTTAATCCGCCCCTCACCCTTCTCCGTCCTTCCTTCCGCCCCCTTCTCAGGCGGCGCGGAGGAGAGAAGATGCGGCCCCTAATAATGTGTTTGGTTTAACCTGCGGGGTGTGGGTATTTGCTGCGCTTTCTTGGGTGAGGGTTGGGCCCCTTCCCTTCCACCTTCCTCCACTCCTGTGCATGATACCCTGGCTGGGGCCTGGGGCGTCCTGCGCTGGCCAGAAGTCAGGGTCACCAGGGACTCTCCGTTCTCGCTCCCGAAGAGGGGACTTGCGCGGACGGCGAGGAGGATCGATGCGTTCCTGAGTTCCCAGGGAAACGAGGCCGCGGCTGTTGTCACGTCGCGAGGAAGATTTATGAGGCGCGGGCCGAGCATGGCCCGGCCCGGCGGAGGCCGCCCGCGCACCCAGGCTAATCTTTGATTTCCATCTGATTATTTTTTTTTTCCTGCCATCTCCAAGTCGGCGTCCGGAAAGGCGAACAAAGGGAGGAGGATGGGGGATGGGGGCGCCAAGCGGTGGCGAGGGCTCGGTCCGGCAACCTTCCTCCTCAGTGGGGGCCCTTGGGCGCCCCAGGCTCGCGCCCAATGCGGGGCCCAGGAGGGCGCAGTTTGAAAGGTGACCGGGCTGGGGCTGTCGGAGACCCGCTCTGCGGGGTGGCCCTTCTAGCCGCTAGGCCCACGACAGGACTTCTAGGGAGGGGTCCCTGCAAATGCCCTTGGGCGAAGAGAGGACGGAAAGAATATTCTCCCTTAAATTGCAATTAAGGGTGTGCGGGGCGGGGGTGCTTGGGGGGTGCTGCGGCAGGCCGGGTTCGCTCAACCGGAGGCAGCAGCTCAGCCCTGGGCCGATAAGGCCGAGGGAAACGGGATTTCTTTGCTTCCCGCACGGAAAAGATCCATCCAAGCGGGTAAGAGGGAAGCGAAGCTTGCATTTTTTATGTTGAAAAAAAAATTCAAAATGGAAAATCATTTTATTGGTCACCACCCATAAGTAAACTAAAAACAGGGATAATTAGAGTGTGGGGATTTGGAGGGACCATAAATCTGCGGCGCCTTTTCCACTGGAATCAGGAGCCTTTATGGCTTGTTGTTTTATTTTGAGAGAAATGAGATCCCTGGCTTTGGTGCAGGCGGGTGTGCGCTCCGAGCGTCTTTCGGCGGGGGGGAGGGGGGAGCAGGAGGGGCGAGGAGACTTGCGCAGTCAGGGAGCCGCGAACCCCGAGTCTCGGTCCTCGAAGGCGGCAGGAGAAACCGCGCGCTGTGCCCCGACCTCTCTCGCCCTGGCCAACCGCGACTTGGGACGAGCTGGAGGAGCTTCCCCCGGGCTCCGGACGCCCGCGCCGAAAACCGGGCCATGGGTACCAAACCCGACTCTAGGCGGTCATTCACTTTGTCCCCACCCAAACTCTGATGAGCTATTTGGGAGTGCGCGGGGACTGGGAAGTGAGGGACTTTTATAACATTCTTCTTTCGACTCCGGCTTCCGAGCCCACCACCCATCTTGCCTCCTTCGCCTCCGCCCTTTGTTCTAAACTGGGGAGGGGGGAGGGGGGAGAGAAAAGGACACAAAATCACCGCCCCCCCGTCAAATCCTTAAATTTCCAATCTTCCGCAAAATGGCCTGGAATCCATTTCACTCCATAGGGGTTCTATCCCCCACCGGGTGGAGGCCAGCTTTCCAATCTCCCACACAAGCAGGATCCTTTCCCACTTCTGAAAGTCTTCAAACCCAGTCACCCCAAATGCAAACATCGTGTGAAACCCCATTAATCAGGTAAGAAAGTAGGGAGAGCTCTGACTCAGCTGCCTCTAATTTTGGGAGGAGAAAGAGAAAGTGAGTTTCTCTTTCATCAAGTACCCCAAAATAACAGCGCTCCTTCCCTTCAGCCCGCTCCAACCGCAGCCTTGCCTTTGTTGAAAGACCCCTGTCCTTCCTAGGAAGGGGGGCGGGGAGGACAGGCTCACATTCCGAAGAGTTCTGTCCCCAAAACTGTTCGAAGATTCTTTTGTTTGACGTGCACATGGGGGAGGGGAAGGAGCCCGCTCAGGCCACCCGGCCTCCTCGGACCCCGCTCAGGCCACCCGGCCTCCTCGGACCCCGCTCAGGCCACCCGGCCTCCTCGGACCCCGCCCAGGCCACCCGGCCTCCTCGGACCCCGCAGAATACCCCCAAAGCCCATGGGCGTCTCCTAACCGTGTAAGTCCGGGGCTCCGGGGGCTAGGAGGGGCTGCTCCAAGACAAGGGAAGCTGCCCGCCAGATTGGGGCCAATATCGGGCTTTCCCAACCCAAGCTTCCTCCGAAAACAACCCCCTCAAAACTGAGCATCCCTACTAGAAAAAATCCGCATTTTCCAGGAGGACGGGGTGGGAGAGCTTCGGGGAACAAAGCCCGGTCCTCCCAGCTCTGAGGCCGAGGCAGGGCGCACCTCCTCCTGGGCGAATTCAATCGGAGCTGCAGAAGAGACAAGCATTTCCAAACTGGCACCCGCTCCGAGCCCAAGGTGAGGGTGGAGAAGGGTCCCTGGTGGAAGCTGCAGGAACACTTTGGGCCGGGGTCTACCCCGCGTTCGGCGGCTCCCCGAATCCCGCAGAAAGACACGTTTGCAGCGAAAGGCTCTTACACACCAGCCGGGATTTTATTCGTTCCCTACCGAGAGTGCGCTCTGGGAGCGCGGGAAACAAGGAAAACGCACGTACCTGGCGGCGCTCCGAGGGCGGCCTCGCGGGCCCTCCGCTGGCGAAGGCCCCCAGAAGCCACTCCCCGCCCGGCTGCTCGCCCCACGGCCAGTCCCTCCCTCCCCGGCGACGCACCCCGCCGAGCCAGCTCACAGGAAGCGCCAGGAGCCGGAGACCTGGCTCGCCTTTCCGGGCGCTGCGTCCGTCTTCGACCGCCAGGGCCCGCGTCCTCTCCCCGGCCACGGCCCACCAGAGGGACCCCGCGGCGGGTCCTGGCTCGGGCGCGTCCTTCTGCGTCCGAGTTCCCAGGTTCCCGGCCGAGCTGCGGAGACGGACGCGGAGCCCTCGGGGAAGACGAGGCGGCGGCGGCCGCCGTCCGGGCAGGAGCCCCGGGGCGGGAGGGGTGCAGGGCGGAGGAGCGGGCGGGATCCCAGCGCCCCGCGCCCCGCGGCCGCCGCCCTCCGGGGCGCCCAGCCCCACCCACGTGGAACCGCCCCGCCCCCGCCGCCCCGCCCCCACGAGGGAAGGCACCCGAGCCTCGCCGCACACCCGCGCCTCCCGGTCCCGGGCCCGAAACACCGCGCCCCTCCCCCAGCGCCGTGCTCCCCGCCTCTCCAGCGCGCGGCTCCCGCCCGACCCGCGCGCCCGCCCGACCCGCCCCCAACCCCGCCCAATCACCGCCCTCCGCGGCTGCTCCCTTTGTCTGAGCCCCCGGCGCAGGCCAATGGAATCACGCGGAGGCGCGGGCGGCTTGGCCAATGGAAGGCCCAGGGGGCGTGGCTGGCGGGAGGGGCTGCGGGCGGCCGGGTTCTATGCGCTGAGACCCGAGACTGCGTCGCCGGCGGGTGCGCCCAGGTCGCCCAGCTAGAGCCGGCAGGATCCCGCCGCCGGGTTGTGGGTTTTTGACTCTCCCTCCGCTGTCGGGAGAAGCGCCTGAGTGGGGAGGGAGGTGGGAGGAGGTGGCCCCGCGTCGGGGGTGCGGGGAGCGGGACGGCGGCTTGGATGGACACGGTCAGCCCCGGGCCGGAGAGGGTTCGGCTCAGAGCAGCCTGGGTTCTGTTCAGAGCCCTACTGTGCACGTTTCCGCGAGGATCTGCGGAGAGACGTGCAGGCGACGCAGGCCCCGGGAAGGAAGGAGGGTACCTGGGCTCGGACGAGCGATAACGCTGTGTTCTGTGACTCCGTACAAACGGATCCTGGAGTCCAGGGAAAGCGTCCCAGGCCCCCAGCCCGGGCAGGGTTCGTGGGATTGGCGTCCGCTGCCCCAGGCTTACCCCGAATGGAGGAGTGACCCCTGTCCCCTGAGCTGGGTCGCATTGAGGGGAAATGCCAGGACACCCGCACCAGGGCCCAGGCACTGAAATCTGGAGCGGAGCACAGCCAGGCGGCTTGGCCTGTGCCCCGCGCCCTCCCCAGAGGGGGTCTTCTTCCAGGCTGGAGCGCACATCTCCCCTGGAGCAGGGGGTGAGGGAAGGGCCTCCTGTGCCCTCAGTCAGGCCCTGTAGGGCAGCAAGGGTGGAGAATGCCTGGACCTTCTTATCTTGTTACCCCGATTGCCTTCACCACGGCAGGGGAAAAAGTGACAAAACTGCCTTTGGGATGCCAAAGAGCTGGTGAGTGTCGCTTTCTCTGTAACAGAAACATGTAAAGCGGGTTGTCTGTTTCTAGGTGGAGGACTTTGGTCCGCTGTGTCCTGCATCTTCTTTAAAAGTAATAGACACAGTCTTAATTCACTGAGAAGGAGGCACATATGGGTGTCAGCAGTCCCAGGCCTCAGGGAACGTGCTTCTCACATTTTCCTAAGTTTCCAAACCTTGTCAAAGTGAAATCACAAACTAGAATAAAAACAGAGGCAAAGCAGCCCCTGGCCGTGAGATTTCAAAGGGCCTCTCCCTGCAGGGTCCAGTCCATCCCTGCAGGGTAAGTGGAGCCCTGGGCATAAATAAGGCACAGCATGGCAGAGGAGCCAGCACCAGGGAACACAGTCTTGTCACAAACATCCCAGGATCTGCTGGAGTCCTGCCGGGCCAGCATGGGCCTTCTCAGTCCTCAGGTCCCTGGCACTGTTGTCACCAAAGCCACGATCCCTCAACTGTTGTTGCCAAAGCCACTAGACAGCAACTTTTAAGACTCCACCCTGGGGTTCCCCACTCCAGGGGTCACCAGAATTCTGAGGCGGGCACTCTGCTGTGTCCCCTGAGGCCCACAGCAGCCCCAGGGTCTGGGGGACTCAGGGAGGACCTCCTAGCATCCTGACCTCCTCCAGCCCTGGTTGCAGCCCACAGACCCAGATCAATATGGCCTTAATGGTGTGGCTCCCAGGGATTAAGCAGCCAAGGCCAGAGACCTGAATGGGTTTAGAGGCTGAGAAGGGATTTAATCAAGGTAGCCCTCCATACAGTTCCTCCTGACACCCTCCTCTCCTGTTTCCAGTCCCTGGAGATGACAAAAAAAAAAAAAAAAACTGAGGCCAGGCACAGTGGCTCATGCCTGTAATCCCAGCACAGCACTTTGGGAGTCTGAGGCAGGCAGATCACCTGAGGTCAGGAGTTCAGGACCAGCCTGACCAACATGGAGAAACCCCATCTCTACTAAAAATACAAAATTAGCCAGCCTTGGTGGCGAATGCCTGTAGTCCCAACTATTCAGGAGGCTGAGGCAGGAGAATCGCTTGAACCCAGGAGGTAGAGGCTGTGGTGAGCCGAGATTGCGCCATTGCACTCCAGCCTGGGCAACAACGAGAGTGAAACTCCATCTCCAAAAAAACAAAGAAAAAAAAACTGTAAGTCCATTACAACCAGCAGGGACAAGATGGGTGCCCTCCGTGGCCCAGAAATCTGGAGGAGTCCTGGGGAGATGGGGGTGGGGACGTTGCTCTCGCTGGAGGGAAGAAATGACAGCCTTGGTGCCCAGAAGTGAAACCTGCTGGCAGGTGATGGCAGCTCCCAGAGGAGCCAAGGGGCCCTGGGACAGTGGGAGGGGGATGGCTGGGGTGTCTGTGGGAGGGCAGCCTCACCCTTGGCTGAGTACACTCAGCACAGGCAGTGGACAGAGAAGAGATCCCATTGTGGAATAACACCTGGAGGGAGCGGGGAGTCGTGGGCTCTGAGCCGTCAGCCACAGTTGAGGTGTCTGACCACGTGCTGCTGATGGACAAGCAGGGATCCCACACAAAGCTGGGATCACCAACCCCAAGGACGCACCACAAACTGAAGAACTAACACGAGCGAACTAACTAGCGCAGAGCCGGCGCTGTACAGCGAGATTGGGTGCCCCTCCTCCTTGGCCTGGGCTAGACTGAATCTGCCAGGTTCCCTGGCAAGGGGTGTGGCCAGGTGGCCACCTGCAGTGGAGGTGACAGCAGTGACGTGTGCCTCTCCTGTGACTGGCCCAAAAGGCCCTCCATTAACTTTTCCTTTCCCAGGGCCTGGCAACAACCAGGGTGACACAGGAAGCTTCGCTTGAGGACAGCAGAGTCACCCTCAGCCTAGGGCTCTGAGTGACTGCAAGAATCAAGGCCATTGTCAAACGGAAACCCTGCCATGGTTGTCAAGAGAGAAATCCACTTCTCTTTTGTTTAGGCATTTACACCAGCGTCTATGCCTCAGAGCAGTTTAACTTACAATTCAATTAGCAATTTAATCATTGGTTTTTCACTCCCCCGTAGCAGAATTTTACATCCGTCTGCTTGCTGTGGTCTCTAGGTGGTGGGTGGGCTCTCCTCCCTTGACTTTGGGCTTGGCGAGTGACGTGCTCTGGCTAGTGGGAAGGTAGCAGATTTGAAATGGGCAAAGGTTTGGAATGTGCCAGCAAGGGCAGCCTGGTCTTCCTGCTTGCCAGGGACCCACTACAAGCAGGCTGTGCCCCAGAGAAGAATGGAGAACGCAGATAACTGACGGGGGCTCCAAGAAGCGAGAAACCTGGGCGGACCTCAGCCCAGCCCACATCCCAGAACCCGGAGGCCAGGGGCTTGGCCAGGTGGAGGTCGGCCCTAGCCCTGTGAGCGTGAGACTCGGCCACCAAGCTTTAAGGTCGTCGTTATGCAGCACTGTTGTGGCAAAAGCCGACTGATACACCTGCCCTGGCACTTGGGGATACAGGGAAACGGATGTGGTGAATTGAAGATGATGCCACACGTCCCCTGGTGTGCCGAGGTAAAGGCTTGGGAACGCTGGGAAGAGGGAGGAAAGAGCCAGAAGGTTAGCGCGAGGCACTCATTCCCTGTAGCTTGACTACTGTTTCCAGAAATTGAGGGCCGGTTTGCAATTAGAGTTACCCCAGAAAGTTGGGACTCCCAGGTTGAAAAAGCCACTGTTTATGCCTCAAACAGTAGGAGAAAAGATGGTGGCTGTTCAAGGCCTGTCACTCAGGCAGCTCAGTCCAACAAAAGTGTGCAGGCCTACGGCAAAGATCAGATGAAGGCTCAGGTTGCGGGGGGAGGGGAGCAGATGGCTTAATGAATCATCTGTCAGTTGGACCCGGAAGACAGTCATCGGGACCCACGGAAAGGCTCTGCCCATCCTAGAGAGGCAGGCTTTGGGCTGGGTCTTCTCCCTGGAGATGATGGTGACTTTTTCTAACACGATGTGTGGAGGAAGGGTGGGTCTCACAGATGTCTGGAGGCCAAGGGCTGGCTGGCTGCCGTCCGGCTGTCCAACAGAAGCCGTTACCCCTTCTCATGGGGCCCCTGGCTGGTCTGCATTCCCAGGCTCCCTCGCAGTAGGTGTGGCTGGGTAACCGTGGTGTCCAACAGAATCTGGCAGAAGCAGTGTGCACCAGTTTCAGGAGCAGGTCACCCTTCCAGGAGGCTTTTAGGGTTCCCCCTTCTGATGGCTGAAATGGGCACATCAGAGAGACTGTGGAAGACAAATGTGCAAGATGACAGGGCAGCCTTCAGCCTGGGGCCCAACCAGGCCCCACCCCGCAGGAGCACTTGCTTGGGCAGGTCAGGGATAAATAAGCCGCGGGCTGGCATGGGCAGCTACGTTTGGGGTCTATTTGCTACAGTTGTGTAACTTGCACTGAGCAAGAGTTTCAGAACACACAGTGTTCAAAAACACCAGTAATAGCTTCAGAGAGAAAAGAGATTTTGTTCTTTAAAAAAAGAATCTGGGGAAGTGAACTCAGATTTTTGCTTCCTTCCTCATAATTTTAGGTAGTATTCAAAAATTTACAAGAAGATTCAGAAATAATAACCAAGAAAACTGCATTCATGTGAACAAATAAAAATAAGCTTTGGGGCTGGGCACAGTGGCTCGCGCCTGTAATCCCAGCATTTTGGGAGGCCAAGGCGGGTGGATTGCTTGAGGTCAGGCATTTGAGACCAGCTTGACCAACATGGTGAAACCCTGTCCCTACTAAAAATACAAAAATGAGCTGGGCGTGGTGGCGGGTGCCTGTAATCCCAGCTACTCAGGAGGCTGAGGCAGGAGAATCACTTGAATCCGGGAGGCAGAAGTTGCAGTGAGCCAGGACTGCGTCATTGCACTCCAACCTGGACAACAAAGTAAGACTCTGTCTCAAAAATTATAAAAAATAAATAGAGGCCGGGCACGGTGGCTCACACTTGTAATCCTGTATCTGGAATTGGTGGGTTCTTGGTCTCACTGACTTCAAGAATGAAGCCGTGGACCGTCACGGTGAGTGTTACAGTTCTTAAAGGCGGCGTGTCTGGAGTTTGTTCCTTCTGATATTCAGATGCGTTCGGAGTTTCTTCCTTCTGGTGGGTTCGTGGTCTCGCTGGCTCAGGAGTGAAGCTGCGGACCTTCGCGGTGAGTGTTACGGCTCTTAAGGCAGCGCGTCTGGAGTTGTCCTTCCTCCCGGTGGGCTCGTGGTCTCGCTGGCTTCAAGAGTGAAGCTGCAGACCTTCGGGGTGAGTGTTACAGCTCATAAAGGCAGTGTGGACCCAAAGCGTGAGCAGTAGCAAGATTTATTGCAAAAAGCGAAAGAACAAAGCTTCCACAGCGTGTAAGCAGACCAGAACAGGTTGGCACTGCTGGCTCGGGCAGCCTGCTTTTATTCTCTTATCTGGCCCCACCCACATCCTGCTGATTGGTAGAGCCCAGTGGTCTGTTTTGACAGGGCACTGATTGGTGTGTTTACAATCCCTGAGCTAGACACAAAGGTTCTCCACGTCCCCACCCGATTAGCTAGATACAGAGTGTCTACACAAAGGTTCTCCAAGGCCCCACCAGAGTAGCTAGATACAGAGTGTCGATTGGTGCATTCACAAACCCTGAGCTAGACACAGGGTGCTGATTGGTGTGTTTACAAAACTTGGACTAGATACAGAGTGCCGATTGGTGTATTTACAATCCCTTAGCTAGACATAAAGTTCTTCAAGTTCCCACTAGACTCAGGAGCCTAGCTGGCTTCACCCAGTGGATCTCGCACTGGGGCTGCAGGTGGAGCTGCCTGCCAATCCCGCGCCGTGCGCCCACGCTCCTCAGCCCCTGGGTGGTCGATGGGACTGGGCGCCGTGGAGCAGGGGGTGGCGCTCGTCGGGGAGGCTCGGGCTGCACAGGAGCCCACGGGTGGGGGGCGCGGGGCGGGGACGGGAGGCTCAGGCATGGCAGGCTGTAGGTCCCAGCTCTGCCCCACGGGAAGGCAGCTAAGGCCTGGCGAGAAATCCAGCGCAGCGCCGGTGCGCCGGCACTGTTGGGGGACCCAGCACACCCTCCGCAGCCGCTGGCCCGGGTGCTAAGCCCCTCATTGCCCGGGGCTGGCAGGGCCGGCCGGCTGCTCCGAGTGCGGAGCCCGCCAAGCCCACGCGGAACTCCAGCTGGCCCGCAAGCGACGCACGCAGCCCCAGTTCCCTCTCGCGCCTCTCCCTCCACACCTCCCCGCAAGCTGAGGGAGCCGGCTCCGGCCTTGGCCAGCCCAGAAAGGGGCTCCCACAGTGCAGCGGCGGGCTGAAGGGCTCCTCAAGTGCCGCCAGTGGGAGCCCAGGCAGAGGAGGCGCCGACAGCGAGCGAGGGCTGTGAGGACTGCCACACGCTGTCACCTCTCAATCGCAGCACTTTGGGAGGCCGAGGCGGGTGGATCACGAGGTCAGGAGATCGAGGCCATCCTGGCTAACACGGTAAAACCCTATCTCTACTAAAAATACAAAAAATTAGCCGGGCGTGGTGGCGGGCGCCTGTAGTCCCAGCTACTTGGGAGGCCGAGGCAGGAGAATGGCGTGAACCCAGGAGGCGGAGCTTGCAGTGAGCCGAGATCGCGTCACTGTACTCCAGCCTGGGTGACAGAGCAAGACTCCGTCTCAAAAATAAATAAATAAATAAATAAAAAATTGGGCTCGTTTGGTTTTGTGGAGTGTTTTGAGACAGGGAGTACAGCAGCAGGGTCACTGTAGTACAGCACAGGAGTCACTGCAGCCTCCACCTCCCAGGGTCACGCAATCCTCCCACCTCAGCCTCCCAAGTAGCTGGGACCAGAGGGTTTGAGCCACTACACCCAGCTAATTTTTCATGTTTGCTTTGTAGAGATGAGGTCTTGCTATGTTTTCCAGGCTGGTCTGAAACTCCTGGCCTCAAGTGATCCTCCCTCCTTGACCTCCCAAAGTGCTGGGATTACAGACATGAGCCACCTCACCCCGCCCCACTTTCTTTTTTTTTCTAATCAGCCCCAACTCATTATTTATTTTCACTGGTCTCTAACCAAAATTTGACATTTCCTTCAGTGATGAATGTATGACATAACTAAAATAACTAAAATGACTCAAATCATGCTGCGATTGTTGCAGATATCTTTTTTTGGAAACGGAGTCTTGCCCTGTCGCCTAGGCTGGAGTGCAGTGGCGCCATCTCGGCTCACTGCAACCTCTGCCTCCCGGGTTTAAGCGATTCTCCTGTCTCAGCCTCCCAAGGAGCTGGGACTATAGGCGCACGCCACCACGTCTGGCTTATTTTTGTATTTTTAGTAGAGACGGGATTTCACCATGTTGGCCAGGATGGTCTTGATCTCCTGACCTCATGGTCGGCCCACCTCGGCCTCCCAGAGTGCTGGGGTTACAGACGTGAGCCACCACGCCCAGCCAGCCAGGCTGGTCTTAAACTCCTGATCTCAAGTAATCCACCTGCCTCGGCCTCCAAAGTGCTGGAATTATAGGCGTCAGCCACTGCAGCTGGCCACAGATATCTCAAAATACTGTTTCTGTTCATCACAAACACATGTATTGCATGTACCAGAACTTTTGTGATGCATTAATATGTATAATTAATATGCATTAATGTGTACAAGTATAAAAAATATATGCAGGGGCAGGGTGTGGTAGCTCATGCTGTAATCCCAGTGCTTTGGGAGGCTGCGGAAATAAGATTGCTTGAGTCCAGGAATTCAAGACCAGCGTGGGCAACATGGGGAGCCCCTGTGTCTCTACAAAAAATTTAAAAATTAGCTAGGCATGGTGGTGCGTGCCTGTAGTCCCAGATACTTAGGCGGCTGAGGCAGGAGGATTGCTTGAGGCCAGGAGTTCCAGGCTGCAGTGAGCCATGATTGTGCCACTGCACTCCAGCCTGGGCAACAGAGCAAGACCTTGTCTCAAAAAAGAAATTAAGAAAGAAAGCAAGACAAGAAAAAAAAAAATATATATATATATATATATGCAAACTCATATACATTTATTATTGTATTGCAGTGTAATTGGTTCTCTTTATAATCCTATATACTTTATTTTAAAAAACACTTTTCAGAAGGGGTCCTTAGACTTCATCAGTGCCAAGTGGGGCCCGGGTCAATCACGGTGACCATGGTCACAGCCAGGATGGGTGGATGTGGGGCAAGAGTTGCACGCTGGACACAAGGGCCGTGTGCCCCAGGGCTGCTGAAGGAGATGCTCTCCCCTTCCTCTGGATCCCCCGGGTGTAAGTGGGACGCCTGCCTCTGCCGCAGCGCCTGTCAGCTGACTTGCTCCTGTCCTGAGTCAGAGCTGAGAGGTGGAAGGACTCAGGACCAGGAGGCGCTGGGGCCTCTGAGTGCTGCCCCTGCACCTGCCCACCTCAGTCTTGTGAAACGTTCTGCTTCTTGATCATGGAGGCCCGTTTGAGGCAGAGGCTCTGTGACCTGCACACACCTCCCAGTAGAAGATACTGCAGAAACACTGAAACTGGAAAGAGGGAAAAAGTCACCCCACACAAAGGTCCTGTTTTTTGACCTAGGTGTAGGCTGCACGGGTGTGTTCATTATGTGAGCATTCACAGGGCAGTATATTGAAAATAGGCGTACTTTGATATATGTTTATTATCCTTCAATAAAAACAGACAAATGCTAGCAAAAAAAGAGCAGCTATCGTAATATTAATAAAAGACCCAAAGAAATAAAGACCAAAAACATGGGATGGGTAGAAACCTATATGATTTCCGCTACAACCCTCACAGAGATACGCCAGCTGGATGGGCTGCTTCTGTAACCGACCAGCTGCAAATGACAGAAAACTTCCCAGCGCACGGGTTTGTCTCACGCAGTGCAATGGAAGGGGGTAGTAGTCCAAGGTGAATGCAGCCACTGGTGACATCATCTCAGATAAGGGTTCTGTCTCTTGGTGGCTTTCGGCTTCTGTCCTCGTGGTTACAGGATGGTTGCCGCCCCCCTAGTTATGATATCCTGTTCCAGAAGAAGAAGGAAGAGCTGAGGCAACAGGCCATCCCCACAAAGCTTCTCTCTTTCTGCCTACATCTCCTTGGCCAGAACCAGGTTATGTGGACACCCCTATCTGTGAGGGAGACCAGGAATCTGGGCATTTCCCTTGAGTAGAGAAGAGGAAGGCAAAGAGAAGGGTGGGAGTAGGTGACAAGCCTCTTTCTACAGAGTCGGCCACACCAATTGTGAACTACTGTGGACCAACCAACATATCTTCAAAACAGAGCAAAAAATTATAGAAGTACACTATTAATAAATCCACATTTGGTCTCAGACATTGAGACACCAAGCGGACCCAAAGCAATTAGGGATATAATAGATTTGAAAAGCACAAATAGGCCGGGCGCGGTGGCTCACGCCTGTAATCCCAGCACTTTAGGAGGCCAAGGCGGGCGGATCATGAGGTCAGGAGATGGACACCATCCTGGCTAACAGGGTGAAACCCCGTCTCTACTAAAAAATACAAAAAAAAAAAAATTAGCTAGGCATGGTGGCAGGCGCCTGTAGTCCCAGCTACTCGGGAGGCTGAGGCAGGAGAATGGCGTGAACCCAGGAGGCAGAGCTTGCAGTGAGCCAAGATTGTCCCACTGCACTCCAGCCTGGGCTGCAGAGAGAGACTCCATCTCAAAAAAAAAAAAAAAGAGAAAAAAAGAAAAGAAAAAAAAGAAAAACAAATAACAAACTTGATCCAACAGATCTATATAATGGAACTTTATAATCAGTGAACAGAGACTATATTATTTTCACACATAAATCAGTCCCCAGAATTGATCATTTATTGGACCACAAAAGAAATCTCAGGTCGGGTGTGGTGGCTCACACCTGTAATTCCAGCACTTTGGGAGGCCACGGCTGATGGATCACCTGAGGTCAAGAGTTCGAGACCAGCCTGACCAACGTGGAGAAACCCCGTCTCTACTGAAAAGAAATACAAAATTAGCCAGGCTTGGTGGTGCATGCCTGTAATCCTAGCTACTCGGGAGGCTGAAGCAGAAGAATCGCTTGAATCCGGGAGGCGGAGGTTGCCGTGAGCCGAGATCGCGCCATTGCACTCCAGCCTGGGCAGCAAGAGTGAAACTCTGTCTCAAAAAAAAAAAAACAGATAAATCTCAATAGGTTACAAGCAGAAACCATACCGTTCACATTCTTTGACTATAATGAGATCACTTGGAAATTAAGAGTAAGAGCCAGGTGCAGTGGCTCACGCCTGTAATCTCTCCCAACACTTTGGGAGGGCGGGAGGACTGCTTGAGGCCAGGAGTTCAAGACCAGCCTGGTCGGCCGGGCGCGGTGGCTCACGCCTGTAATCCCAGCAATTTCGGAGGCAGAGGTGGGTGGATCACAAGGTCAGGAGATCGAGACCATCTTGGCTAACATGGTGAAACCCCATCTCTACTAAAAAACCAAAAAATTAGCCCAGTGCAGTGGTGGGCACCTGTAGTCCCAGCTACTTGGCAGGCTGAAGACAGAGAATCACTTGAACCCGGGAGGCGGAGCTTGCAGTGAGCCAAGATCACGCCACGGCACACCAGCCTGGGCGACAGAGCGAGATTCCATCTCAAAAAAAAAAAAAAAATTATTTGAGACCATGTGGGCCTGGTGGCGTTTTTTTGTTTTGTTTTGTTTTGTTTGATGCATGCGCCACCACGCCCAGCTAATTGTTTGTATTTTTATTTTTATTTTATTTTTTGAGATGGAGTCTCGCTCTGTCACCCAGGCTGGAGTGCAGTGACGCCATCTTGGCCCACTGCCAGCTCCACCTCCCGGGTTCACGCCACTCTCCTGCCTCAGCCTCCCGAGTAGCTGGGACTACAGGCGCCCGCCACCACACCCGGCTAATTTTTTGTATTTTTAGTAGAGACGGGGTTTCATCGTGTTAGCCAGGATGGTCTCGATCTCCTGACCTCGTGATCCGCCTGCCTCGGCCTCCCAAAGTGCTGGGATTACAGACGCGAGCCACCGCGCCCGGCCTGTTTGTATTTTTTTTTTTTTAAGACGGAGTTTCGCTGTGTTACCCAGGCTGGAGTGCAATGGCGTGATCTCGGCTCACTGTAACCTCCATCTCCCGGGTTCAAGTGATTCTCCTGCCTCAGCCTCCCAAGTAGCTGGGACTACAGGCATGCACCACCAAGCCCAGCTAACTTTTGTATTTTTAGTAGAGATGTGGTTTCACCATGTTGGCCAGGCTGGTCTCGATCTCCTGACCTCGTGATCCGCCCGCCTTGGCCTCCCAAAGTGCTGGGATTACAAGTTTGTTTGTATTTTTAATAGAGACGGGGTTTCATCATGTTGGCCAGGCTGGTCTCGATCTGTTGACCTCGTGATCTGCCCGCCTCGGCCTCCCAAAGTGCTGGGTTTACAGGCGAGAGTCACTGCGACTGGCCAATTATTTGTATTTTTAGTAGAGACGGGGTTTCGCCATGTTGGCCAGGCTGGTCTCGATTTCCTGACCTCGTGATCCGCCCGCCTCGGCCTCCCACAGTGCTGGGGTTACAGGCGTGAGCCACTGTGGCAAGCCTGGTGAACATGTTTTGTTGTCAAATTGCTACATGAGGGAAACGTTTTCTGAATTTCTGTCACTCTGCGGCAGAGTCCAAAGCCCCAGGGGCGAGAGTCACGCTGCGGAGACTCCTGTCCACAGGTGGGATTCTTCTGGGAGAGCTCCTGTTAAATTCTGATTCCCAGCCAGGAAATTTGGTTTCTTCACTTGGGGTGGGGGCCCAGGAAGCTGGCAGAATAGGCTCCCTTAGTGATTCTGGTGCAGGTTCCTGGGGAACCTTACTCAGAGGCATCAGTGTAACTTTCTCCTGGTTTTCCCAGTGTGTGAGTGGTCAAGGCAGTGCGGGCTAAAGGGCAGCAGGGGCGTGGTGGAGGCAGTGGCGGACAAAGAGCCACTGCTCCGTGCTCTGCTCCACGCGGGGCCACTGCTCACCTGCTGTGCACTTGAGGTCCCTTCCTGGAGGTCCTCACACCAAGCCTTGGTAAGTGAGGGGTGAACAGGTGATGATTGGAAACTGGATCCCAGGTTCTGGCTGGGTGTGGGGTGATGATGAACTTGGTCTGAGCAGGGGTCCCATGAGAGTAAAAGACAGCCCCATGCGGTTGTGGCGGGGGTGGGGTTGCGAGGCATGGGGGATGGAAGCTGGGGCTGGGGGGACTGTGGTCCCTGGGAACTGGCCTTGCTTCCTGGACTGTCTTTGTGCACCAACCTCGTCTGCGTCCCCTCCTAGCCTGGGAGCTGCACGTGACAGCAGGTCCCGCCTGCTGTGTATTCCCGGCTCCAGCCCAGTGCCTGGCTCCCAGCACATTCTCAAATAACAGAAGTGGAATTGCAGTGGGAGGTCGTGGCCTAGTGGAGGTGGAGGACTTGGGAAGATACGCATCTTCATCTTCTCTGTAGACCCGGGAGTTCTCCTGAGCATTAGTCTCAGAATCGACTTGGGAATTTGCCAATAGGCAGAGCCTTGGCCAACAATATGTAGCAATTATGTAAAATCACACACGCACACACATGCACGTGAACACGTGCACACACACACACAAACACACCAGGATTTTTTTGGTAAGCTTTTTCATTTGGAATAATTGTAGATTCACATGCAGTTATCAGAAATAACACAGTAGGCTGGGCATGGTGGCTCATGCCTGTAATCCCAGCACTTTGGGAGGCCAAGGCGGGAGGATCACCTGAGGTCGAGAGTTTGAGACCAGCCTGACCAACATGGAGAAACCCCATCTCTACTGAAAATACAAAATTAGCTGGGCGTGGTGGCACGTGCCTCTAATCCCAGCTACTCAGGAGGCTGAGGCAGGAGAATCGCTTGAACCTGGGAGGCGGAGGTTGCGGTGAGCCGAGATTGCACCACTGCACTCCAGCCTGGGCAACAAGAGTGAAACTCCGTCTCAAAAAAAAAAAAAAAATAGAACTAACACAGTGATCCCACATACCCTTTTCCCCATTTCCCCCAATGGTAACATCTTGCAGAACTGTACTACAATGCCCCAGCAAGGATAGCGAGGATACTGGCATAGGGATCGCCAAGACACCCAGGCTTTCCATCGCCACAAGGGTCTCGGTGTCACCTGTTTACAGCCACACCCACCAGCCCTCCATCCTCTCCTGAGCCCCGTGGTGGGATGGGCTGTTTTCTCTTAGCATAATTCTCTGGAAATCCATCCGGGCTGCGGTGTCAAGAGCCCCTTCCTTCCTTCCTTCCTTCCTTCCTTCCTTCCTTCCTTCCTTCCTTCCTTCCTCCTTCCCTCCCTCCCTCATTCCCTTCCTCTCTCTCTCTCTTTCTCTCTTTCTTTTTGAAACAGAGTGTCACTCTGTCACCCAGGCTGGAATGCAGTGGCGCTATCTCAGCTCACTGCAACCTCTGTCTCCCGGGTTCAAGTGATTCTCCTGCCTCAGCCTCCCAAGTAGCTGGGACTACAGGCACCCACCACCACACCCGGCTAATTTTTGTAGTTTTAGTAGAGATGGGGTTTTGCCATATTGGCCAGGCTGGTCTCGAACTCCTGACCTTAAATGATCCGCCCGCCTCGGCCTCCCAAAGTGCTGGGATTACAGGCGTGAGGCACCGTGCCTGGCCAAGAGCTCATTCATTTCTTTGTTGAGTGATATTCCAGGGTGTGGAGGTACCACAGTGTCTTTGACCATTCACCCACTGAAAGGCATCTGGGTTCTTTCTGCTTTCAGCTCTTATGAACAGAGCTGCTGTGTACATTGATGTTCAGGATTTTGTGTGAACATAAATCTTTGCTCTGGGACAAATGCCTAGGAATACAATTGCAGGGCTGTTTAGTAGTTACAAGTTTAATTTTTTTTTTTTTTTTTTTTTTTGAGATGAAGTCTCACTCCGTCACCCAGGCTGCAGTGCAGTGGCGCGATCTCCACTCACTACAACCTTCGCCTCCCAAGTTCAAGTGATTCTCCTTTCTCAGCCTCCTGAGTAGCTGGGATTACAGGCATGCACCACCATGCCGTGCTAATTTTTGTATTTTTAGTAGAGATGGGGTTTCTCCAATATGTTTAATTTTTAAAGAAACTGCCAAACTATCTTCTGGAGAGGTTGTGTCATTTTACATTCCCACCAGTAACACACAAGTAATTCGGTTTCTCCACATCCTTGCCAACATTTGGTTTCATGACTATTTTTTACTTTAACCATCCTGATAGGCGTGTGCTGGTATCTCACTGTGTTTTTTAGTTTGCATTTTCCTGACCACTGATGATGTTGAACATCTTTTCACGTGCTTATTTGCCATCTGTATAACCTCTCTAGTGAAATGTCTGTTCATGTCTTTAGCTCACTTTCCAATTGAATTGTTTGTTTTTTCACCTTTGAGCTTTAAGCATTCTTTACATATTTTAGATACTAGCCCTTGGTTTGATATCTGTGGTTTACAGAAATCTTCTTCCAGTCTGTACTTTGTCTTTTCATACCTAAACAGGGTTTTGTTATTTGTAGCTTCATGCTTTTGAATGACTTCCAACTTACAAAAAAGTGGTTAGAATTGTACAAAGAGCTGCTAGATCCCAGTCACCCAGAATCGCCAAGCGTTCATATTTTACCACCTTTTTAAATTCTCTGTTTTTGTTTTTTTGCTTGTTTGTTTTGTTTTTTTTTTTTACGGAGTCTTGCTCTGTGGCCCAGGCTGGAGTGCAGTGGCGCGATCTCGGCTCACTGCAACCTCTGCCTCCTGGTTCAAGCGATTCTCCTGCCTCAGCCTTCTGAGTAGCTGGGACTACAGGCGCCGTCACCACCCCCGGCTAATTTTTTGTATTTTTAGTAGAGACAGGGTTTCACCATATTAGCCAGGCTGGTCTCTAACTCCTGACCTTGTAATCTGCCCACCTCTGCCTCCCAAAGTGCTGGGATTACAGGCGTGAGCCACCGTGCCAGGCCCACTTTTTTTTTTTTTGAGATGGACTTTCACTTTTGTCACCCAGGATGGAGTACAGTGGCATAGTCTCGGCTCACTGCAACCTCTGCCTCCCGGGTTCAAGTGATTCTCCTGCCTCAGCCTCCTGAGCCACTGGGATTACAGGTGCCTACCACCATGTCCAGCTAATTTTTTGTATTTTTAGTAGAGACAGGGTGTCACCATGTTAGCCAGGCTGGTCTCTAACTACTGACCTCAGCTGATCCCACCTGCCTCAGCCTCCAAAAGTGCTGGGATTACAGGTGTGAGCCACCATGCCCAGCCATGCCAAATGGAAGTTTTCTAATTCCATTATTCCTTCTGCTGCACCCCCCATTTATGTATAAATTTTTCTAGGTTTCGCCAGAGGGAAGCCCCTTGAGCCATCTCTTGCCTTTTGACACATCTCCATCTTTTATTTATTTATTTATTTTTTATTTTTATTTATTTTTATTTTTTGAGGTGCGTTGCCCAGGCTGGAGTGCAGTGGCACGATCTCGGCTCGCTGCAAGCTCCGCCTCCCGGCTTCACACCATTCTTCTGCCTCAGCCTCCCGAGTAGCTGGGACTACAGGCACCCACCACCACGCCCAGCTAATTTTTTATATTTTTAGTAGAGATGGGGTTTCACCGTGTTAGCCAGGATCGTCTCGATCTCCTGACTTCATGATCCACCCGCCTCGGCCTCCCAAAGTGCTGGGATTGCAGGCGTGAGCCACCGCACCCGGCCTCTTTTATTTATTTATTTTAAGATGGTCTCACTCTGTTGCCCAGGCTGGAGTGCAGTGGTGCAGTCTTGGCTCATTGCAGCCTCGACTGCCCCAGCTCAAGCGATCCTCCTGCTTCAGCCTCCCGAGTACCTGGGACCACAGACATGTGACACTGATATGGTTTGGCTGTGTCCCCACGCAAATCTCATCTTGAATTGTAGTTCCCATAATTCCCCTGCATGGAGGGAAGGACCCAGTGGGAGGAATTGAATCATGGGGTTGGGTCTTTCCTGTGCTGTTTTCATGAGGTAGTAAATAAGTCTCACGAGATCTGATGGTTTTATAAAGGGGAGTTCCCCTGCACACGCTCTCTGCCTGCCTCCATGTGAGACGAGACTTTGCTCCTCCTTCACCTTCCACCACGATTGTGAGGCCTCCCCAGCCATGTGGAACTGTGAGTCCATTAAACCTCTTTCCTTTATAAGTTACCCAGACTCAGGTATGTCTTTATTAGCAGCGTAATAACAGACTAATACAGACCGTGCTCAGCTAATTTTCTGTGTGTGTTTGTTTGTAGAGACGGGGTTTTGCCATGTTGGCTAGGCTGTTCTCAAATTCCTGGGCTCAAGCAATCTTCCCACCTTGGCCTCCCAAAGTGCTGGGATTACAGGCATGAGCCACCACGCCCAGCCTGTTTCCTTGGGTGCTTCCTGACTTTCTGGCACAACAGGATATCCCAGGCTCATCTCAAACATTCCCTGCCCCAGCCCTGGATGTAGCCTTCTCTCCAAAGAACCCCTGTTCCTGTTAGTGGGAAACGGAATTTAGATCTGGGCAGGGCACCGGGTGTGCACATGACTACTGAGACTTCATTGTTTCTGGGTCCTTCTGACAGGCAGAGCTAGGAACTGTGCACACACACACACACACACACGCCTCTACCTCGCTATATCCATCTACTATATGAAAAAGCATGAAGCCGGGCATGGTGGCTCATGCTTGTAGTCCAAGCCACTCAGGAGGCTGAGGAGGGAGGATCAGTTGAGCCCAGGAGTTGGAGGTTACAGTGAGCCTTGATCCTGCCACTGCACCCCAGCATGGGCAACAAGAGTGAGACCCTTAAAAAAAAAAGAGAGAGAGAGAGACTGGGTGCAGTGGCTCATAACTGTAATCCCAGAACTTTGGGAGGACGAGGCAGGCAGATCACAAGGTCAGGAGTTTGAGACCAGCCCTGGCCAACGTGGTGAAACCCCGCCTCTACTAAAAATCCAAAAATTAGCTGGGCGTGGTGGCGCATGCCTGTAATCCCAGCTACTCAGGAGACTGAGGCAGGAGAATCTCTTGAATCGGGAGGCGGAGGTTGCAGTGAGCTGAGATCACGCCATTGCACTATAGCCTGAGTGACACAGTAAGACTCCGTCTCAAAAAAAAAAGAAAAAGAAAAGCCACACGCATTCGCACCAATACTGTAACTGTAGTCCAGCACCAGAGAGCTGACTCCAGCCTCCTCCTTTCCATGTCTGGTTAGGACCCTCATCCCCACTGACCAACACAGCCAGGCGCCTCCTTCTTTGTGACCCCCCTCGCCCATGGGAAGAAGCGGCTCCACCTCCCCAGGATGCCTCCTCCCTGCTCCCCTGATCGCATGCCTTGCTCCCCGACCTCCTATCTCTCCTCCCACCATGCAAGGTGCTAGCTGGTTCCTTGGCTCCTACTAAAGGGAAGGGAAGGGAAAACGGGAGGGGGTCGTATGCATGTCCTGCGGCTGCCGTACCAAACCACCACAAACTGAGGGCTTCAAACAACAGAAATTTGGCCGGACGAGGTGGCTCACGCCTATAATCCCAGCACTTTGGGAGGCCGAGTCGGGTGGATCACCTGAGGTCAAGAGTTCGTGACCAGCCTGACCAACATGGAGAAACCCCATCTCTACTAGACATACAAAAAATGAGCTGCGCGTGGTGGCGTATGCCTGTAATCCCAGCTGCTCAGGAGGCTGAAGCAGGAGAATCACTTGAACCTGGGAAGGAGGTTGTGGTGAGCTGAGATTGCGCCATTGCACTCCAGCCTGGGTGACAGAGCGAGACTCCGTCTCCAAAAAACCAAAAAAACCACAACAGAAATTCATTTTCTTGTGGCTCTAGAGGCCTGAAGCCTGAGGCCAAGATGTCGGCAGGGCTGGTTCTGTCTGAGGCTCTGCAGGAGAACCTGGCCCAGGCCTCTCCCCCAGCTCCTGGTGGCTCCCAGCGACCCTTGTGGACGCCACTCCCATCTCTGACTCCATCTTCACGCAGCCTTCTCTCCCCTCCAAGTGTCCCTGTGTGAAAATGTCCCTCTATAAGGATGAGAGTCACTGGATCAGGGCCTTGGTAATAAAACGAAATTCTCTTCCAGTTCAGCTGCCAACACAGCCGCAGGCAGGTTCTCTCATCTTCACTCGGTCACATCTGCAAAGACCCTGTTTCCAAATAAGGCCGCAGTCTCAGGCGCTGGGGATCAGGACTTCAGTGTACCTCTTGGGGGGACCCAGGGCCGGTCCACAGCGGGTGGAACCGCATCTGTAACAGGCCCAAGGTGCTTCCTCCTGCACCATCAATCCCAGACACCTGGGTGTGGTGTCTGAGTTCAACAGCCAGGGAGGGGCCTGGACCTGCACGGGGGCAGCCAGGACAGGGGCTGTGTTGGGGACAGGAGGGGCTGCTGGCAGCGCCACAGACACAGGACAGGGCAGGGGTGCAGGAGCCCTGCCCAGGGATGATACCCCCTCACCTCGTGACAGCTAGGGGACACTGGCTTGGGGACCCTTTCACGACACCACCAGCCTCCAGCCTCAGCCCCAAGAGAGGCTCCTGTCTTGCTTCTTCTGACCTCAGCACCGCAGTGGCCTGAGGTCTCGGGTCCAACAGGCTGGGAAGGCCAGAGCGGCTCTTCCTGGGCTGCCCAGGAGGTCTGCGAGGGGGCTTCCCCCAGTCCCAGCGCTGCCCGCAGTGTGAGCTGAGTAACCCTGAGTGAGAGCCAAGAGCTCCCAGGCTCAGTTCCTTCATATCCAGTGAAGGGGTTGACCAGAGGCCCCCACCTGAACGGGCACCTGCAGGCGCCCCTGCCTGGAGGCCGCCGTCCCAGCTCTGCCGCAGCGTGGGGCCATTTAGAAACCTGTGCTGGGCTTACAACTTAAAGCAGCGGTCCCCAACCTGTTTGGCACCCAGGATGGGTTTCGTGAAAGGCAATCTTTCCATGGGCAGTGAGGGTGGTGGTGGTTTCGGGATGAAACTGTTTCACCTCAGATCATCAGGCATTAGAGTCTCATAAGAAGGGTGCAGCCCAGATCCCTCACACACGCAGTTCACAATAGGGTTCTCAGGTTCCGCGCCTATGAGAATCCAACGCCACCGCTGATCTGACGGGAGGCGGAGCTCAGGCGGGGACGCTTACTCACCCGCAGCTCACTTGCTGACGTGCAGTCCGGTTCCTAACAGGACACCAACAGGTCCGTGGCCCAGGGGTTGGGGACCCCTGACTTAAAGGACACTCCCCGGCCCGATAAGCACCATCGCTGAGCACAGGCTGGCACGGAGGCCAGGGAGGGCTGCCCCCTGGGTGTTGCTAAGCACGCCGCCCCAGGAGGGAACCGGCTCTGGAAGCTGCTCTCACAGCAGGGTCAGCTGGGATGCTGTCGGGTTTTAGCAGGACTGGGTCAAAGCTGGCGTCTGGAACTCAGAAGGGAAATCAGACATTGCCGGGCCAATCATGGAAGCGGCCTCTCCCCAGAGAGCTGGGGAAATTGAGGCCCAGAGAGATGTGTGGAGTCACTGGTGGGACGTGACCACCTGCCTGTGTCTGCTCCAGACCAGCCCCCGTCTCTGCCCCGGGCATGGTTCTGTTTGGGGCCAGAAAGACACGGGCCTGGAGCTCAGGGGAAAGGCTGGAAAGGGCCTTGGTCCTCCCAGCAGAGTGGACGCTTATCTCCACCGGAGCGCACAGAGGCTGGACGCACACCGCCCTCTGTGCTCACGGGTTCATTTGTTTGATGAATTTGTCATAACTTGAAAGGCTCTGGTTTATATGCTAACTTCCTGTTCCAGTTCAGTGCCAACATAACCACAGGCAGGTTAATTGCGTGTCCATCAACACGCCTGGGGAGCGAGCCAAGCCCTCCCTCCCGCCTTCATGGCCACAGAGTCCTGCTGCCAGAGCGCTCCAACCCGTGGGCAGGGGCTGTGGTGAGTGCCAGCCCCACAGGAAACCCCGTGTGCCAGGTGCCACAGCCAGGCCTGCCCTGGGCTGCAGGCCCCCCGTTCTTCAGTCCTTCCTGTGAAGTCGTCCAGCTGGGGGTGGGAAGGGAGGTGCCTGTGACTGCTGGAGAGACTCATCCAGCCACCCTCAACCAATAAAATGCTCTTCACCCAGCAATTCTACTTCCAGGGATCTCTCCCACCACCGAGTCCCACCAGGGTGCCACGATGTAGAGGCAGGACATTTGTGGGAAGGTGCCGGCGGCTCCTGGGGCTGGACACAGGCTAAATGCCTGGGAGGGGGCGGCTGGGTAAGGGAGAGGTGAGCCGAGGCCATGCAGCCTGGTAGCCATCGAGAAGAAGGAGATTACGTGGACAAGTGGTTAAAGACTTTCTAGGTGCTGCTCCGGGACAAAGGTGAGGTGCCACCCCCATGCTGTGTGTGGGACTTTGCTAAAACCAGATGGGAGGGGAATGGTGCCTGGAGGGTCCCTGCACTGTATAACCTTCTATGCCTTTGAGGTGTAAAAGCAGTGTTGTTTTACCTTCCTAAACTGCTGTCACAAATTTCTACAAAGTTGTTCATGTAAAACAACAAAATTCCATTCTCTCACAGGCCTGGAGGCCGCAAGTCCAGAATCAAGGTGCCTGAGGGCCGTGTTCCCTCTGGAGGCGCCCGGGGAGGCGGGGTTGGGGGAATCCTTCCTGGTCTCTTCCAGCTTCTGGGGGCCACAGGTGCTCCTGGACTTGCAGCCCCGCATGGCTCCAGCCTCTGCCTCCACCTCCACGCGCCTTCTCCGCTCTGGGTCTCAGTCATCCTCTGGCTTTCCCTTTCTCCGATGCCTAAGTGTCATCGGATTTAGGGCCCAGCCTAAGTTCAGGATGACCTCATCTGGAAATTAGATGTCAATCAGAAGCTGGAGGTTCATGGGGCCCCCACTCTATGAATGCAGGGTCTATGTCCCGGAAGGAGGTGACAGTCCAAGCAGGACCTGGACGTCTGGACACCTGGGAACCCAGGCGTCTGAACACTTGGAGCCTGGACATCTGGACGCTAGGACACCTAGACACCCCCACAATGCCCCTTTCCCCAAGCCCAGGCTTCCCCAACTGGCCTCGAGTCCAGGGCCCACAACGAGGAGCGGGTGGTGGTAAGAAGGAAGGTGGTGGAAACCACCACTGAGGCATCGATGTGTATTTGAGACCTCAGAACCAAGTGCAGCCGAGCGCGTGGACCATGCAGAGACCAGCCGGCCAGGCCATTGGTCCCAGACTGCACCCCTGGGGAGGCCCCGCCCACCTCGTGTGGCACTTTCCCACGTGGCAACCCCAAAGCCAGCAGGTGCAGTGTTTGAGTCAGGCTGCCTGGGCTCTGTCCACAGCTGGGGGGCCTTGGACGAGGGACCTCTGGTGCTCATTTGGACAGCAGCATCATGGTGGCTGCCTCAGGGCTGGTGGGATTACCTAGCAGGACAGCCCAGGGCTCACCTTTCTTTCTTTCTTTTTTTTTTTTTTGAGACGGACTCTCACTCTGTCACCCAGGCTGGAGTGCAGTGGTGCGATCTCAGCTCCCTGCAAGCTCCGCCTCCCAGGTTCATGCCATTCTCCTGCCTCAACCTCCTGAGTAGCTGGGACTACAGGCGCCCGCCACCACGCCTGGCTAATTTTTTCTATTTTTAGTAGAGACGGGGTTTCACCGTGTTGGCCAGGATGGTCTCCATCTCCTCACCTCATGATCTGCCCGCCTCAGCCTCCCAAAGTGCTGGGATTACAGGCGTGAGCCCCCGTGCCCAGCCTCCTTTTTTTTTTTTTTTTTTGGAGATGGAATCTCGCTCTGTCACCCAGACTGGATGGAGTGCAGCGGCGCGATCTCGCCTCCCGGGTTTAAGCAATTCTCCTGCCTCAGCCTTCCTAGTAGCTGGGATTACAGGCGTGCACCACCACGCCTGGCTAATTTTTGTATTTTTAGTAGAGATGGGGTTTCACCATGTTGGCCCAGGCTAGTCTCCAACTCCTGACCTCAAGTGATCCACCCTCCTTGGCCTCCCAAAGTGCTGGGATTACAGGCGTGAGCCACCACGCCCGTCCAAGCCACCTTTCAACAGACGGCCCCGGTGGCCGTTCTCAGGTGGGACTGATCTGGTCCTGCTGCTGCCTTCACTGAGCAGCATCGGGAGAACCAGGTGGCCGCTGTCCAGGCTCTGCGCTCCCGGCCCTGCTGGGTCTGCTCTGGAGTTCAGGGCTCGTGATGGTGTCCCAGTGTGTAGGTCTGCAGAACGAGGTGGTGCAGGAAGGGTGGGCCCTGGGTCCCACCGACCAAGGCTCTGGGACTTCCTTCTCCATGTTGGACGCAGGCTCAGGCTGGAGCTCTGTGATGCACCGGTGCCCTGCTGGGGGTGGACAGGGAGCACAGAGCCCCAAGGTCCAGGGGCAGCTCTGCTCTCTGTGCCCAGTGGGCCCATGGCAGCCTTAGCGGGGAGGCAGGGTACAGAGGGGTGGCAGAGGACCCTCGCCAGAGCCCAAGGTCCCTCGCGCCCCCAGGCCTTCTCTGGGGAGACCAGGAGGCTTGGAGGTCCTGGGGCAGCTGTGAGCCCTTTCTGGGCTGGCTCTTCACATGCACAGCCTTGCTCTGGAGCTTCCCGGCCATGATCTGCCTTCACAGAAACCCTGGGGGGCCGGATGAGAAGGCTCCAGAGAAACGGGCCGTCGAGGAGCTCGCATCCAGATGGGGGTCCCTCGGCCGACTTGGCGAGGACACACAAAACACAAGAGAAATGCCCAGAGGGTGTGTCTTGTGGTCCCCAGCATGGGCCTGGTGGACCTCAGTGAGCCCTTCTTTGACCCTGGCGTGGTGGCCGCCAGTGCCTCCTCATGGCTGGCCCTGCTCCCGGTCACTGCTGGGCACCGATGACCCCCTCATTCTCCCAGGCACCCCCTGAGAGAGACTCATGTGAGTCCAATTTTCTTCTTTCTTTGTTTTTTTGAGATAGGGTCTCACTCTGTTGTCCAGGCTGGACTGCTATGGTGAGATCAGCGTTTAATGCTGCCTCAACCTCCTGGGCTCAAGCGGTCCTCCCGCCTCAGCCTCTGGAATAGCTGGAACTACAGGTACGTGCCACCACACTCAGATAATTTTTTGTTTTTATTTTGTAGAGATGGGGGCATTACATTGCCCAAGCTGGTCTTGAACTTCTAAGCTCAAGCAATCCTCCTGCCTCGGTCTCTCAAAATGCTGGGATTACAGGCATGTGCCACCGTGCCCGGCTTAGTCTGATTTTCTTTTTTTTTTTGAGACAGTCTCACTCTGTCGCCCAGGCTGGAGTGCAATGGCGATCTCAGCTCACCACAACTTCCACCACCCAGGTTCAGGTGATTCTTCTGCCTCAGCCTCCTGAGTAGCTGGGACTACAGGCACCTGCCACCACGCCTGGCTAATTTTTGTATTTTTAGTAGAGACAGGGTTTCACCATCTTGGCCAGGCTGGTCTTGAACTCCTGACCTCATGATCTGCCTGCTTTGGCCTCCACAGTGCTGGGATAACAGGCGTGAGCCACCCCTCCTGGCCAAGTCTGATTTTCAAATGAGGCTCAGCAGGGCCGGGAGCTACCTGGTCACCCAAGGGCACAGGCAGATCTGGGAGAAGGTGGTTTCCTGTGGGGTCCCGGGACCTGTTGCAGACAGAGCCTCTAGCCCTGCTCCTGGGGAGCCTCGCTCTAGATACCTGGGGAAGTCGCTGAGCCTCAGTTCCTGGGCCCCTGGTCCCTGACACCCCAGAGCCTGCCTGGCCTCCGACCCTCAAGCCTCTTACCCTTTCTTTTCCTCAAGGCTCCTCTCCTGTTTTCTAAACCTTCTCCTTCAAAACAAACCCTCTCAAGGCTGGGTCCCAGAGCAAAGATCCTCAGGGTTGGCCAGGCGCGGTGGCTCATGCCTGTAATCCCAGCACTTTGGGAGGCCAAGGTGGGTAGATCACCTGAGGTCAGGAGTTCAAGACCAGCCTGGCCAACATGGTGAAACCCCGTCTCTACTAAAAATACAAAAATTAGCCGGGGATGGTGGCACATACCTGTAATCCCAGCTACTCGGGAGGCTGAGCAGGAGAATCACTTAAACCCGGGAAGCGGAGGTTGTGGTGAGCCGAGATTGTGCCACTGCACTCCAGTCTGGTGACAGAGCGAGACTCTATCTGAAAAAAAAAAAAAAAAATCCTCAGGGTGCCCGGGAACCTACTGGAGCCAGGGACAGACACATCTGGATGGAAACTGCAGTGCCCTATGGGGTCAGGCACATGCTAGAGGCAGCCAGGTCCTAGGGGAAGAGGAAGGAGAGGTGGTGCTGGCCTAGGGGGCAGGGGTGCGGGGGACAGGGCTAAGCCAGCCATCTCTGCCAGAAGCAGGCAGCCCTTCCTGAAATGGACTTTGAGAGTTTGTGATATCATAATTGACGTCGCTGCCTGCCAGAGTCAGGAACCGGCCCAGAGTGTCATCCATCCCCTTCACTCCAGCCTGACTCAGAAGGTGGAATTGTGCCCCCCAAATATGTCCAAGTCCTGGTGCCCTCATATCTGTGAATGTGACCTTATCTAGAAATAGGGTCAGCCGGGCGTGGTGGCTCACGCCTGTAATCCCAGCACTTTGGGAGGCTGAGACCGGCGGATCACCTGAGGTTGGGAGTCTGAGACCAGCTGGACCGACATGGAGAAACCCCCTCTCTACTAAAAATACAAAAAATTAGCTGGGCGTGGTGGCGCATGCCTGTAATCCCAGCTACTCGGGCTGAGGCAGGAGAATCACTTGAACCCAGGAGGCAGAGGTTGCGGTGAGCTGAGATCACGCCATTGCACTCCAGCCTGGGCAACAAGAGCAAAACTCCACCTCAAAAAAAAAAAAAAAAAGAAAGAAAGAAAGAAAAAGAAATATGGTCTTTGCAGCTATAATCAAGCTAAGATGAAGTCAGACTGGAGTAGAGTGGGCCCTAATCCAGTGCCTGGTGTCCTTCTAAGAGTGAGACACTGAGGACGGGCGCGGTGGATCACACCTGTAAATCCCAGCACTTTGGGAGGCTGAGGCGGGCGGATCACGAGGTCAAGAGATTGAGACCATCCTGGCCAACATGGTGAAACCCCGTCTCTACTAAAAATACAAAAATTAGCTGGGCATGGTGGTGTGCACCTGCACTCCCAGTTATTCAGGGGGCTGAGGCAGGAGAATCACTTGAACCCTGCAGGCGGAGATTGCAGTGAGCCGAGATCGTGCCACTGCACTCCAGCCTGGGTGACAGAGCAAGGCTCCGTCTCAAAAAAAAAAAAAAAAAAGACACTGAGACAGTCCCAATGCCAATGAGCCGTGCACTTAAAAATTGTTAAAATGGTAGATTATATATATAACCACAATTCAAAAAATAACCAGATAAAATTTTAGGAGCCTGAAGTTATGGGGCGTGTATACAGTGAGGGACCGCACCGCCCGCCGGCAGCTTTCATCTGTCAACTCCTAGTGAGAAGAACACTCACCCACCAAAAAAAGGAAAAATTGAAAATGGTGCTGATTTCGAGGGTAAGTGCTAGCTTGCTTGCAGGGCATTTGAATATATGAAGTCAAATGGACAAATTCAAACCTGGGTCTTGTTACCAGGCAAGTTACTGAAATACTTCATTCAGTTTCGCACCTGACAATATACAATTTTAGAAAGAATATGTATACAAAAAAAGAGTGAGGCAGAGATTGGAGACCACCTGAAGCTGGGACAGAGGCCTCGACAGGCCTCCCCGCAGAGCCTCCAGAAGGATCCACACCACCGCACGTCGGTGGCCAGCTTCTGGCCTCTCAATCCATAAGAAAAGAGCTTCCTGCCATTGAAGCGCCCAGTCTGTGGCCATCTGTTGCACAGTCAAGGACACCAAGGCCCAGACCCAGCTATGTGTGTGTCCTGGGGAGGCACAGGGTGAGGGGGACTCTCTGCTCCCAGGGTCGGTGCTTGGGGGGGGTCTCCCAGGAGCGGGATGGGGCAGGGCTCCTCCAGTGCAGGCTGGGAGGCCTCAGGGGATCCACCCGCCAGGAATGCCCATGGGCCCAGAAGGCACAGGGTGGGGGTTCCCTAAACTCTCTGGAGGCTGGGGCTGGGGGAACAGGCTGTTCCAGCAAGGGGCCCTGAGGCTGTGGCCACACACGGGCTGGGAGGGATCCGGCCTGTGCCTGGGCACTTAGCCTGAGTGTGGGGGGGACCAGGGCCTGTGCAGGTCACGTGGCCTCCACGGTGTCAGCTCCAAGGGACACTGCTCGGCCTCCTCTTAGTCAACCCAGGGACGACTCCTTCCTGGTGGGACCTCCCTTCTTGAGGCTTCCAGGAGGCACTCCTGTGTCTCTGGTCTCCGCTTCCCGGCCCCTCCTCCCTCCTGAAGCTCCATCCTGTCCCCAGCGTCCCTGAGATGACCTCACCCACGCCAGTTTCCCATTCCATGCTCTGCGGCAGGCTCCGGAGTCCACATCTCCAAGCCGAGTAGGCGTCCCTCACATGCTCCTGCTCGAACCGGCCGCCTGACCTCCTTGAGCCCAGCAGATGGCCACGCAGAGCCCTGAGTTGCAGTGGAACCTGCTGGCCCTCTGGCACCCATCTCATTGAGGGGCCCCCCCACCCCAGGAGTACAGGCCTGTGGCTGTGTTCCTATGTGGCTTTGCTCCCCACACCCACAAGAACACGCACAACAGATCCTGGGCGTCTTCAAAATTCAGGCAATGTCCAGCTCGGGCCTTCCCAGCCACTCGGCTCCCTCCCCAACCCAGCACCTCCTCCCTGGCCCTGCATCCCCTCCACTTGGACCTCCTCTGGTTCCCTCCCTGCAAGCAGCCCAGGCTCCAAGCCCTCCACGGGCCCCCCAAGGCACAGTCCCAGAGCCAAAGTCTTCCCCTCGGCCTTCCAGGACCTCTGGAATCCAGCCACTGGCTCGAACCCTCTGACCCCATCTCTCCTCCCCTCCCCATTTCCTGCCCCCACTGAAGGCCCAGTGGCCTCCTTTCCTTCCTGGAAGCCCCAGGGCCTTTGTACCTGACAGTCTCCCAGTCAGAAATGCCCCCCAGTCAGGGCGCGGTGGCTCACACCTGTAATCCCAGCACTTTGGGAGGCTGAAGTAGGTGGATCACGAGGTCAGGAGATAGAGACCATCCTGGCTAACACGGTGAAACCCCGTCTCTAATAAAAATGCAAAAATTAGCTGGGCGTGGTGGCTGGCGCCTGTAATCCCAGCTACTCAGGAAGCTGAGGCAGGAGAATTGCCTGAACCTGGGAGGCGGAGGTTGCAGTGAGCCGAGATTGCGCCACTGCACTCCAGCCTGGGCAACAGAGAGAGACTCCGTCTCAAAAAAAAAAAAAAGAAAAGAAAAGAAAAAGAAATGCCCCCAGCTGTATGCCTCCTCCTCGCCCGCAGTACTGTACTCCAAGGTCACCTTGGCTGCCCCGTTGAACACTGCAGCCCCTCGAGCCGCTATGCGCACCCTCAACAACGCAGGCGCCAGCGCTTGGCGTGTCCCAGCTCCTGTGCACCCATGCTGGCCCTGTGTGCCCATGTGGTGACTGAACCAGGCGGCCAGCTGACCCATGGGGTGCCCCTTCCCTGAGAGCTGCTTCCTTCCTCATCCACAGGGTACTTGGAGACTGGCCCCGGGCTGGGCCCCTGTCTGGAGCGCCGAGGCCTGCCTGTCGGCCTGGGATGACTGCAGAGGCTGCTGTCAAGGAAGCTGTGCTCCATGGTCAGGACAAGCAAGCCGACCTAGGGGCCCAAGAGACCAAGATGAGCTCTCCAGGCCCCACAGCCCGGCCCTGAGCCTCCTCTGCTGAAGCCAGCCCGTGCGCTGACAGCGGTATGGGGCCTGCATGATTGGCGCAGGAATAAGCAAAGAGACCCTGGACCCAAGGGCGGGTCCAGAAAGCGGCCCCTTCCCCACGCCGATTTATAACAAAGGCCCCTGCAGAGCAGGGGGAAGAGGTGGCCTTTCCCTGCCACGTGTCCAGTATCAGTTGGACACTGACAGAAAAAAGTGACCCCATCCCCACAATTAATTTAAAATGAGTCACAGAGCAGGCTGGGCACGGTGGCTCACACCTGTAATCCCAGCACTTTGGGAGGCTGAGGCGGGCGGATCACTTCAGGCCAGGAGTTCAAGACCAGCCTGGCCAACATGGTGACACCCTGTCTCTACTAAAAATACATAACTTAGCCGGGCGTGGTGGCACACTCCTGTAATCCCAGCTACTCGGGAGGCTGAAGCACAAGAATTGTTTGAACCCAGGAGGCAGAGGGTGCAGTGAGCTGAAATTGCACCACCGCACTCCAGCCTGGGTGACAGAGGGAGACTCTGTCTCAAAAAATAATACTAATAAATGAAATAAGTCATAGAACAAAGTGTGAAAAATAAGCCCCAAAGCTTCTAGAATAAAACATAGCAAAATCTCTTCAAGACACTGTGGTCAGGCCAGGCACAGTGGCTCACACCTGTCATCCCAGCACTTTGGGAGGCCGAGGTGGGCGGATCACCTGAGGTCAGGAGTTTGAGACCAGCCTGGCCAACATGGTGAAACCCTGTCTCTACTAAAAATATAAAAATTAGCTGGGTATGGTGGCGCATGCCTGTAATCCCAGCTACTCGGGAGGCTGAGGCAGGAGAATCACCTGAACCTGGGAGGCGGAGGTTGCAGTGAGCTGAAATGGCGCCACTGCACTCCAGCCTGGGCGACAAAGCGAGACTCCGTCTCAAAAGAAAAAGAAGAAGACACTGTGGTCAGCAAAGATTTCTAACATAGAACACAAAGGGACTCGACATAAAAGACTGGGCTTCCTTAAAATCAACAACTTTGAGACACCATCAAGAGAGTCAAAAGGTAAGTTGCAGACAAATGTACCGTTCGCCTCGGTGTGTCTTAATAGATTCTACACCAAGGCCTTCTGCCCAGAATATATCAAGAACTCCTACAAATTGATAAGAAAAAGATAAACAAACCAATTTTTAAAATGGGCAATACACTTGAACAAGTACTTCACAGACCTGAAGTGCATTGAAAGGGCTAAATGCAGTGAAAAACTGGTCAGCCTCATTAGTCACCAGCGAAATAAGCATTTAAACCATAATGAGATGCCACTTCATGCCTTCACAAAGGCTAAAACTACAGAATGACTTTTCTTTATTTATTTTTTCTTTTTTTGGAGACAGAGTCTCATTCTGTTGCCCAGGCTGGAGTGCAGTGGCGCGATCTCGGCTCGCTGCAAACTCTGCCTCCTGGGTTCAAACGATTCTCCTGCCTCAGCCCCCAAGTAGCTGGAATTACAGGCACGCACCACCACGCCTGGCTAATTTTTGCATTTTTAATAGAGACGGGGTTTAACCATGTTGGCCAGGCTGGTCTTGAACTCTTGATCTCAGGTAATCCACCCACTATGGCCTCCCAAAGTGCTGGGGTTACAGGTTTGAGCCTCTGTGCCCGGCCCGGCCAAAGACTGCCTATTCTAAACGTTGCTGAGGACGTGGAACAATCACAGCTCTCCTCTCTTTCCAGTGGGAGTTTAACATGGCACAACCGCCTGAAAACCGTTTGGTGATTTCTGTGAATTCCTATGCCTTCTCTATGACCCAGCAATTCCACTCCTGGATGGAGTTAACCTGTGATGGTTAATTTTCTGTGTCAACTTGTCTGGGGCACGGGGTGCCCAGATATTTGGTCAGCATAATTTGGGCTATTTCTTTGAGGGTGTTTCTGCATGAGATGACCCGGTGCTCTGAGTGACGCTGACTGCCCTCCCCAGTGTGGTCTGGCCCCATGCACTCAGCTGAGGAAATACTAGGATAGAATAAGAAGTCCCAGGAGTCAGAGGGCCAGCTCTCCCAGGGTCTCAAGCCTGCCAGCTTTCAGCCTGGAGTGGTGGTATCACCCTCAGGGGTCTCCAGGGTGCCAACCGTGGCTCTCGGGACTTGTCAGCCTCCATCATCACAGGAGCAGATTCCTTCTCATCGATCTTTTTCTCCAGATACAGAGATGGGTGTGTCCCCTGCTGGCTCTGGTTCTTTGGAGACCCCGGCTAACACACACCTGAGACGGAGAAGGGCTTCTGTGACCAAGGGACACAAACAGGAACCTGCCGAGCAGAGTTCCTCATCACAGCCCTTGTGTGTTTCTTTAGGGATGCCGTAACAAAGTTCCCCAGTCAGGTGGCCTAAAGCAACACCATTGCATTCTCTCACAGTCTGTAAAGCCAAGGCCTGGAATCAAGGCGTGGGCAGGATTGGCTCCTTCTGAAGGCTCTGAGGGAAAATCCTTCCGGCACCTCTCCCCAGCTTCTGGGGACAGCAGCAATGCCCCCCGGGTATCTGTGTCTAGTCTCCCTCCACCTCGCTCTTCTAAGGACACCTGTCGTTGGATTTAGGACCCACCCAACTCCAAGATAATCTTTGTAAATGTCATTAATTAATTTGTAAATGTCACCTGAGACCAAGAGTTCACGACCAGCCTGGCCAACATGGTAAAACCCCGTCTCTACTAAAAATGCAAAAATTAGCCTGGCATGGTGGTGCATGCCTGTAGTTCCAGCTACTTGGGAGCCTGAGGCAGGAGAATCGTTTGAACCCAGGAGGCAGAGTTTGCAGTGTGCTGAGATCGCGCCACTGCACTCCAGCCTGGGCAACAGAGTGAGACTCTGTCTCCAAAAAAAGAATAAATAAATAAATAACAGTCTGTAATTAAATGTCATTAATTAATGACATTTACAAAGATTATTTTTCCGAAGAAGTTCCCTTTCATAGGATCTGGGTGGACACATATTTTGGGTGCCACCATTCAACAAGCCCCAAACCAGAAATAACCCAAATGTCCATCAGTGGGAGGCTGGGTCAGCGTGCGTGGTTTATTCCTACAACGGAATATAATTCAGCAACAAAGAGGAGCCACTGATGCACGTGGCAACTCGGATGAATCTCCCAGGCATGACGCCGAACTCAAGCAGCAAGATAGGACCAAGGCCTGAGGAAGGCGAAGCTGCCAGGTGGGCCTCAGCAGCGGACCCTGGTCAGGGCTTGGAGTGCCGGTTGAAGACCCAAGGGCTGCACGAGAATCTCATGGGTGAGAACGCGTTGAGCTGCAGCCCAAAGATGGGAGCATTTATTTATTTATTTATTTATTTTTGAGATGGAGTCTTGCTCTGTCACCCAGGCTGGAGTGCAGTGGCACAATCTCGGCTCACTGCAACCTCCGCCTCCTGGGTTCAAGCAATTCTCCTGCCTCAGCCTCCTGACTAGCTGGGATTACGGGCATGTGCCACCACGGCCAGCTAATTTTTTTCACCATATTGGCCAGGCTGGTCTTGAACTCCTGACCTTGTGATCTGCCCGCCTTGGCCTCCCAAAGTACTGGATTACCGGCATGAGCCACTGCGCCAGTAAGTGGCTGATGGGAGCATTTTACCGCCTGGATGTTGTACCTTGACTGAAAAGGGAACCCCAACCAAGCCCTGAAGCTGGGGCGGGTGCAATTTGAGTTTGGGGAGGGTGGGAGCAGGTGCTGGTGGGGCTGGGGGAGTTGGGGGGGCTGGGGGAGTCGGGGGATCTGGGAGAGTCGGTGGGGCTGGGGGATTCCGGGGGCGCTGGGGGAGTCAGGCACTCACTCCACATCTCTAAGCATCAGTTTCTCCATCTGTCAAATGGGCGAGTGAGCCCCGCCTCAGATACCGCAGAGAGTGCCAAGCCAGGCAACTTCTGGGGGGCTTAACGAGCGTTCGTCTTAGTCCATCTGCCCCGTGGGCAGAGCCCACTCCACAGGGAGGGAGCCAGGCTGGCCTCGTGGCAGGAGGCTGGAAGCAGCACTTGCAGGTGTGTGCATGAGCAGGCCAGTGTGTGCTGACGCACGTGTGTGTTCACATGAGCACATGCATAAATATCTCAGGTGAAATTAACATCGGGAAGAGTCCACCAGAAATGAAATAATGCACATGGACTGGCTCAGTATTTTTTTTTTTTTCAGATGGAGTTTTGTTCTTGTTGCCCAGGCTGGAGTGCAATGGTGTGGTCTCGGCTCACCGCAGCCTCTGCCTCCCTGGTTCAAGTGATTCTCCTGCCTCGGCCACCCAAGTAGCTGGGATTACAGGTGCCCGCAATAACATCCAGCTAATTTTTTGTATTTTTAGTAGAGATGGGGTTTCTCCATGTTGGTCAGGCTGGTCTCAAACTCCTGACCTCAGGTGATCCGCCCACCTCGGCCTCCCAAAGTACTGGGATTACAGGCATGATCCACCACGCCGGGCCCTGGTCTTTTTTTTTTTTTTTTTAAGAGAGAGTTTGCTCTGTCACCCAGGCTGGAGTGTAGGTGGCACGATCTCGGCTCACTGCAGCCTCCACTTCCCAGGTTCAAGCAATTCTCCCACCTCAGCCTCCCGAGTAGCTGGGATTACAGGCGCCCACCACCATGCCTGACTAATTTTTGTATTTCAGGGTTTCACCATGTTGGCCAGGCTGATCTCGAACTCCTGACCTCAGGTGATCCACCTGCCTCGGCCTCCCAAAGTACTAGGATTACAAGTGTGAGCCACCGTGCCCTGCCAAGACTGTTTTGATGTCAGAAAAAATACTGAATGCCACAATCTGGGCTCATGGTGTGTGGGCGGCTACACATCAGGGTTCAGCATGTATGTTGAGGGGTCTGCCTTGGCCCCTCTATTCCTGGGCCCAAGCAGATGGGGTAGCAGGTGGGGAGGGGTCTCAGTTGTCTGGGTGGGCTTTCTGGCCCACCCCACTCTCCCCCTCACCCAGGATGGGGCGTCCTGCTGGGTCAGGGAGTCTCAGGGCTCCCAGGCAGTCTGAACGCTGGAACTTGGGCATCACTGCACTGGGTCCCCTCCCCAGGGTGCAGCAGGCCCTACATCATAGGGCACACCCACCCTACCTCCCCTTCAATCCCACTCAGTCAGGCCAGGCCCTGCCCAGGCCCCTTGGGGCTGCAGTTTCTCAGGGAACAGCACTGCCCAGAGCGCCTCCCCTACGGCAGCCACTGCCCACCCCGCCCTAGGCATCCCTCTCTGCGGCCCCGCAGGGGCATGAGAGTGGCAGCATGGCGGCAGGCTCCCTGTGCAGTGTGCTTCCTGCCAGGGAACTCGTCAGCCTCCTGCTGGTGTCACACATCCCTGACCCTCCCTCAGGGTCCTCCCAGGTTTCCCAGGCCCGGGGCAGGGGGCAGAGCAGCAGGAGACAGGAGTGGTGATCCACCAGGCAAGGGGCTGGGCTGGTGAAGGCATCCTCTGGGATCCCTGGCCAGGCTGGGGCCAGGAATGGGAGAGGCTCGGGGGGATGCTGGGGCAGAGCCCAGGAGCTGGAGGGGAAGCAGGCGGGGAGAGAGCAGAGCCCCGCTGAAGGGAGCCACAGTGAGCCCTGGGCACAGGTGGGACAGGCCTCGAGTCCTCCTTGGCCAGGAGACTCCCAGGAAGGATGGCACGAAGGCAGGGGTGGGCCGCCAGGAGCCTGCGGAGCCCGTCCACATCTGCCAGGCACCGCCTGTACGACAGGCCAGCTCCCAGCGTGGTTGAGGTCCCAGGTCCCTCCGGCGCCCAGCAATGCCCGGGTCCCAGACAGGACAAGTTCCTGCCTCCCTCTTACCAGCAGGACCTGCCGGGCATCTGAGCTGCCTGGGGTGTCACAGGTGAGCCAGCAGTGGCGGGTGGGAAGTGACGTGTCATGGGTGAACAGCAGTGGAGGGTGGAGCTGTTGAGCCAGTCCTGGGCGGCGTATGGCTGGATAGGAGGTGTCCCAGGCCACACTTCGAAAAGGACAAATGGACTAGGTCGCTGCCCTGGACCCATAACATGCACCTGGCTGTGCCCCCCGCTCCCCCCACACCCCGCTCCCTACCCCTCCACCCCCTGCTCCCCCCCACTCCCCACACCCACACCCCTCCGCTCCCCCCCCGCCTCCCCTCACATCCTCCCCACTAGCCCCCATCCCCCTGGCTCCCCCCCCCGCTCCCCCCACCCCCACCGCTGCCTCCCATCCTCCCGCTCCACTCCCCCGCTCCCCCCACTCTCCCATCCCCCCCGCTCTCCCCCCACTCCCACTACTCCCCACCCCCACTCCCCACCCGCCCTGCCCCAGGCAAGCCTCAGGGGTGGTGGCTGTTGACTGCAGGAGCAGAGCCAGAACAGCTGGCGGAGACCAAACCTGGTCATCCTTCACAGGCTGTGTGGCCATGGGCAAGTCACTCTACCTCTCTGGGTCCCGGTCTCCACATTTTCAGAGTGAGGGCAGTTTCTCTGTGCCCTGAAAGTGGCTGGGAGTCTAGGCCAGGTGACAGCTCAGGGCAAGTTCTCAAGGGCCCCAGAAGCATCTGGGGTGCAGGGGAGGTTCCAGGATCCCCAGTTCCCACCTTTAAATGAGGTGACTCGAGACCCTCTGAGATGAAGGGACCCTGAACGTTGATCATTTTGACCTCCCATCTCTAGGAGCATGTCCAGAGTCTGCCATTCCTTCCAGAAAGGAAAAAGGAGAACTCACATCAAGATCTCCCTTGTTTAGCCAGGGAGGTGGGAGTGGGGCCGGGGGGCAGCCAGGAAACATGAGCACGTTCGTCATGGAGGGCAGGGGCTGCACGGGCGGCCAGGCAGTGTGAGCCCATGGTCAGCACCAGCGGCGAGCTGTCATCTCCCTGTGCCTCAGTTCCCTTCCCTGTAAAACAGAACTCTGCACCGCCCCCGACCCCATGCCAAGGTGCTGGGCAAAGCTGCAAAGGTGCTGGTGCCCGGCCACCCTCAGTCAAGGCGGCAAGAACCCCTCGGTGAGTGGACGTGGCCCCACAGGGATGTAGAGGATGAGGCAGAACCCAGGGCTCCCCGAGTTCCAAGTCCACGCTCCCCTGCACACGGGCCCACCGCCGCCCTTTCCAGAGAGAAAAAGAAATTTCTGTCTAAAGTCAGTCAGAACACCCCCAGACTCCACACTGGTGACGTCCGAATCCCCCCGGACACCGGTGTGGCCTCAGTCCTTCCTCCCAGCTGGTTCGCTCAGCTCTTGCTCCCTGCCAGCCCCCAGGTCCTGGTCCTTCTGCCACAGGCTAGCAGGCACCCCACAGCCCGATGGCGGCTCAGATGGAGACTGCGGTACTGGATATCCTGGGGGTAACATCACAGCCACACCCTCCGCCAGGCTGGGGACAGCTGCCCATGGGCCGGGCCAGGCCAGTGCTGGGATTATGTCTGGGGCCACCCAACAAAAGACCACAAATGGGGCAGCTGCAAACAACAGAAGTCTATTTTCTCCGAGTCCTGGTGGCCGGAACCAAAATCAAGCTATCGGCAGGACTGTCCTCTCTCTGCAGGCTGCAGGGGAGGTTCTTCCCGCCTCTTCTGGCATTTGGTGGCCCCAGGTGTCCCGTGGACGTGGCCGTGTCATTCCCATCTCTGCCTCATCTTCACGTGGCCTCTGTCGCCTCCCTCTCAAATCTCCCCCGACCTCTGTCTTCTAAGGGCCTTTGTCTCTGGACAAAGACCCTTTTCCCAAATAAGCCTGTCGTGTTCACAGGCTCCAGGTGGACCGATCATTTGGGGGCCACCACTGTGCCCACTGCAGTGGAGTCGGGGACGGGGCCACTCATGGCCATGAGGCCACAAACGGGTGTGGGGTCTGAGAGCAGCAGGCAGGTCACCCAACACCAGACAGGAGCAAGCCCAAGCAGGGGTGGCCGAGAGAGCCGGGAGGGTGATCGGGTGAAACGCCTGCCCTCAGAGGAAGAGACGGGACATGGCCCACGGCGGGGTCTCACCTGCGGCCTCTGGTTCTCCCCGTGCTTTGGCGCCGCTCCCGCTCCATCCTGTCCCTTCACTCCCCTGTTGGAGAGGGTTTTCCCACAATGGCCTGGACATGGAGGGCTCGGGAGGTGGGTGACCTTCCCAGTGTGCCCAGCTGGAACTGGTCGACTTGGGCCCAGGTCCATGTGAGTCCCGGGCCCCGCTGCCTCCTGAGACCAAGGAGCATTTCCCTCTCTGGCGATGGGCACGGGAGCTCCTGGCAGGACGGCGACCGTCCGGTGGGCCCGGAGAGGAGGCAGCTGCTGCACCCTCGGCGCTGGCTCTCAGGGATGGCTGGGCTGTTAGGCCCGAACTAGACCTGCTGCCGCCGTGTGGAGAAGAGGTGGCCCCAGGAGCCCACTGTCTCGGGTGTGGGCCATCTCCATGCCTGTTCCTGTCCCCATCACACACCAGGCAGTCCCCACCAGCGCCCACATCCTCACCAGGGCTCTCCACGTCCCCTCCTCTGGTCCCCACCCATGTGTCAGCTCCTCACAGTTCCAAGGGGCCACCCAGCATCCCCGGGGCCCAAGCCCTTAGAGGATGTGGTCTGGGAGGGTGGGACAGACACTTCTTCCCCAAGTCTGCCTCTGATGTGTCACCCAAACCTTTAAACTTTGCACCTCAGTTTTATTTATTTATTTATTTTTATTTTTTTTGAGACAGACTCGCTCTGTCGCCCAGGCTGCAGGCTGTGGGGTGTGGCGTGATCTCAGCTCACTGCAACCTCCGCCTCCCAGGTTCAAGCGATTCTCCTGCCTCAGCCTCCTGAGTAGCTGGGATTACAGGTGTGCGGCACCACATCCAGCTAATTTTTGTATTTTTAGTAGAGATGGGGTTTCACCACGTTGGCCAGGCTGGCCTCGAACTCCTGACCTCAGGTCATACACCCGCCTTAGCCTCCCAAAGTGCTGGGATTACAGGCATGAGCCAATGCACCTGGTGGGACCTCAGGTCTATAATGATCTAAATCACCCAACAGGAGGAGGCAGCAAGACCTGGCAGCGAGGGCCAAGCAGGAAGGCCATCTGCCTGCCCCCTGCCTGTCCCCTCCCCACCCCCAGCTCTCCCAGGCACTACAGCCTGGGGCAGCCCCTCCCCCAGGGCCCCACCCTCAGCCTCCTGTGCAGGTGAGCAGGAGCGGGCAGCCTCACTGGAGCCCAGATGACGGAGCCGGAGCCCCTGCCCCACCCCACCTGCATTTGAGGGGTGGGATCTGCTTCTGGCCATGAGGGAGGACAGACCCCCACACTCTACAAAGCCTGCCCCTTGGCTGCTTGGCTGTCTGGGCCAATTCTGGTTGTCCTGAACCAGAGGCCACCAACGGGCCCCGTGGAGGCTCAGAACCAAAATCCCACATTCTCAGAGGTTCTTGGGGTCCTCAGGGTTGGGTAGTGCAGCAGCGTGCAGGCTGGGAGGGAAGCCTGGGATCAAATCCTGGCTCCCCTTCTTCCCGTTTGGTGGCCTTGACGGAGAGTGAGGGCTTCCTGGTGACTGAGCCTCGCTTTCCTCGTGTGTCCTGGGCTCGGAGAAGTCCTTTCTGGAGGAAGGAGGGTCCCTTCCTCTTGGTCAGGGCGGGAAGAAATGTGCCCCAAGGAGGGATGGCAGCGCCCACTGCGCCCCTTTCCTCCTCCCCCCACCCCGGGCTCCTCCTCTGATTCCGTTTTGGGGACTCTTTCCTGCCCCTCAGAGTCTGAGGCTTCTAGGCCTGCGCTGTTCATACCTTGACCCCACCCCAGCCCCCATGTTCGCAAGCCTGTGTCCCCTGGAGCCTCTTGTCACAGAGGACCCTCTCCTGTGGAGTCCCAGGGCTCCACTCGCCCCCATGGGGTTTCCAGCTTGCAGCCTGGGGTCCTGGGACGGGTGCAGGGAGGCAAGTGGCCCCCAGCCCACGGAGCCCCATCATGCAGAAAATTCGGCAAAACCCAGCTTCCTCCGAGTGAGGCGGCTGTCCCAGGGCAAGCTCGGGGAGGGCACTGTTGCCCCGCTGTCCCTTGGCCACGGCAGGGTTAGGCTGTAGCATGGGCAAGACTCAGGGACACAGAAATCGGAAGGGGAGTCTAAAAGGGGGTCCAGCCCTGCCCAGCAGCCTCACCACCTGGTGGCATCACCCCCACGCTGGGCGAGCTGCCCCCTCTCCAGGGCAGGGCTCCAAACCGCTCTGGGGGAAGCTGGCCTCAGCTGGGTGTCGGGGGGCCTGGGCCCATTTGCCTGGACGCTGCGGGCACCCTGCCCCTCTGGCTCCCCGGGGTCCTGGGCCTCTCGCGGGCAGGAATGCCATCTGTGCCATCTGACCAGGGCTCCCCTCACTGTGCACCCTGGCGTTTTGGGGCGTGGGAAGGCGTTCAAGGCTGGTTTCTGTTTCCCCGTCAAGCCCTGAGTGGAGTGCGACCGGAGGCTGGCCAGTGGCTCCCCGGGCACCTAGGGGAGGCTGGGGGCAAACTGAGGCAGTCTAGAGCCTACAATCACTCCAGGGGCCTGTGGGGCAGGGACAGGGCTGAGGGGACCTGGCACCCTGTGGGTTCCCCAGCAGTGTGGCTGGGGACATGGGGACAGAGCCCACCTTGCAGCCTCTGATCTCTGGGCCTGGACATTTGTTTGGAGTAGTGTTCACTGGTTTGTTTTGTTTTCTTTTTTTTGAGACAGAGTCTCTCTCTGTTGCCCAGGCTGGAGTGCAGTGGCGCGATCTCAGCTCACTGCAAGCTCCGCCTCCTGGGTTCGAGCGATTCTCGTGCCTCAGCCTCCCAAGTAGCTGGGGCTACAGGTGCCCACCACCACGCCTGGCTAATTTTTGTATTCTTAGTAGAGACGGGGTTTCACCAAGTTGGCCAGGCTGGTCTTGGACTCCTGGCCTCAGGTGATCCACCCGCCTCAGCCTCCCAAAGTGCTGGGATTACAGGTGTGAACCACCACGCCTGGCCTGTTTTGTTTTCTGATTGCAAAATGAATACATTTCAAAAGGGAAATTTGAAAAATATAAAAAATCCTTAAAAAGAGAATAAAACCCACCCATCAACCCATCATGCTATACCCAGGAACACTACCTCCAGCTTCCAGGACCCCCAACCTCAGCCAAGGGTCTCCACATACTTCTCTCTTCTGTAATTGGGTCTTCCCGCGGAGGCTGGGGCCTGGGCGGATGGATGCCCAGGGTGGGGGCTACCTCCTCTGGACTGCCGAGACCTCCCCAGCAATGAGGTGCCAGACCAGGACCGGGGTGAACTCACCATGAGCTTCTGTTGCCGTCTGGGCCTGGGCTGGGAGCAGGAATCTCTGGGGAAGGCCAAGCATGTTTCAGAGTCATCGGGATCAGGGCCACCCTCTCCCTCCCCCAGTGTCTGCAGCCATTTTCATAGGAAAAAAACTGGGTTTAACAAAGCTGTTCCAGACCTCCTGACCTGAAACTGATTTCTACCCTTCCGTGTGGCCCTAAGGCTCCCAGGCACGAGGCGCATAGCTAGGGGAAGACAGTGCCTCTGACACCCATTTAAGAGTTAACTGAGGCCAAAAAGCCGCTCTGCACGCCCCTCTTGTTCAGAGGCCCACTGATCCCCTGGTCCCGTGGTCACCACGGGGTATGGGTGCAGACAAAGCCGTGTTCATGGAAGCTCCGGGCCTGATGACAGTGGCACAAGGACCCCATTCTCTGCTGTCTCCAGCTGCATCCCCTCCCCCAGCCGGCCTGACATCAGAGACAGCGGGTCAGACATCCCGGGATCCCCCACTCCCACCCCAGGGCGCAGGCTCAGCTGCTGGGGCTCAGGGAAATGCACAAGAGGGCCTGTGCTGGGGAGACAGGGCGTGGATGAACTGCCTGAGTGGTGCAGACAGCTGCAGCTTGGCCCAGCAAGTCTTCAGTGGGAAGCTGCCTGCATTTTTACAACTGATTTTTGAACCTGAAAGTGGAGGTTCACATCCAGCCTGTTCAACGTAATCTTGTTGGTTCCAGTCCAACGTGACCTTTTGGAATCTGGTTTCCAGACTCTTGCCATATATTAGCAGTTCCTCCCGGCTGCAGGCTGCGATCTGCCTTGCTGGGGCCTCATCCCAGAGAAACAGGCTGGCCGGGAGCATTCGGAGGGGCTTCCCAGGAAGAGCTGGACCCTGACACATCTTTCCGTGGGTGCTGTGGCCAAGACGCCCAATGGCTGGTCATGAGGCCCATTTTGTTCTGCTCCTGGTCTACAAGGCAGAAGTCGGGACGCATCATGTCTGCCCCAGCCAGGAGTCTTAGGGTTGTCCCAGGCCCAAAAGTCAGCCAACCCTAGTACTAGTTTTCCAGAAGAATCCAGAGCCTACGCACCCAGGCCCTCAGTGTGAACAAGGGCACGTTATTTGCTCTCACAGTCTCCTTCTGCTCATCTGTAAAATGGGCATGGCCACCATGCCCTCTGTGTCCCAGGCTGTCTAGAGGGTTGAGCAGGCAGGGTAGGATCTGGTACCCACCATGCCCCCGATGCCCACGCAGGCCAGAGAGGGGAGAAATGGAGTTGGCTGAGGCCTGGCCCTCCAATGCCCTCTCTGGGCTCTGAACCAGGGCTCCGTCCGTCCCCTGGGGCTGCCTCCCGCAGGCCAGGGCTCCTTTATCCTCCCCGTTGAGCACCTGGGGCGCGGGGATGACAGCCTCATTTCCCCAAGCAGCCCCCACAGGGCTCCCTGGATTCCTCTCTGACAAGCACATGCGCCGGCTCTGGTCTTGGCTCCGTGTGCCCCAGCACGACAGAACAAGTGCGGCAAGACCCAGGCCTGCAGGGCGGCGGCAAGTGCCCGGAGGGGCGGAGGCGGGGGTAGGGGGTATGCCGGCGCCCGGCAGTGTCGCTGTCCCCGCGCCACCGACCCCACCCCGGCGTGACCTTCCCTGCCGCGCGCCCAAAGGCCAGCAAAGCAGGCGGCGCTTTTAAGGACGCGGCGGCGCGGCGGGTTCGGTGCCAGGAGGCGCCGGGGGGCGGAGGGAGGGGGCGCTCGAGGCCAGAGGAGCGACCCCCGGCAGCCACCCAGGCGCGCCCCGCTCGTCACTCGCTCTCTTCTCCCACTTGCGCCGGCCGGGGGCGGGGCGCGGCGGCGAGGGTGGGGGCTGGGCAGCCGGGGTCCTCCCTCCCCCGCTGTGCTGGAGGCAGCGGGGCGCTCCCCGGAGCTGGGGCGCGGAGGGAGGGCCGAGGGCGCGTCGGAGCCTCATCCGGCCTGGGCCCTCCGAGCGGGAGCGACCCGGGTGCGGGGCCCCACTCTGCCTGGTCGCCCCGAGCGCGTGGAACGCGAGCCGAGGTTCCGCCCGAAATGCGGCCGGCGAAGGGGTGCGGTCCGGGCGGGGTCGCGCGCCCCCAGCACGCTGCCTGGGCTCTGGAATCTGGGAGAAGCCTCCAGCACGGGCTCCCGAGCGCACAAACTCAGGGACGCCCTTCCTCCCGTCCCTGGTCCCCTCCCCGAAAAGCGAGGGGGACGGGCCTGGAGGGAAACGGATTCGGTTTCGCTCCGCTCTCGTCAATTTTCTGTTTAATGTCACCGGGCCCCACTGTGGGAGTAGGAAGCGCGTCACCCGGGCCATAAATTTGCGGTGATGGCGCCTCCGGCCGCCTCCCCAGACGGAGGGACAGGGCCGACTCCGGAGCAGGTGGGGCCGCCGAGACTCGACCTCCGCGGTAGGCGCTGCGCGGCTTCTCCCGACGCGGGTCCCGGGCGCGCTCGGCCGCCCCTCCCGCCGCATCCGCCCGCGCCCGGCCCCGCCGCGGGATTTCCAAAGGGCTTTTGTTCCGGGCTTGGATGTAGAGGCTTTGATTTTTTTACCACCCGCCTCAGGAGACTTTTTGCTTGGAAAAGTCCTGCTATTAAAACAAAAACAAAAACCAATCAATTCCGGAGGGAAGAAAATGCCTCCAGTGTGTGTCTGCGCTTCCCCCGGGCCGAGGACGGTGGTCGGGGCTGCGTATTGCCCGGACCCCGGGTAGGGGAGGCGCAGAGACCCGGCCCTAATGGACTTCGCTCGGAAAGGCCCCGGCGGAAGTGGCCGGGAGAGCGGGCGGCTGCGTGGGTCTGGGCCCTGGCCCGGGGCAGGCTCCTCTGGCCTGCCTGCCTTGGCTGCTTGGAAAGGGATTTCTGGGGAGTCTCCCTTTGGGGGCACTTTCCCCGAAACTCCTCTCCCGCCTGGGGAATTACCCCTGCAGCGGGTACTGATGCTTCATGAATTGAGATGGAATACGTATTTGTTCAGGCCAGAAAAAAAAAATGAATCTATTGAATGATTTTTAATTTAATGGATCAACTGTCCTGTTAACAAAAGAGGCGGTGGCCGTGTTTGGCGCCAGGCGGGAGGCAGCAGTCAGGTGGTCCAGGGGCTGGAGGTGAGGGCTTTGCCGCAGGCGCATGCTGCTCTGTGAGAACTCCGAGGAATAACTCACTGGAGGGCTATAAATGCTGAAGGTAACCAGGCCAAGGACTCCAGTGCCCCCAGAAGTCGCAGGGGAGAGACAGTCTGTCCCCTCTGGTCCAGCCCAGGGAGGGCCTGCAGCCTCCCCATGGGAGCCATGGCCAAGGGGGAGAAAGGTCTCCAGGGCTGGAGGGCAGGTGGGCGGTGGGGCTCATCTCAGGGGCAGGGCGTGGGGGTTTGTGGGCCAGGACCCACCCAAGGGCTGGGTCTGGGAGGTGCTTGGGGAGCCCAGGGCGACCTGGTGTGTGCCCTGCGGGATGCCCCGAGGGCTCCTGCTTGTGTTGCCAGCACCTGCCCTTGGGAGCCGTCAGCTGGGGCCACGATGCTGGCAGGGTGAGGCCTGGCAGGGTCTGGGGCTTTTGGAGGGTGGGGGCTAAGGGAACCCCTGGTGGAAGCTGCCTTCAGGGTTCCTGCCTGCCTTGAGGATGGGTGATAAGGGGCTGGGCCCTGCCCTCCTGCTGCCTGGGCTCTGTAACTGATGCTCAGAGGACCGGGTGGAGTTGGGTGGGAGACCTAAATGCTCCACGGTCCTGTAGGTCTCAGCTGGCCTGGCCCCGCCACCCAGCCCACACCCTTCCCCTAGGGCCCTCTCACCAGTGTGAGAATAGGCCTGGGGAAGTCTGGGCCCGGGAGGCCCCCGACCCCCACTGTCCAGACACCCTGACAGCGACACGTGTAAACACCGCCAAACAGTGGAGACAGGCAGCCCTGCCGCCCCTCCGCCTCTGCAGCCAGGCCTGGTCTGGCAGGGAGTGGAGGCAGGTGTCCTTGCAGGGAGGGCCCGAAGCCAGGCTCTGCCTTGGAGGATGCTCCGGAAGGACCACATAAGCAGTGCCCTCGTTTGGATTGGTCCTGCCTGAGCATTGTCCCCAAGCAGGGCAGTTTCAGCCACTAGGCCCTCCCAACCCCCATCTGTCTGATCTGGGCTTTCTCTCCCGGGTCTGGCTTCCTGTCCTCATCCTCATGGGCAGGAAGACGGAGGGCTGTTTCGGGTCAACCTCCTGTAAGGAAAACCGATTACTCTTTATTCCAGCAGATCCCCAAAGCGCATCCCTTGGCCCAGAGATTCCCAGAGAACCCTGCCCCTCCAGGTCCACCCCCAGACTGGCTGCCTGGGGGGAAGGAGCCGGCCTTTAGGGAAGGCAGCCTGGCATGGTGGAGGTTCCCTGGGCTCCTGGGCCTTTCTCCAGCCCTCCAGCCGCAGAGGTGACAGTGACCAGGGGGCTGGAGGGGCAGCAGGACAATGGTGAGTGGAGGGGGGCTGGGAGGCTCCCTCCTCAGCCTGGGGGTCCCTGGCAACTCCCACCTTCCTTGATCCCCTCTAATAATTGCAACAATAACACTGTCACTAATAAAAAGGCAGGGGAAACCAGGCAAAGGGGCGCTTCTGCCCTTTATGAAAATCACTTTAATTTAACCCAGATGGGTCTTGTTGATAACCTCATACAATGAGCACCCTGAATTATACTTTCCGTGAGAACACACTAGTTATATTTAGCCACAAATTACGACTCTGTGTTTAACAAGCAACTTTGAGAGTGGGGAGGGGGCCGGGCAGCCTCCTGACCTGGTTGGACAAAACCGGCAACTGCAGCAATGGAGACCCCCTCGCTGGAGGGGACGCCGAGAAAGCCGTGCCACGGGCTTCTGAGTCTCTCTTCTCTGCTGCTCTAGTTTCTTTAAAACACTTACAACCTCGTCCGAGGTCTGTCGAGGAGACTGTGGCCTTCAGGTACAACCTGAGCCTCCCCCAGGATCCCTGGGACTTCTGCCTTCCCACACCCCCAACCTGGCTCCCTGCTTGGGCTGGAGCCGGGGACCTTCTGGGAGAGCCCAGTTCGACAGGCTGGGGGGCTGGGGGCCGTGTGTGCCTGGAGGACAATCCTCCTACCCAGGTCTGGCCCCTGACAAGTCTTGCTCCTCTGTGGCCTGCCTCAGCCCCCTTACCCTGGGCCTCAGCCCAGGCCTGGTCGGGAGGGGGCAGGCGCTGGGGACGAGGGTGAGGGCACTCCCTCCATGCAGCCCCCTCCCCTGCCACCTCATCCCCTGGGTCCTGATAAATAATGAAGGGGCTGTGACTGGAAGCTTCGTTTTCAGTGGGGGCAGCCCCCTTCCCTTCGGAACCTTCGCCGTCCTCTTCCCCTCCACAACAGTTCTGCTCCTAGGAAGGGTAAGCCTCCAAAGGCAGAAGCTGTGGCAGAGAAAAGGCTGTCCCCCCACTCCAAGGCACGGACCCTGGGGCTTCCCGATCCTCCCCAGAGCCAGAGGCCACACCGCTGAGCAGGGGAGGTGAGGGGGGAACACACAGACCTTTCCCCCACACCCTGTTCCCTCCAGGCACCAGGCAAGGCCCTCATGAAAAGAACTCGCCCCAGTCGATAGCAGAGGGACCCGTACAGGCAGATGGGTGGGGTGGGGGGTCAGGACCTCTTCCAGGAGGGAGTGGGATTGTTCCTAACCCCCTGCCCCCAGCTGTCCTCTGGAACACTGATTCTGGGGTGGGGGTGAGCTGCTGCTGCCCTCCAGTTGAGGGAGGTCTCTGTGCTGTGAACCATCTTAGATCCCCCACCTCTACCCCACCTCTACCCCGCCTACCCCTCCTGCCGCCAGCCCCAGCCTCAGGCCTGGCCTCTGGACTTGTCCCCCTGCGCCTCTGGTGGGAAGAATTAAGAGTCAATTTTTGTCGTCAAGAAATTGTTTCTAATTTGCCCTTTGACTAATGGCCCAGGGAACAATGGAGAGATACCCAACACACGATTATTGGGGGCGCAGCGGGCGCAGCGCGGCTGCTCTCGGGCCGAAGCAGGCATTTATTTGGAGCAGCGGCTAATTCACAATTTCATGGAACTTGCCTGACACCCCCACCCCCTTGTATTAAAAAATGATTATTTATATGATGATTTCAGACAGAGCAGCATCTCAGAGGTTTGGGAGCCGGGAGACCTACATCTGCTGCTCTTGGGGAGCGTGGGGGTGGGAGAGGAGTGCTGGAGGGGGCTCCAGGGCTGGGCCCGGTTGTGGGGGAACAGGGGCCCCTAGGCTGAAAGGGAGAAGGCAGTTCTCGGGAGTGCTTCTGCGTGTGTGATATGCCTCTGCACACATGTCTTGTGCATGTGGGAGTGTCACATGCTGCACGAGGCTCACCTGTCTGCCCATCTGTGCTGTGGGTTTGGTTTTGTGTACACTTCCAAGTGATTCACATGTGGGCACATGAGTGTGTGCAGGCAGATGTGTGGGCACACATTCAAGACTGTGCACAAGTGTGTGTGTGAATATAGTGTGCGTTAAAGGGTGATGTGAGCCGGCCTGCTAGGTGTAGGAGCGCAGCTGGTTATGTGGGGCGGGGGGTTATCTGCTCCCCAGGCCAGAGGGCAAATCTGGAGTGGTGTATGCCAGGCCCATGGAAGTGACTCCAGATCCTGCTGGAGAGGGATCAAGGTGGGGTTCAAGGCCACTCCTGGCACTGTTCCAGGCCCCACTGGGTGTCCACAGGCCTAGCCTCACTTGCAGCCCGCTCACCTGCAAAGCTGCAGGAACTTCAGAGACCTGGGCCCTCCAGCATCAACACTGACCTCGGGTCTATTATCCCCTCTCCTTTCCTCCCCCTCTGTCCCCTCGCTGGCCCTCTCCCCAGTGGAAGGCAAGTCTGCAGATCCCCACACCATGTTCCTCTGAAATTAAAAACATTTGTTAGCTCTGGACAGCAGGAAGAGTAAAAAAGGAAAGTAGGGAGGTTTCCTCTGAGCAGATCGCCAGCCTGAGCTCCCGGCGGCCCAAGTCTTCCAGGGGAACTCGGGAGCTTATTTTGGTATTGCGGGAGCTGCCCAGCGGCCAGGCGCCTGTGCTGGGCAGCTGCCAGCCCCTCTCCACCGCGTCCAGCAGACCCGTCTGCAGTTATTTGCTGTAACAACTGTTTTGAAACAGTATTGAAAAAAAAAAAGCCCACTAGAATTTGCTTCAAGTGAACACTGGGGGAGGAGGAGGCAGAAGTGGGGAGGAAGGAGGAGGGCAGGGAGCTTCCGCACTGCCCTGGAAGGCGCACTCGACGCCTCGGGGCCTTTGCCCACGCGAGCAGCCTCTTTCGGGGACACGAAGGGACCAGCACTTGGGGGATTTGAAGCCAGTGCTCATCCTAGGAATCTGGTGAGGCTGAGCCAGAAGGGTCTAAACCAGCTTGAGGAGATAGGGGCCACGCACCCGCGAGCTACCCTCTGCCCTCCCATGTCCCTGGCAGTGGGCATTTCTCAAATGGTGATTGATGACTGGGGATGGGGGTGGGCAAGCCGAGGGCCCATCATTCAGGCTCCAGGACCCTCGAACAATCTGCCCACGGGGGAGGGGAGGCTGGTTTAGGGGCTCTGAGGGGCCTTTCCAGCGGCTGTCCTTCCAACACACTCTAGAGGAGACCAGGACTCCCAGGGGCTTGGGGCCTCCCGTTCCCCCACAGGGCGGTTAGAGGTGGAGCACCTGCCCTGATGCGAGGAGCTCAGAGCAACTTCTGGGACACCACGGGTGGCCACGGTGTTCTTTTTGTTGCATCCAAGATTTTTCTCGTATACGTATTTTCCTATATTAAAAAATTCAAATGAGGCTTTAAAAATTAACTTGAAAAAGGTTCCTGATCCGGAAACAGGCTCATCGGAGGCAGTGATGGGAACTCGGTTCCTTAGGAGAGTAGGAAATGCGCCGTCTGCGAGGGGCGCCCTGCGTGGACCCGGGGCCTCGGGGCGCGTCCACTTACCCGAGCCAGGAGAGACTGGGCCCCACGGTGTTAGCCCCGCGCTCGGGCTCGCGCGCCGCTTCCAGCTCGCGCCTCCTCCATCCCCGGAGGGCTCCGCGGGTCCCCGGCGACGGGTCCCTGCCCAGGGTCCGGGAACCTTCCCCTCCCCTCCTTTCTCAAGCGCCATTTCTCCGGAGCCGGGCCGGCCGTCCTCGGTGTACGCGGGAAGCGGGCAGCCTCCGCCTGCACCCGCGGGGCCGGGACCCGGAGGCACCCGCTTCCCCGACACACTCGCTGGGGCCGCTGCTCGCTGCTCCAGCCTCCCGAGGCCACGGCAAGAGCCCGGGGGTCGGCGCCACACACCCCCAGCCGGCGACCGCGCCCAGGGACCTAATTCAATCGCCCCCAGCCTAATGAATAGCCGCGCGCTAATCGGATCTCCGCGCGCTTCGGGGATTTACGCTTCCCGGCTCTCCCCCTCGTGCCCCGCGGCCCGCCAGACGTCGCTTCCGAAGGCGCCGGCCTGGGGCCTGGCCAGGGGCTCGGCCGCGGGGGGTCCCGGCCGCCGGAGCCGGGAGACGCCGGAGACGGGAGCCGGGCCCGCGCGACCGCCACTCCCGAGCCAGCCGGGGTGGGCCCCGCGCCTTGTCCTGCGTCCCCGGCCCGGCCCGCGGAGCGCCGGTGCTTACCTGCGAGCCCCGGGCTCTCCGGAGCTCCCCTCCGGGCCGAGCCGCCCGAAGCGGGCGCCGGCGTAGGCCCCGACTCAGGCAGGCGGGAAATCCCGGAGTCCCCGCCCGCGGCCCGCAGCCCCCCACCCCAGGTCGGCGTGGCCTGCGGGGGGGAAGGCCGGCCGGGGCCGGCCGCCCGCTTCCCCTTTCTCTCCAGATTCCTTTGATCCGCGGGCTCTCCGCCGCACCTCGGCTCCCGGGCTGCCCCGGTCGGCCCGCGGGGATCCTGGAAACGGTCCCCAGCTTATCTCCTTTCATCAAGCGGCCTTGGGCCGCCTTGAAACCGCGGAGCCAGTAATTGCTTTTTTCAGGAGGCCCAGTGCGGACTGGACAACAGCCAATCAGCGCCTTGTTTACACTCGGTGATGGACAGTCCACTGGCGGAGTGCCAACCAATCCCAGCGGTCCCGCGGGAGCGGGAGTGGGGGCGGGGAAACAGAGAGACAACAGGCTTTGAGTTTAACTCTTTCGTGTCCCTGCCGGAATGAGACGGTGGAGAATTTCGAATGCGTGTGAATCTGTCAGTTGGCTCCTAGTTTAAATATCCTTTTTTCCCCCAGAGGGGGAGGCAGAGATTCACATGGAGAAAGAGGAGCAAAAATAAATGTATCCATCGCCACTAAGACATCACCTCGACTCCCTGAGAATAAATAGCATTTGGGTGGGAAACCAAATTCTAACAGAAATATTTGTTTGCGGAATATTTTAGAAGTGGTTTGCATCTGATTACGATAAAAATTGTTCAGTGGCTTGCTTTAGTTGGAGTGAGGATTTAGCAGATAGGCAGACAGGGAGCAGCATTGAGAAATACTATACATGGTTTACCACACCATACCCGCTTCCCCCATTACCAAACTGAAAATATTTTCTAAATCTAGGTGTAGATGAAGAAAGGGCAATCCTTGTCTTCTCAATAAATCCCTGATTTTCATTTTAGTAGCTGCTCTGTTGCAAAGTGTGGCAGAGGGAGATAAAATTGAGAGCCAGTAATGTAGACGGCTGGAGACTCAGAACTCACTTCCCAGGGTCTGATCCCCAGGTCATGGGGAGGAGAGAGCCGGACGGGCTATTCAAAGCTTTTGCTGCCCAAGCAGCGGGCGTGCGTGCGTGCATCCGCGAGCTCGGGTCCGGGCAGGCAGCAGCTTCAGAGCGGTAGATGGGCCAGGCAACCTGGGGAGGCCTCTGGGCTTGGAGGTCTGGCCTACCTGCCACCTGCCAGACAGATTCCAGGGAGAAAAAGCAGCTACTTTTAAGGGGTGGTGGTGTTTCTTCCCTTGGCCTTCTGTGCGGCAGAAGCCAAACGTTAGACCTGCTGGATTAAACATATATGTGTGTGTGTGTGTCTGTGTCTGTGTCTACGCCTCCCCCTCCGCCGGGACACGCGCACTCGCTCGCTCCAGCTCCCTCTCCCGCCCTGCGCCACCACATTCCCATTCAGCAGCAATGATCTGCGCAGAGGAGCTGCGCAGTCGCCGGGCTTGAATTAGGCGCCATCGGGCTTGGTAGTAGCCCCGCTGCTTCCTGATTGGCAGTTCCCTGGCCCGGCGCCAGCCTATTGGGAGGCCTGTTTACGCCGAATGAGTGGCACGAGCTCCCGGCCGTGGAGGGCTGCGCGGCCAATCAGCGCGCTGGCTGTTCCGGGCTGAGTGGCACGAGCTTATTAGTATGCAGGGCCCGTGGCTCGCCGCGCCAGGCTGCAGGTTTGAGAGCCGCTCTGGATGGGCTCGCTAGAGTCGTTGTTGTGGAAGCGGTGCATTTACAGTGCAACAGTCAGCACATTGAAAATACCAATAGGAATACAAAACAAAGTCACATTTACTGATTTAATTGTATTGCATTCAGTTGTATCCAGGAAACAGCCTCCAGTAAGTAACTGAAATTGCTTTCATTTTTTTTTTGTTTTTGTATTTTTATTATTATTTTATTTTTTATTCTGGCTTTGGGGTTTTACATTTTTTTTAGCAAAAGAAATTCAGGATTGTGATGTTAAGAAGTATATATCTTCCCTTTTAACAAAATCCGTTAAAATGTTGAGGCTTTTTTTTTTCTTAAAAAATATGGACTATGAGCGATTTTTTTTTCTCTGAAAAATCTTATCGATCGGTTTAAAATTACCCCCGTAATGCATCCTTGCTTTGCTCTGAGCGCTTGTTGTCTCGATCGACACCCAGCATTAAAAACAAATACTCGAAGACAGGACAGGGACCGCCAGGCTGCGTCTGGCGCGAGCCGCGCGGGTGGCACCGGGCGGACAGTAGGCGAAGTCCGGGCGCCGCCAGCGTGCGCCCAGTTCTGGGTGACCCACGAACGAACCCCAACATTCGCTCCCCTACCCTGCTCCCCTCCCCGGAACAGTCCTGGGTTGGCCCTGCCCGGTCGGTCCGCGGCGAGGGGAACTGGCCGGGTCGTGGTACCCACGGCCGCTGCCCTGAGGGGCCTTCCGGGCCGAAGCTAGGGGCCGGGGAGGGGAATGGTCATGGCGAGTTTTTCGGGTCTTCGTTCCCAATTCAGAATTTTTTTTTTCCGGAGAAGTGGGGGTGGAGGAGGGGGACCGAGCAAGGCCGGCGCAGCGGGGCGTTTTCACCGCGCGCGTTCGGGACGGCGCGCGGGGCTCGGGTCACGGCCCGTGTGGCGGGGTCCGCGGGCTGGTTTTCTTCGGGCGCGGGGGTCAGGCGCGACCCCAGTTCTCATGACTCTCCCAGGGAGCGGGTGCGGCTGTTTCGCAGGGAGCGGGTTCTGCGGCGACGGCCGAGCCACTCGCGCCCCAAGGCGCGCCTGGTCCCAGCCCGGCCTGCAGGCCCCACCGCGCCCGCGCTCCCGGAGACGACGCCGGAGGGAGGCAGACGGGCCAGAGTCCTGGTCTCCGGCAGGCGGGCGAGGAGAGAGCGGGTTTTTAGATGCAAAAGCAGGAAACAAAGCAAACTTGTAGAAGCTCCAGATCCTGGAGCGCGCCAGCCACGCCTGGGGCCGCGGCAAGAGGGACCGGCGGCTCCAGGGTCACGCCCTGCCTTCCCGGGAGGGAGCCCTGTGCTCCTAGGTTCAGTTCCTTCCGAAATGCCCTCGTCAGCGATTCTCCGCCCGCCCGGGGCCCTCTGCCCGCCGCCACTTTTCGCTCCATTTCCTCCCTTACCTCAGCCCGACCTGGCGCTGCGGCGCCGTCCTCGCGGTCCTCCGGCGCGGCCTCTCCTGGAGCTGGGCTGGGAGTGGGCCCCGGGCCTCGGCACTCGGCGGGTGGCGGCGTCGCCGCTGCGGGACTGTGGGACTCCCAGCTCGGGCCGTGTGGCCGCCCTTCCTCGCCCCACTTCCTGGCCGCCTCAGGCTCCCCAGGCCCCCGAAGCCCGGCGCGGGCAGACGCGGAGGCGCGGCGCGGCCTCTCCCCGGGAGGAGAGAACACAAAGAAAAGCTCTCTCCAATCCGGTCAGAGCCGTGGCGGCGCAGGCAGGCGACAGTAATCCACCTCCTGTTTGCTTAAAAAGTCGAGCAGGCTGGTGAGAAAGGAACAATCGGGCCTGCGATCCGCCCGCAGGGGGTGGGAGATTAAAATTGTTGCTTCGTAGCCGAGCCCGCGTCCCGAGAATCGCCGGCAGCTCGCGCTTTCTCAACTTTGAAATTTCTTATTGGAGAGAAAAAAAAAAAAAAAAACAACCACAAAACAAAAGCACAGCACACACGACTCCCTGGAGGCCGCCAGGAAGCCTGGCACCCCCGCGTGCGCAGCCCCCGGCCCCTCTCCGGCCTTCGGCGCCTTTGAAGCTGCAGGTTTCTGACCTCCCTCCCTTTCCTTCTTTCCCTTTGTCCCGCCCGGCGCCCTCCGGGGCTCGGGAGGCGCCGGCCGGGGCTGGGGGCCCCCACGTCCCTAGTCCAGCCCGGGCAGCCCCTCCCCTGACCCCTGCGCTCGCAGCCCCCTCGCCAGAGCACTCTCCGGGCCCTGGCGGCCGGGCGCTCGCTTTGCAGGCCGGGATCGGGGCTTGGGAGCCGAGCTATTTGTTAGACCCGGGGAGAGAGCTGGCGATCCCCAGAGGGAAGGGAGCCCCAAACGCCTTTGTATGTAGTTGCCAGACAAAGAGAACTCTTTGTGTAGACCCATTTATTTACAATGCAAAAGCTCTCCGAATAAATATTAAAAAAGCTTATCAGCTGAGCAAATATGTATTCACTTAATACATTATGTTTTCGGTTATAGATTAAATCAAACACAAAATAGTCTGCAAATAAGACGTTTTAGAACCCGGACCATAAAATATCGCAATTTAAAAAGGTATTCAGTAGATGGAAAACATCTTAATCGCTTTGTTGTCATGGTGGAATGGCTACAAAAACACAAGGTTTTCCGCAAAGTTCCTAATTAGGAATATCAAGCCTATCCATCTCCCTTTTGTTGGAGGTGATAAACATTAAAACAATACGTATTTAGAAGATGAGGAGTAATATGTGAAGTGCGTCCAGGGAGCGCCTTCGGAGGGACGCCTGGGAGCACGGTGGTGCACGCAGCTTCTATCACTGGCTCCGACCCTCCGCACCCAGAGTCTAAAATTGTCCCCAATTTCGCCTGAGTGGATGCTCCGCGTTGGGTGGGGGTGGAAGAAAATGGAGGTGAGGGTTATTTTAGGTGGCCGAGGTCCGGGCAGGGTCTGCTGGCAGAAGGTTGTGCTGGGCCGGGCCCACCTTCCCCGGCTAGAGGGCCGAGCTGGGCGCCGCAGACCCCGCGTACCCAGGCCGCCCGGTACTGCCCGGAGCGGAGACCGGCCTCTGCTCGCGGTCCCCGGCAGGCGCTGAAGGAAGAAATCCCAGGGCCGATTTGGGCCGTTGAGAGAGAGCATTCTGACTCTGAAAGCACCCCCCCCACACACACCCCCAAGCCCCCAATCCGCAGAGGAAGATCCTGGGCGAATTTGATTGGGGGGCGGGGTGATTGTTACAGCCTCAACAGGAAGCTCCCGGCTCCGGGACAGCAGGCCGGGCACTGCGGCGTGGCGGCCCAGGTGATGCCGGTGGCGGTTGCGGGCCTCCGGGGCTCTGAGGAGCCGGCCTGGGGTCCTAGCGCGATGCTGGGGACAGGAGCTGGTCCCGCTGGGGCTGGGGAGGGGGGACCACGGTGGATTCAGAAGAATGGGCCGAAAGATGCATGAGGGGGATGGGAGTGGGGAGAAAAGGAAGGTTATTAAAAAAAAAAAAAACTCTTGAGTTACAATCAATAAAATTACTCGCTTAATTAGCATGGTTATTCGGTTAAGCGGAATGCAGTAAAAGCTGGACCTCGGCATGAGGTGGGGAGAGGGGGAGAGCTAGTGTGGACCCCAGGCCTTTTCCTCCGAGACACCTTTGGGCAGCGGGGGAGGGGAGAGGGTGTGCGTGTGAGTGTGTGTGTGTGTGTGTGTGTGTGCGAGTGTGCGTGATGGCTTCGCAGATTTGGGTTTTTATCACCCAGCAGAGCCAGCAGCCTCTTCGCCGCGGCGCCCTAGCTGCAGGGACCCGCGGGGACGAGAACGGGAGGCGGCGAGCAGTGCGGCTGGGTTCCCCCGGCTGCCCCGGGCCAAGCGTGGCCGGGACGGTGCGTGCGCGCGCGGGGCCCCGGGTGCTGGGCTGCGCGCGCGTGCGGCGGGGAGACACCGAGCGCCCCGGCCCCGCCACCCGGCCTGGCCGCCGCTCGCTCGGGCCGGCGGGGGTGGGGGGTGGGGGGAGTGGGTGAGCGGGCGGGGCGGGGACCCCCGGGCGAGCCGAGCCCCCCAGTCACCCGTGTCTCCTCTGCTTTTGCCTCCACAGACCATGGACCCGCACAGCGGCCGCTGGCTCGGTGCGCGGCCGCCCGCCGAGAAGCCCAGTCCTCCCGCGTGCTGACCGGCCCCGCCGCCACCACCGCCTGTGACCCCGGACGCCGCCGCCTCTGCGCCGCCCGCGCGCCGAGCCGCCCCCGGGCCCCGGCCGCGCTGCTCCGAGGAAGCGGCGGCGGACCGGGGCCGGGGCCCGGCATGGATGGCCGCGACTTTGCGCCGCCGCCGCATCTGCTGTCGGAGCGCGGGAGCCTGGGCCACCGCAGCGCCGCTGCCGCCGCGCGTCTCGCCCCGGCTGGGCCCGCCGCGCAGCCCCCCGCACACTTCCAGCCGGGAAAGTACTTCCCGTCGCCGTTGCCCATGGCTTCGCACACAGGTCAGTGCTCGGCCGGGGCGGGCGCGGGACGGGAGCGTTCGAGAGCGGAACAGGGCGCCCACCCCTCCGCTCCCGGGAGCAGAGAAGCTTTGGTTTCATTTCCCGGCCCCGGCCGCGGTGGCTGCCTGGGCGCTGAGCGGGGCCGCGCGTCCCGCCAGCCCCCCAAGCTGCGTCGCCGCGGCTTAGAGAGGCCCTTCCCTGGCCACCCTCCCCCGGGGGTCTCGGAGGGGCAGCCCCGGAGCCGGCTGAAATTAAAGCCTTTCCGCGCCTCGCCACCCTCCCCCGCCCCCTCCTGCAGATCTAAATTCCACGGAAACCTCTTTTCTGCATTCTGCATTCACCTCCCTAAGACGTTCCGGGGCTGGGACAACGAGGCGCTTTCTGCGGAAACAAAACGGCTGTTGTGGCGGGGGGAGGGGACCAGGGTACGCCGCGGCCTCGCGGATTAGAGTGGTGTGTGCGCCGGGCGAGCGTTAATAGGGACTGCTGGTGTAAGACGAGCAAATCCTGTTTCTATATAAAGCCTTAAAGTGTCAGGGCGAGAATGGGTTTGCAGGGATGCATTTGCCTTAACGAGTGCCTCTGGTATCCCGCTAAAGCCGGACAAAGCGTGGCCAGAGTGCGGCCCAGCCTCTCAGCCTGCGGCCCGGGGAGGAGGGCAGCGCGGGCGCGGGCTGGGGGTGGCGCGGGGCGGCGCTCAGGATTTCGGTGCAGGCGAGAGTGCGGCGGATTTGCTCCAAGAGGAGAGCGAGGCGGATTTGCTCCAAGAGGAGAGCGTGGGGCGCCGTGCTGGGCCTCGCAGGGACGGATCCTCTCGGGCGGTCCCCTCTGACTCCCTGCCCGAGAGGATCAGTCCTTGGCAGAGCGGGCCCAGGCCTCCAGGGCAGCCCTCTTCCCGGTGGCTTTGATATGAGTGTCGAGGGAGGTCAGGGTAGGGGCAGCTACCACGCCTGAAGCCCTAGAGGTCACCAGGCGGCGCGGGTAGATTCGGGGGAAGCGCGCAGGGCTGCGCTAGGGACCCGCCGGGTCACCCTGGTACATGGGTGGCTTTTGTTTACAGTTTGTTCTAAACATCAGAAATGTTTGTCGCTTTTAAAAACAAAATTGGCAGTAACAGTTATTATTGGTAGCTTGATGAACTGTGAATACTAATAAAATTATATCTGCTTTAATGGGATTACAATTAGTGTGTGGATTAAAACGGATGGCAGAGACGGGGCTAGAAAGGAAAACGTCGGAAAAAGGGAGGGCACTCAAAGAAAAACGTACATTTTCTAGAAAAAAACAAACTTGAAATTGCTTAATTGCTAACGGGCTTCCAGCATTTGCAGCGCCAGGAGATTGGAATGGGGGAGCCGCCCAGTGGAGGGGTCTCCCCAGCACTTCCCGGGTTGGCCCACACCCGCTTCCCTCCCTGCCTGGGCCTTTGGCGAGGCTGCCCTTTTCTCTCTGTTGCCCTTCCTTCTTTTTCTCCCTTTCTTTTTTCTCCTCTAGATTTGTAACTGGAAAGAGAAGGAGAAAAAGCACTTGCCTGAGCGATGGGTGATTTAAAAATATCTCTTCTGCTGTCCCTGTGGTTATCAAGCTTGTCTTCCTGCCCCTGCATGGGAGCTGCTGCCCACCCGGCTCAGGTGCACGGGGCGCTGAGGCTGGGGCCGCCCTGGCAGAAGGGACAGCTCGCCAGCCTCCCCACCAGCCCCTCTTCTGGCTGAAGGCTGGTGGCCCCCACTGGGGGTAGGGGGATTGTGTGCACCCCACCTCCACTGTACCGTGCCCTCCAGCCTGGCAAGTAACAGCACGACAGAGACAGGGGCCCCTGACACTGAGGCTTGCATGTTGGTGCACAGGCAGGCTGGGGCTGTCCCCTCCGGGAGGCAAGGCCAAATTCCCCATCAGGTCAGGTCAGCACTCTCCCTGACCCCATGCCCCAGCTCACATCCTGGCCAGGTCCAGGCCAGCTGCATTCTCCCCCTTCTGCCCTTACTTCCAGGTCTAGGCAGCACCCGGGTAGGTGGGCGCCTGGTCGGGTGGCCTAGCCCTTTGTCTTGCTCATTCTAAGTTTGGCCACGTGGTTCTTGGCGTGTAGGCCCCGGAGGGCTGTGAGAAACGGCTCTGGGCTCTGGCCTGGCCTGTGTCCTCCCTGCTTCTTCTTGATCCCAGGTCCTCCCAGCCTCCCCAAGCGCAGGGTGCTCTAGAGGGCGCTGGAGGCCCCTCGGGGCTGCCTCTTTCAGGGTCTGAAGGGTCATGTGTCCCCGTCCCTGGAGGCCCCATTTCCTCCCCCCTGCGGACCGAAGAGAACGCTTGTGCTCGGAGATGTTCAACCCATTTGTGATGGGCAACTTGGTCATGCAGACATCCAGCTAGAAGCATCTGTAGCTGAAAGAAAGCCTTTTGAAATTGTTAAGAGCCAGAATATTGTATTGGTTTTTAAAATTTAGCTGCATGTATTTTTTTAAAAAAAGAATTATACCCCAGATCACTTTGCTTTGGTCTGTGTCTATATATGATCTAGTTTAGAGAGAAAAAAGCATAATTACGTTAAACAATTTTTTTGCGTCTTGTGTGCGGACTTCCACATGGCTGGTTTGGCTGCCTTGCTTCCCATTTTCCTGGATGGCTTCAGTCCGCAGGCCACAGCTGCAGCCAGCCCGCCCCTCCCTCTGCTGACTGCCCCTTGGAAAGGAAAATTGACCCGGATTCTTCCCGCCTGTCTGGGAGTAGAATCCAACCATCGGGGATGGAGGCCCTGGCCTCCATGAGGCTGCCTCTTTTTGCTGGGCTGCTCTTCCTGTGCCTGTCTGGCCTGGCACTGCCACCCCGGCTGGACTGAGGCTGTTCCTGCTGGCTGCCGGGGCTGCCTTTCCCCAACCCCACCCAACACTTTCAGAATGTCAGTCTGAGGGGCCCTGATGGGTGGGGACATGGGGCTCCCAGGCTTCTTCCATTGTTTTTCTAAAAATGAAAGTGCTGGGAGCTTTAGACTCGGGCCGCAGGTTTTATGGTAAAGTGCTGTTCCAGTAACCTTGTCACCAAAAGGTGCAATTAAAATGTTTGGAATCATTATTTTTAGTTCAGTGTTAGATTTTGTCTCTAATACAGATGGTCCGGAGGCAAAGCTGTGAAATCTAGGGGGGAGAAAAGAGAAATCAACAAGAACCAACCCAAGATTTTTCATCAGTGCTACTGCCTGGAGCCACTGGGGCTGGCGCCTCTGCTGGGAGTGTGTGTGTGATCCGAGGCAGCCCCGGCCTGGGGAGAGGCCCACATAGACAGCCCCCCGTCCTGGCTTCTGGCTGGGCCCGCTCCTGTCCTGGTCTGTACGCCTCCCCTCTCCAGGGGCCAGGGCTCCACCAAGGCACTATTTCTCATCTTGGTTTCAATAATCTGCTCAGATTCCCCTCCCGCCCCTTCTCTTGTCTTCTTTGGGGTGTAAATTGCTGAAGCCTGGGAAACCAGGTGCTCTGAGCCTGGGGTTATTGTGGGAGAAAGGCGAAGGCTCCTTCTGGTGGGAGAACTGCAAACTACTTCTTTCCTGCTGAAAAAGTGCTTCCTACCGCCAATCTCAAAAAAAAAAAAAGAAAAAGAAAATACCAAAAAACACAACCAAAAAATACCCCCAACTTGGCAGAGGAAAAAAAAAGATAATTTCCTAGTGTGAAAAGACCCCATCACAGGCTCCTCTCCCTCATCATGTGATATTTTTTTGTAAAGAAAAAAATACATTTTCTTAAATACCTCATTAACTCCATGACACGATGGAGTGTTTCTGCAACAGTTAGCAACATTAAGTAGGTGTGAAAAGAGTTACTTTCCGAAGACGTCACCCGTCCCGCTCCATAAGTGACAGAGTTAGACATCAAAGTTGCCGCGAGCCCAAAGGAGCTACGGGAATCCGGGAATGTGGGGCCGCGTGGACCGGCGGCGGTGGCCCGCCACGCCCGCCCCGCCGAAGCCCTGTTTGGAATGTGGGTTTCCCCCAGTGGGGCTCGTGCTGCCACCACGTCTGATTATCCCGGTACGGAGCCGCCGCGCTTTCTGTAGGAATATCCAGGTCACGTGAGTAATAAGGCAAATTAGTGAGCCAGGCAGAGAACGGCGTTGTGCAAATAGCACATCTCCCCTGGAAAACGCGCGTCCCCCCAAACGTTCCCCGGTTATTCTTAGAAATCTTCTCTCATCTCCCTGTGAGACAGGGTTCAACAGCCCCCACAGACAGGACAAAATGCATAGGAGGCTGTTAGAATAACATGGATGAGGCTAAAAATACCCCTCAGAAACACACATAAAAAAGCCAAATCCAACAACAGAACGAGCTAAAAATATTCCAGGCTTTGGCAAAGAGCACAGAGTTAAATAAATTATACAAGAGCCATTCATGGGAGCAAGTTGACTTTCTCTCTTACGGGAACTTGGTTCAAGCTAATAAAAATAATAATTTACTAGCCACTGAGCTTTGCATGAGTTTAAATTTAATTGGTGGGGCTTCTGGCGTTTGTCACTTCTTGGCGATTAGTGGTCTTGCCCTGGCCTGGGCCAGAGTGGGGAGGGGATGCCGAGGCTGGGGCTCCTGGCAGCAGGGTCATTGTCCCCTGAGAAGCAGGGCCTGGGTGCAAGGGCAGATTACCCAGGAGGCTGGAGGAGGATGGAGACTATTGGGGGTTCCATCCAGGAAGGCAGAAAAAGAACTGGCAAGGCACGGCTATTTTAATTTGATAAATGATTGTACACCTTTAAGAGTGTTTTAACAATCAGGATACACTCCAGCAAGTTGATAGGATGTTCGCTGTCAACTTACATATGTCATCAGAGCTGGCTGTGAGCATAAATAATGTGCGAGCGCTTGGGACAGCTGCAGTCTCTCCTGGAGGCTGAGGCGTGGCAGGTAGCACCTCTGTCCCCTGGCGGGCACCTTTGTTCTCCTTCTCTCTGTGTGTCTGGAGGCAGGGACCGGAGAACAGTCGTGGGGAATCACTGAATGCTGCTTTCATCCTGGGTGGTTTGGTTGGGGTGCCTCCTCTCTGCGGACTTTTTAGGTCTCCCCACGAAAATAAGAGTCCCCAGAACTACTTGACCAGAAAAGCCACTGTGGATATGATCTGAAGCTAGAATAGTAGCATCGTCTGGTGTGTTTTGTTTTTGTTTTTGTTTTGTTTTTGTTTTTTGAGACAGTCTGGCTCTGTCTGCCAGGCTGGAGTGCAGTGGCACAATCTTGGCTCACTGCCTCACTGCAACCTCTGCCTCCCTGGTTCAAGCCATTGTCGTGCCTCAGTCTCCCAAGTAGCTGGGATTACAGGCATGTACCACCACGCCCTAATTTTTTGTATTTTTAGTAGAGACGGGGTTTCACCATGTTTCCCATGCTGGTCTTGAGCTCCTGAGCTCAAGCAATCTGCCCACCTTGGCCTCCCAAAGTGCTAGGATTACAGGTGTGAGCCACCGTGCCCGGCCTCTGGTGTCTTTTGAGGCAGCAGATGTTTATATATAGCCACTTCCCAGGAGTTTTAAACATCCACCCTGGGGTTGGAGTAAGGGTAACTCCCTTTACTCCCTCCTCTTCCTTGGCTGTTTCTTAACTCAATCTGCCTCCCCCGCCCCCAATCCTGGCAGGGCCTTCTAACTCCCAAAGGACTATATTTCCCAGAATACCCTGATCTAGCTCCAGGGTCTGAGCCCGAGACTGTCCATGTCCCTGGGCTGGGAATTCCCAAGCACAGATAGAGTTCAGCCAGTGCCGCTGGGAATAAATACTTTCCTGGTGGAAGAAAGCCTTGCTCCATCGTGCCCCCCTGCCCTTCCTTCTGGAAGAGGCTTCTGGGCCCCCCGGTCTGGCTTCCTCCCTACCATAAATACCTGAATATAGGCCCATAACAAATGGGACCTGTCCTCTGTCCTCTGCCCTCTGGATCCTGTGAGGCAGCTACTGTGATTGTCCTGGCCAACGCCCCACCGGAGAGTCTCCCCCAACCCCCTGAGCTCAGTACATGGCATATGCCCTCTTTTGGAGTGGTCTTCTCAGAGGGGCCTGGTTGCCCATCAGCTGCTGTGGAAGCGATACAGGGACTCCTCCTGGGTAGCAGCAGGGCCAGCCTCTGCCTAGGGAGTCCCTCGAGAAAATACCGCCCAGCCTTTGGGGTGCCCCCTTGCCCTCCTGACACCCTCAAACAACAGAAGCTGCCTGCCTTCTTAATGGGTTCATCCTGAATGAGAGGTTTCCAAAAAGAAGCCCTCCCTCAAGACAGGCACTGCCTTGTTCCCCTGAGGAGGGAGGCAGGCTCGTCCTGGCCTGTCCAGGGGAGGGTCCGAAACCCTTGGCTCCTGGACAGCCTCCTTGAGGGGAGATGGCCTCCCCTTGTGTCCCCCACCTCGCAGACGTGCTGTGAATGGGCTTGGACTCAGAGCACGCCCCTGTCTGTTGGGTAGGTGGGTTACTTGCTCTGCATTCCCCCTCCCAGCCCCCGCTCCCCGCCCACCTGGGAACGGCTTCCCTGGGGTTCCCCGGTCCCCATTAACCTCTGGGACCTCATTTCCCCTCACCGAAGACACAGTGTAACAAGCAAAAAAAACATCAGAGCCAGCGTGCAGTGTCTGGAAAATCACCCGCAGCCCAGGCCCTTCTGCAAAGGATGGGGCCTGGAAGGGCCTCGGGCGTGGGACCGCACTCCGCTCGGGCTCCGCCCGCTGACGTTTTTATGGGATAATATACCGTTTCGCTCACGCAGGCCTATTTGTCAGTGGGCTGCCCCTGTTTGTTGTAATCTATAATATTACTGCCTCCCGTGGCCCCAGAGCAGCTGCCGCGGGAGAATCCAGGGATGGTGGGCGCTAGGTGTGCGCTGAGGGGATGTGGTGGCAGGCGCTGGGGGCAGGCGGCGCCCAGGTCCTGGTTATGAGGTCGGCGCGGGGTTTGCAGCGAGCCTCGGGTCTGGTGGGGAGGCGTCCAGCGCCCAAGCTGGGAGCCAGCCGGGCTGGCATGCTGCAGCTGTCCACACGATTAGGTTCCCGATCGGATCAGCCAGGAAGTGGGTTTTTTTCATTCTGACCTGCTGTGGCGAGGAAGGGAGGGACAAACAGGTGGGCTGGGTTCCTGCCTTCCCTTCTCTCCCCTAGGATCCCCCAAGAAAAAGTCCAGTGTCTTGAGATGCGGGGACTCTGAGGCTGGCCGGAAGTGCTGCCCCTCTCCGGGGTCTGTGGGAGACCCACTGTCACTTGCAACTGTGAGGAACGGCAGAGCAGCCCCTTGCCCCAGCTCAGTGCAGGGACATGGTTTTCCAGTGGAAATTTCCAGAAATGGGGGATGGGTGTGCTTCCAATAGGGTCCTCTGAGCAGCAGGCTGGGCTCCCTGAAGCGGAGGGTGACATTGGGGGGCAGTGCCTTCTTGGGGTACCCCACCAAAAAAGAGAAGCCTTAGCCATATTAAGTAAGAAAGAAACCAGCCTGCTGGCGTCTTCAAGGGAAGTCGGGTCTCAGTGCGACTCCCTCTCTCTCCGGTCCTTGGAGCACAGTTGAAGCTTTGCTTTCTTCCCCTGAGACTTCTGCAACCAGGGGCGCCTCCTGTTCTTAACACATGGCATGGGTGAGAGTGAGCAGATCCAGGGAAGAAGAGATGGGGGATGCCCAGACCGGAGACCCAAGAGACCTGAGCCCAGGATGGGGGTGCCATGGTGGGTGGGAGAAGGGGCTGCGCTGTGGGGCAGGTCCCCTCTCAGGCATGAACAGACATTGCCGCCTGGCAGGGGTTTCCTGGCTCTGTGGACGTAGAGCTGTGGCCCCCTCTTGGGTGAGGCCCACTCTGCAGACCCCAGTAAGGATATCCCAGCGGGGTCTAGCCACAGGTTCACTGACCAAGCTCACAGCTGCTCACACTCACAGATGTGGCAACATACACCTGCTCCTGTGTGCTCACACCATGAGGCAGGTGTTCACCTGCACACACACACTCACACTGTTCACAACTGGCCCACAAGGAGTCCCACTCCAGTGGCCCCTGGGAAAGCCAGGTTGCTTAGTGACTGGCACGGGCACCTGTCTGCCCCCTACGTCCTCCCCAACTGCTCCATCCTCCGTCTCCTGGCTCCTGGTTCCTGGCCACCTGCAGGAGGGAGCAGAGCCCCAGATCCACATGACCCTCTGTGGCTCAGCCTCCCTTCAGCGCCTTCCCCGGCCCCCTTCCTCCTGCTGCCCCTGTGTGGCTGTGGACCGTGTCCTCGGGCTCCAGCTGAACTTGGCCTTGCCCTTTCCTGAGCTCTTGCTCGGCAGGAGGAGGACATTCCCGTCAAGATCAATTCCAGTGCGTGGCGAATGCCTCGGGGCCAGGTCTGGTCCCGGGCCTGCCCTGAGGCTGTCTGGTTGTCCTGGAAGCCGCTGCCTGCATGGGGCACTGCTTCCTGTCCTGTGTGGCCACCTCCACCCCAGGCCTCTGCGCCTGGGGTCCTAGAGGTTCCTAGATGCTCGGCTACCCCAGGCCCCACCTGCCTCCCACCCCCCAGGCTCCCACCCTGCACCCCCACCTCTCAGCTGCCCTCAGTACCGTCTCTGCCCACCGTGCCCTGCCCCTCCTGGGGCCTACCCCTGCCTGGCCCTTTACTTGGGCAGCTTCTACAATCCCCAGTGCCTGCCCCTGCCACCCTGGAGTTCTGATCCCGGCGTCACATCCTCTCAGAGCCCCCGTGTGACTCTGCCTAAGTGGAGAGGGGTCCCCGACTGCTCCATGCCCACCTCTCCTTTCCTCCATGCCCCACACCAGCTGAGCTGTTCTTGGCCTGCAGCCCTTCTTGTCCCCTTCTATGACCTCCCAGCCCTGACCACCCACCTGGGTCTGTCCCACAGAGCCTGGCAGCAGCCCCTGCCCAGCCCCCCTGGCTGGCTTGTTTGGGGCCAGTGCCTTTCCCCTGATATCAGCCACCTTTCCTGGGAGACTGCAGGCTCCTGAGTCTGGGGGTGGAAATGTCCTTCTGTCCCTTCCTATCCCCAGAGCTGGGCTGAGCCACACTGGCCTCCGTCTCCTGCCCCAGTGCATAAGTGCCCATCCACGCTCAGGTGACGCGCACAGGCACGCGTGTGTGGGTGTGAAGAGCTCTGCTTTTCCCCTAGGATTTCACCCCCACACCGGAAAAGATGAACGATTAACTCTGGGAAAACTAAGTTAGGAGGTGGCAGTGGTGAGAGACCCAGCCAGGGTCTCTGGTCTCTTTATTAAAAATCAAGGTGTTCCCCCCACACTGGACCATGGCGTGGGGCCACAGGCTGCGTGGGCACCTGCCTGGGGGACATGGCAGCATCCCCTGGCCTTCGTGTAGCATCTTCAGTTGTCATGGCGGCTCCTGAGGCTGTGTGCGCTACACCTTAAAGGGTGTCAGAGCCCAGGGGATTGGCAGATGGCGCTGTCCTCTCCTGATTAGCGCCACACGAGGTGGTGGGAGACAGAAGTGGGGGTGGGGCTCCTGTCCCCCGAAGGCTGGAGCTGCGCCGGCTGAGTGGCCTGGGGAAGGGGGGAAGTGCGTGTGAATGGAGGGAGGCAGCCCACAGCTGTGAAGGAGGGTTCTGGAGGGCCAGGAGCGGGCTCAGGGTGGGGGCCAGTTCCTTTTCACCTCGTGGCCCTGGCTGGGGCTGTGAGGCGACTCCCTGATTGTCCACGCGGGGTCGCGGGGGTGCAGCTAGGATTGGGAGCAAGAGCCAGTGGCTTCATCTGGGTCATAGAGCACTAGTGGGTGAGGAGGGACACCTGGGGAGGGCTGCCTCTCCCCGCCCAAGGGCCTGCTCCCCTTGCCACTGACCAGAGGGAAATCGGGCCCAGGGAGAAGGCCGGGTGTGAATCAGCTGCCTCACCCTCTGCGACGTCTCCATCCACAGGCCGGCCCTGCAAGCACCTCCCCAGCAGGCTGGGCTGTGCCAGCGAGGGGGAGACCATGGCCCTGGGACTCATGTCACCAGGCAACAGCGCTGCCTCAGGCCCTTCACATTGTGGGTTTTGCCTTCCAGTCTTCAGGCCCGGGAGAGCACCTGGCCTCAGCGCCTGCCCGAGCTGAGGGGAGCGTGTGTAATGGGGCCCTGCCAAGCCACCTTGGCTGCAGCTGCCCCGGCCTAAGGTGGGGATCGGTGGCCCCTGCTCTTCCCTCCCTGAGTCTAGGCCTCCTACCTCTAAAATGGGCAGTTGCCCTGCCCTGCTGGAGGGTTGAGTGGGACTGGGGGATGCAGTTGTGGCCCCGGTGCCCTCCCAGGAGCACTGTGGCCGTCCGTGTCACCTGTGGGGGTCCTAGGAGCCTGCACGAGCTGCCGGAGGCACATGGCCTGTGCACGCCCCTTCCCTGGCGGAGACTCAGAGGCCTGGGGAGGAGGCGGCTGTACCTGGGACCCTTGGTGGGGCCTCCCCCCTGGGCAGCAGGCAGCGAGACTCCTGAGGGCCCACCTCATGCCTCAGGCCCAGGCCCTCTCCTCTGTGTCCATCGAGGGATTCTGTGGCCTTGAGGCCTTAGTCTGGCCGTAGAACTAGGAAACCTGGGCCCTTGGCTCCTGTGCCCTGGCACGGGGGTCCAGCTGCCCCACTTACCCCTACCTGTGCAGGGGCTTGCATGGTTTTGGTGTGAAGGTGGACGCCCACCCTCCAGCATGTCCTGGGGCGTTGGATGTGACTGGGATGGGCAGATGTGGACCTGCTCTGAGGCACCACGGGTCGAGGCACCACGGGTCCTGGCACCACGGGTCCTGGCACCACGGGCAGTGCAGACGCTCTGGACCCCCAGGTGGGGCCCAGGTGCTGGGGGGCCTTCGTGGCCTTCCGGGTCTACTGGGCTCTGGGACTTCAGAGAGCTTCCCAGTGGCAGAGGGGGACTGGCCCAGGGGAGACACCAGCAGATCATGTGGGATGGGACCACAGAGCTGGAAGAGCAAAGATGTCCCCGTATCCCCCCAGTCTCGGGGCGGGGGTGGGGGCTCTCTGCCTGGGGTTGGGGGACAATGAAGCAGGCTATGCTTCCCCGGAGTCCAGGGGTGGGGATGGCCGCTCATCAAACACTCTGCTCCCCCAGGGCGGGTCTCAGACCTCTCTAGGTCCCTCCCATGAAAGGAGGGCTTCGGAGCCGCACCTGGGTCTTTGTTGTCCATATGTCTGTGTGAAGGCCTGGGGCCCCCGTGCGCCTCCCCTCGGGCCTGAGGGGTCCCTCTCTCTGGGGTCACGCTCCCTTGTTCTCAGTCCCGCAGCCGTCCTCTGCGTGAGTCCATTCATCACGTGCCTGCAGGTGCCTGTGTCCTGTCTCTGCCCCAGGCTGAGGCCGAGGGTCTGCGCCACCTGGGCATGCCCAGTGGGGCCCCAGGAGGACTCGCCACCCCCAGTTGAGCAGCTCCCCTTCTCGGCAGCTCCCAAACCCTGACCCCAGACAGGCAGCAGGAGCTGGACGTGCCGTCAGCCCAGGCCCCTGAGAGTGAGGCTGGAGAGACGGGAGGCACCGGTGCCCTGTGGGTGGGAGCACTGCTGGCTCCATCCTCCACTGCATTCAAATTGATCAGGGAGGGTGGGGTTGGGGGGGAACAGGGTCCTTGAGGTCGTCAGCCAGCCCCACCCCTGCCTGCCTGCCTGCCTGCCTGCCTGCCTGCCTGCCTGCCTTCCTTCCTTCCTTCCTTCCTTCCTTCCTTCCTTCCTTCCTTCCTTCCTTCCTTCCTTGAGAGGCCTCTCTACCCAGCACCCACGAAGACGGGTGAGCTGCTGGCCACCCGAAGAGGGTGTGGGGTGGTCAGGTTTGGGGCATTCCAGACCTGAGGCCCTCCAGGCAGCTCCCCTTCCACTCTGCCCAGCCCACCCTGCCAGGGAGGCCTCAGCATAGTCCTTGAGCTCTGGGGGCCCCAACCCAGCCTCCCTGGGTCTCTGGGCCTTTGCCTCTACCCACACCTGCACGCCTCAGCAAGGTCGTTCCCGACAAGCCCCTCACCGCCCCGGCCCCTGCCCCTCCACACCCTGGTCACTCTTCCCTCCAGCTCAGCGCTTACCATCGTATCCCTGCATCCGAGGGTAGCTTTGCCACAGGAAGCATTTGCATTCAGCGAGACACACAGGCGCACAGGGACTCAAGTGTGGCCACGATTAGGGCAGGACCAGGGCCCCGTGGCCTCCTGGTTTCTGGCTTCAGCTGGTGACCCCCAGGAGGCCTGATGGCAGGTCCCCCGTCCCTGGCCGGTGAGCTGGCTGTGGAGTGGCAGGAAAGAGCCCAGCTCTGTGGTCCCCCAGGATCCTCCGGATCTCCGTAGTGGGACAGCTACCCCATCCGGCCAGCCCTGCCGTGGGCCCTGGTCACTCCAGGCCAGCAGGTCGCCTTGTGGGCAGTTTTCCTGGAAGCCAGTCCCCTCTCTGAGAGTTTTCATATCCCTTTGGGTGTCCTAAAAATAAACTTTTAATTTATTTTAATTGAATACCAAAATTAACTTAAATTGTAATGCATTTTTGGGCTAACTCTTAAAAAGCCCTTAGTGTGTGTAAATACAGATAAAATCAAAGAAAATTCAAAAAGTGTATGTGAGGCCATGCCATCCTTCTAACAAGTTGAGAGTTTGATGGTAAATACTTAGCAGAAATCCAAAGTGCCTAAGTCTGGAGGGCCTCAGGTGGGAGGCGGCTGGGGGTCAGAGACCCCTTGGGGCCCGTCGGCCAGGGCAGGGAGCAGCCACCACGCTTCAGCCTGCGTTGCTGACTCGTGCACGAGGCAGGTCTGTCTGGAGTCACCGACTCTCCCTCCTGGCCCTTCCCGTACCTTCCCGGGGGCTCTTTCCCCGTCCGCGCCCCCCGCCCCACCCTGTGGCTCTGTCTCTTCCCTGCATGAGTAGCTGGGGCTCTCTCCCACATGATCTCACAACTGGGTAGCTTAAAACAGCGAACATTGATTATTTCACAGCTTCTGTGAGTCGGGAATCTGACTCAGGGCCAGGTGTTGGCTGGGGCCTCGGACATATCCAGACCCAGCTGTGGGGAGTCCCCTCCAGAGGCCACCCTCCGGCTGTCGTGGGTGTGGGAGTGTTGCCGGCTGCTGGCTGGAAGGAGAGAGTGAGAGAGCGCAGGACGGAAGCTCGGTGCGGGTGCGGCCTCACCTTGCGGGGGCAGTGGGTGGGTGTCACTTCCTCCACATCCTCTTTCTAGAAACGAGTCCAGGTCCCGCCCACACCAAGCGCCAATTACATAAAGGTGAACACCAGGGTCCAGGGTTATCAGGGCCTTCTCTGAGGCCCCCCACAGCAGCCATACGCTCCCCAACCCCAGAGTGGGCCGTCGGGACCCCACCCGTGGCTGTGGCTGCCTCCCCTGTGCTGACCATGCCCCCCCCGGGCGCTCGCTGCTGGCTGGGGGAGACCTGCCCTCGGGGGTTTGTGCCTTTCCTCTGCCCCATGCCCTCGGCCTCCTTCCCTGTGACTTGGCCAAGCGTAAGCCCCGGGCTCACTGGAAGCCTCGCTCCTTCTCAGCCTCTGCACCCCCGTGCCAGCCTGGTCCTGGACATCTGAGGCGAGGCTGGCCCTGTTCGTCCCTCACCCCTCTTCCTCCCCCTTCTGTCTTCCCCCCACACCACACCACCGCCTCCACTCTGGGCTGTCCCCTCCGCAGCAGCGGGCCCCTGGATACCCGTGGACCGTCCCCACCCCAGCCAGGGCAGTGCTGTCCACGCAGGTGCAGTATCGTCTCAGCACCTGTGGGAGGTCCGTTCCCAGACGTCCTGCCTTGGTGGAGTGAGCAGACCCCGAAGCAGCCACAAGGCCGCGGGGGCTGCAGCAAGGTCCCAGGGCCCATGCGGGAGGCAGCCCGCTCGGACCACCTGTGGCTTCCCTGCACTCCAGGCTGGGCTCAGGGCGCGGGTGCGTGACCCTGGCCTGTCATGGGCACTCAGCAACTGTTCGTGTACCAGCCGGGTTAAGGTGTCCTTCTCTGGATGGGGCGCAGGGCTCGCTATGGGGTGCTGGGGCGGCTGTGTCCTCTGGTCTGGGCAGCGCTTTCTCCTTCCGTTTCTGCATCAGCTGCCTGCCTGGGTGGGGTCCGCAGGTGCGTCAGCCACCCCGGGGGCTCCCCCAGCCCACCTTGAGCTGACGCTGGCAGCCCACCTGGGTGCCCTTGGGATGGGGAGCTGGCCCTGGACCTGGCCTGCTGGATCCATGTGGTCTGAGCGTGTCTCTAGACTCTCCTCTGAAGCTGTGGGGGTGCCTTCTGAGCCCTGACCCGTGCCAAGGAGCCCCCGCACAGCAGCCCAAGCCACCTGCCCAGGACCAGCCGTGGCCCCCTCGATGTCCGCCTTGGCAGCAGAGCGGCTCCTCCCATGGCAGGACCTGTGCTGGGGCAGGGGCAACGGTGTGGGGGCACCTCCTTCAGCGAGGGCCAATGCCTGGCGCCCTGGCCTCTGGGGCAGGTCTTGTCTGGGCAGCAGAGGCTCAGGAGGGCGCTGGTTCTCCCAGTGGTCCGTGAGGCCGGCAGGGCATGCAGGCGGCCAGCATCACGGCCCGGACCCCACAGAGGCGGAGCTCGGGCTGTGGGGTTGGGTGCTGAGGGCACTAGGAGCTGCCGGACCTCACCAGGGCCTTTTCTCCCTCGGACCTCCCGTCTGGGCCCCAAACCCCCTCGGCCAGCCCCATCTACCCCATCCCAGAGGTCCCTGCCTGAGCCACCCACCTCGCCCGCTCCCCTGCAGAGTTCCTAGGAACGCCGAGTTTTTACCTCAGAGGCTGAGGTGAAAAGTAAGATGAATAAGATGAACGTGTGTGTCGTGAGGACGTGGGTCCGTGCGGCAGGAGCGCTGGCCGTCGGGAGGGCCTGGTGTGGCCGTCGGGGGCAGGAGGGACCGAGGTTCCCCGGGGTTCGTCACAGCCTCACCACGTGTCCCCAACCCCAAGGCCCCGGGACGGGGTGAGGCTGGGGGCGGAGGCGGCAGGCACCCCCTGGGCCCAGCCGTGCCCACTCCCCTGATCGCTGCCACGCTGCGCTGAGAAGTCCTGTGTGTTCCCTGGATCCCGGTGTGGTCTCCGTCTCCCACCCCGGCCTGTCGCATCCCCACCCGACTGGCCATTACCCGCCACGGTGTACTATCCTCGCCAGCAGCTGTTACCCGCCCCGGCGTACTGTCCTCGCCAGCAGCCGTGCACTCTGCACGTTTGCCCCCTGGTTCCCATTGGAGCTCTGCCCTTCCCGCCCCGGCCCCTCTTCCAGGGCCACCAGATGCTGCGCGGGGGGCTGGGGACGGGCCCGGGCGAGGGAGCTGGAGGAGGGCACCTGGCCGTGTGACCCCCACCCTCTGAGACCCGTCCGCTGGCAGCTTCCTGGTTCCTTCCTCTCCTCCACCCATCTTCCTGGACCCTGGGTTTGCCCATGCCTGGCTCGGTGCCACACAGCAGGGGACAGGTGTGCTCAGCCTCTTGGGGTCGCAGCAGGGTGCTGCCTGGAGGGGAGTTCCAAGGGGGACCTTCGTTGTGAAGGAGGGCAGGCTGGGCTTTTTGAAGGTGGCTGGGTGTGAACCACGCCTTGAGACACAGAGTTTGGCAGGGGGCATACGTCCCCCTGGAAGGGTAACGCGAGCGCGAGGCCCCATGTGGTTGGAGCCAGCTGTACCAAAAGCAGTTGGCTGGGAAATAACAGAAAATGGCACTTTAGTGGGGGCCGGTCCCTGCCCTTTCAGCCTGCAGTGACCTGTGCTGGCCCCAGCCCCTTCCTGGGATACTACAGCCTGAGCCAACCTCGTTTTGGGAGTCGGGCTCTTGGCACCTGGTCCTTCTTAGCACCAGGGGCAGGAGTGACCTGAGTCCCCTCGGTGGGAGGTGGAGCTCTCCCGGCCAACATAGCCACCTCCATGCTGGATGTGGTGATCACAGCGTGCGAAGCTGTCCCTGCTCCCTGACCTACCCCCCAGCCCTGCTTAAGCTGACTGACACAGACCATAGTTTCTCTCACCTGGGTGCGGGGACCCCAGCTCTGGGGGCTGCAACTACCCACAGAACCATCGAGGACGGCCCAGGATGGCTGTGGGCAGAGCGCCCCACCCTGCCAGGGAGACCATGGGCCTCACACCTCCAGGCAGGCCAGGCTGGGAAACAATGTGTGCGTGTGCGTGTGTCCATGAGGATGGGTGTATGCGCGTGTGTGTGTGTCCATGAGGATGGGTGTATGCGCATGTGTGCGTGTGTGTCCATGAGGATGGGTGTATGTGCGTGTGTGCGTGTGTGTCCATGAGGATGGGTGTGTGTGTGTCCATGAGGGTGGGTCTATGCGTGTGTCCATGAGGATGGGTGTATGTGCGTGTGTGCATGTGTCCATGAGGGTGGGTGTATGCGCGTGTGTACGTGTATGTGTGTCCATGAGGGTGGGTGTATGCGTGTGTGTACGTGTGTGTGTCCATGAGGGTGGGTGTATGTGCATATGTGTGTGTCCATGAGGGTGGGTGTATGCGTGTGTGTCCATGAGGATGGGTGTGTGTGTGTCCATGAGGGTGGGTCTATGCGTGTGTCCATGAGGATGGGTGTATGCGCGTGTGTACGTGTATGTGTGTCCATGAGGGTGGGTGTATGTGCGTGTGTGTGTGTCCATTGAGGGTGTGTGTGTGTGTGTGTGTCCATGAGGATGGGTGTGTGCATGTGTGCGTGTGTGTCCATGAGGATGGGTGTGTGCGTGTTTGTGTGTACATGAGGATGGGTGTATGTGCGTGTGTGTGTGTCCGTGAGGATGGTGTATGCGCGTATGTACGTGTGTGTGTCCATGAGGATGGGTGTATGCACATGTACATGTCCACAAGGATGGGTGAGCACACAGGAGGGTGAGAGCCTGCCCCCCTGGCCATCCCGAGCCTGCACCTGCCTCCGCCCACCTTTCTTCAGCTGCTCTGGCATGGAGCCTGTGTCATTGACGTCGCCTGTTTGGGCCAGGTGGCAGGAGTTAGGAGCACGCTCGCAGCCTGTGGCTGGTCCACTTGGAGGATGGGAGAGGCTGGCCAGCAGGGCCACATGGCTATGTGGACACAGGGCCAAGAGCACTAGAGTCTCCCTACAGCCCGGCTCTGTCGGGGCTCATCCTATGGCTGCTGTGCCCAGGGAGGCCTTGCACCCCCATCCGTTGCCGTGTTGTCCCCTGCATGTCCACAGCTAGACTGGACATGTCCAGGGTCAGGGCAGGGGGTGGGGGCTCCGGTTGAGAGGCCGGAGTGTAGGAGGGCAGGTGGGTGTCCACGTGGCCTCCCTTGCTCTGCAGGGACCCGAGGGCCAGGGTGGATTCCTGGGCTGGGGTGTGCGTGCGTGTGCCCCTGACATCTTCACCGGGGTGTCCGTCTCCCCGCAGCTGGCTGTCTCAAGATGGTGGGATGGGAAGCGTTCAGTTTGGGGCGAGGAGACTCATCCAGCTGCGGGGGGCGGCGCCGAGGGAGTGGCGCTGACCACCCTGGTTGCATTCCCACGCCCCTGGCCGACCGCCCCACAGCCCTCCAGAGTGTCTTAGGGGCAAGGGGAGGTCCTGGCCACCCGCCTGCCCAGGAGAGCGGGTGAGAGACATGGGAGAAGGTGTGAAGAATTGGAGAAGCAGAGAGGGAGCCTGCCTGTGCCCCACCCTCAGTCCCCACCATGGCTGCTCTGAGTCACTTGGCACAGAGCTCTCAGGGGAGGGAGACCGAGGAGGGACGCCATGGGGAGCGTCGGCCACCCCCCCCCCGCCCTAGCCAAAGGGCTAAATTTACCCTTTTAATAAGAACCAGACTTATATCCGATTTTCCTTTTCTTTTATTAGTTCTGGGCTGTCGGTGGCTGAGCCCATCCTGTCATCATCACCTCCGGGCCGTTTCCACGCTGATTGGGTTGGGTACACAGCAACCACAGAGTTTTCCTATTAAGGCCTGAGAGACGCTGCCTCTGGGCCAGCGCAGGCTTCTGGAAGGTTCTCCTGAGCCAGCCAAGGGGCTTCCCGGGTGACGTGCTCCTGTTCCTGGGCGGGCGCCCCTCCCACAGGCTGCTGCAGGTCCCGGGCTGAGCCCATGGCTGCATGCTCTTGGCCTTCCCTGCAGCCCCTCCCTCGCTGCCCCCACACTGCTTCCCATCCTTTCGCACCTCGTTTTTCTCTGTTACTCCTTTCTCCCTGTGCCCGCCTCAGTCTCCACTTGTCCAGCTGCCTTCGTGGAGCCACAGGTGGTGGGGAGGTTTGGTGGCCCCAGGGGGCCAAGGCACCCTCAGACACTTCCAGGCTGTGGGGGCAGAAGAGGCAACAGTAAGCAGGGCGGGCCCCGTGTCCACCAGGTGTGGAGGGAGCAGTGCTGGACAGACGGACATCTGGTGGCAGCAGGTGTGCAGTCGGGACAGAGCGCCGCCCCGAATCTGGACAGTTTGCGGGCCCTGGAGAGGGCTTCAGATTGGAGAGGGTTCCAGGACAGCCCGAGAAACATTGGGTCCTGCTTCTCCACCACAGAGGGGAGCTGGGCCTGGCCACGTGACCTGTTGGCTGCCCGCCAGAATCTACAAGACTCCCAAGGGCCACTTTAGGGTCTGGGGTCTCACTGCCCCAGGAGACGCAGCTCAGAACTGAGCAGCTGTGCCGGGTCAGGGTCTGGTTCCCATGCAGCAGTGGGCTGGGGGGCTGGAGCTGCAACTTGATGGAGATCTGAGGCCCCCCTCTACCACCAGTGGGCCGGGACATGCCCCGACCCAGGGCAGCTGTTCATCCCGGTGCCGCTTCAATGCCACCTTTTGCACAGCGGAGGCCAAGAGCCCTTGCCAAGGTTCAGGTCAGTAAGTGGATAAGTCTGGTGGAGGCCTGAGCCCTGGGAAGCAGCATCTTTGAGGACTTGCCCAGCTGTGTGGCTCCCATGCCCGAGAACAGAGTCTGCCAAGGTGCGCACACCCACAGACGTGTGTGTGTGTACGTGTGTGTACGTGTGTGTGTACGTGTGTGCGTGTGTGTGTGTACGTGTGTGTGTGTGTGTGTGTGTAGCCACTCATCCCAGACATGTAGCACAGTCAGACCTTGTGTGTACACCCATAGTCACGTGCATATGCCCAGAGACAGGTTTGCACAGACACACCCCGTGAGTCACACACAGTCCCTCCCCTGCCTCTGTGCAAGTGTGAGTGTGTGCAAGTGTGAGTGTGTGCAAGTGTGAGGTGCACCCCACATCTCGAGTCTGGACCACTAGTGATTGCAGCCAGGGTGGGGGAAGCATCACTGGGTTGTATCTGGGGGTTGAGCCTGCAAACACCTGCACACCCAGCATGCACCTGCCTGTCTCCCAGCCACATCTGCACACTGGGGTGGCATGTGGCTGGGCCTCTAGCCCCTGCCACAGCAGCTTCTGGTCTCCTGGTGCGGGCGGAGGTCCCAGAGTGGCCTCTCACCCCAGGCAGAGCCTGGTCTCCCCACCCCGTCCCTCATTCCTCTTTCTGGGCAGCCAAATGGTCAGATGCTACACCCCTGCCTCCAAGCAGGCTGCACCTCCCCTCTGCATCCACGCAGGAACCTGTGCAGGGCGGCTTCCTCCCCGCGCTTTCCCGGAATGAGGAATGTGGGGCAGGGCCAGCAGGGGGGCTGCTCCTCCTTCCTGCCTCCCCTCCCGTCCTGCACAGCTCCCTTGGGAGCCTGGCTCGTGGGAAGTGTGCTTGGGACCGCCCATCACTCCGTTCCCAGCCACTCCTGGTGTCCCCCGCCTGGGCGGGCCCTGTGGGGAGCGGGGAAGGTGTGGAGCGGAAGCCAGTGCCGAGGGAAGAGGGGAGCCTGAGTGGGTGTGGGTCGGGGGTGGGAGCTGACGCAGGCGGCGGGTGCAGCCGCCAGACTCGGAGCCGGGGAGGCCCATGCCAGCAGCCCGGCAGCTGGGCTTCCGGAAGCAGCGGGAGCCGGGAGCCTGGGAAGGGCCTCGCTGCTTCTCTGGAGCTGCCGCCATCTCAACGAGGCGTTTTTTTTTTTTTTTTTTTTTACAACCCATTTCACAGTTTCCAGAAAAGGAGGATGCTGTCTCGGCGGCTCACTTAACTCAAAACAAATGCTCGCTCTGCCGGCTCCGCGCCCGCCTCTCCCGGCTCCCGGGCCCTGCCGTCCTCTTGTTCCGTCTGCCTTCAGTCTGGTGCCACAGGGCGGAGCAGGGTCAGCCTGGCAGGAGAGTGGGGTGGGGCACAGTGGGCACCTGGCCATCCGATTGCCCAGGCCCAGCCTCTGCTGTGTGGGTCCTCGGGACCCTGGATGGGGGCTGCTGGCACGGCTGCTGGACCGACCCTTACAGAGGGAGTGGCTCTCCGGGGAGTCCTGGGCTCCAGGGCCCCAGCATGCTCTGTACCCCTCAGGCTGCCCAGCATGTGTTGCCCTTCTTAGCCATCCATGGCAAGGAGCCTGGAAGACAGGTTGGCAGGAGGCAGGCTAGTTCCCATCGGCTGTCCTGGCCACTTAGGGCCACCTCTGCTGTAAGCCCATGTGGCCAGCTCTCACCTACTGTGTGCCGGCCTCCCCACACAGCACCCCTGGGCCGGGGCCAGGCTCACTGGGCACCGAGACTCCAGCCCAGCTGTTGTGCAGCTGTTCCCCAGTCTTCCCGCTGCTGGGCCACCCTGGGACAGCAGGTCCAGGCACAGCCTGCCTCCTGGTCTAGTTGGCTGGACCTTGGGCTCCGGGTCAGACTGGCCTCCCAGGGATGGGGCTGTGCCCGAGGACCTGAGCCACCTGGGGGTGGCCACAGCCCTCCTGGTGTTGCTGTCTCCCGAAACCATTTCCTCAGCTAGCCGGCCGCCCAAGCCAGGCCTCTACAGCATCTTGGGCAGAGCTGAGGTGGCCCTGGAGCTGGGGCCAGAGCCCGGTCTGGATCTAGAGCTGCAAACCCGGCCTGGGCCGGCTGGGCAGTGGGGGCAGCCAACTGGAGGCCAGTGTGCAGTCCTCGGTGGCCCCGCTGACACCGCATCCCGCTTACTGTCCCTTCCCCAGGAACATCCTAAACTCATGCTGCCTCCTGTGATGAGAGCTGATGGGAAGCCTGGCAGAGCGGCCCCAGGCAGGCTCTGTGTGGGGCCAGGGTGCCCTGACCATGCACGCGGGTGGGGACAGGCCGTGTTCAGCCCCCAGCGGAGCACTTGGGGCTATGGGCCTGGACCAGCAACTTAGACTTGGTCATGCTCCATCTCTTACCAGCCCCATGGCGGGCCCACGACCGACCTTGGGAGCATGATGGCACTACGTCACATGAGTCTGAAGCCCCAGGTAGGGGAGGTGCCACTGCAGGCAGTGCCAGGATGGGGCACTTGGTCTGAGGAGGTCTAGGTCAAGACCCCCTCCCTGGCCCCCAGCTGCCTCCGCCTGGGCTGGTAACCACAGCACTTCCTTTGCCAAGAGGAAAGAGCCCTCAGCCCGGTTCCCGGCTGGCCTTGGCCCACACGGTCTGGCCCTGGCTGGAGCCCAGGCTACACTCGGCTCCCAGGCAGCTGAGGCACAGGCTCTGTCTGGGGTTGGCCACTGGTCGGCGGGGGGGCTGGGGAGGTGGCAGCCTGGTCTGCCCACGGCTCTGCTGGCCAGTCACGGTGCCATCCCCAAACACCGGGAGGCGGGGGTGACAGTAGAGGCGTGATGCTCTGTCCTGGGGTTTCCCGGGCTCCTCGGGAGCTGAGTGGGATAGGGAGGGCCTCAGGTGGCCGGCAGTCCCGTCCCCCACACTCGCAGGGGTCACCACAGTAGTGACCACCTGGCAGGGCCTGCAGAATCTGCTTCCAAGTTTCAAGCCAAGGCCAGGACAGTGGGGGAGAAATCCACGCCTTTAGAGTAAGCATCTGAGAGCCCCCAGCCGTGTGCAGGGCCCCTGCTCACGGGGCAAGGGGGATGCCGGGCAGAGGCTCTTCCCCTGCCTGGTCCCGTCTCCGAGGTGCTGGCCTGCTGAGCAGCCAGTGAGACGCCCTGGCAGCAGCTGCCGCCAGAGCCAGGATTTCCAGAAGCAAGAGGCCACCCCAGTCCCTTGGGGGGGATGGTAGGGTCTCTCATGGTAGGCTCAGTACGCAGGATGCCTGGGCACGGAATTGGGGTGCAGCATGCGACCCCATGTGATACTGGAGAAGGGTATTTGCAGCTGTGCCCAGAAGTGGTCCCAGAACGCTCATGCGAGGGCCTCAGGGCCGGGGTCTCGGGTGACTCCGCTTCCTCTCGTGATTTTTTTTTTTCTTGGAGGCGGAGTCGCACTTTGTCATCCAGGCGGGAGGGCAGTGGAACAATCTCTGCTCACTGCAACCCCTGCCTCCCAGATTCAAGCAATTCTCCCGCCTCAGCCTCCCAAATAGCTGGGATTACAGGTGCGCACCACCATGCCCGGATAATTTCTGTATTTTTAGTAGAGACAGGGTTTCACCTTGTTGGCCAGGGTGGTCTTGAACTCCTCACCTCAAGTGATCCACCACCTTGGCCTCCCAAAGTGCTGGGATTACAGGCGTGAGCCACCGTGTCTGGTCTCTCTTGTGCTTTATTACCTGAGCTTATTATGGTGAAAATACAAAGACATAATGTTTGTATGACAAGGAGACAGCAATCCAGGTGGCCCGTTTCCAGAATGAAAGGGAAAAAGAAGTGAAAGAGATCCCCAGATCAGCAGCCCTGCCTGACTCTGGGCACAGACAGCACTTTGGGACCCCCAGCTTGGTGAGGCTGGTCAGGTGCAGGGAGGGGCTAGGCTAGAGCCCCCATCCCCTTCCCTCTCATTCCCCAGACTGTGGGGCCGGGGACCCTTCCTCAGTGGGCTCAGATAAGGCAGCACAGCAGGGTCCCCCAAGTCCGGAGACAGGCTGGTTGCCCACTGAGGGCCCCGTGGGACACCGGGGAGTGTCCTGCCCCCACCTGATGTGGTGTGGGAGAGCTCAAGGTACAGGGTTCTCAGGCCAGGATCCTGGAGAAATCCCTTCTCCAGACCCAACTTTTGGACTTAGTTGCTTCCCACCATCCCGAGGAGGAAAAGGCGGGAGGGACTTCCCCAGGAGGGTGTGGGGGTGGGAAGGCCTGGGGGACTCGAGGCGGGCCTGGGCGAGGCAGCGGCAAGCTTCCAACTCCGAGGGGAGCCCACACTCACCCCACAGGCATGCCCCAGTGTCCCCAAGCAGGGGAAGCCAGCACTTCCCTTCCCAACCCAGAGTCCCCTCCCTGGCTGCCGGGCCTGTGGTCTGGCCCCGGCCCATGGCAGTCCCAGCCTTGTGGTCCGGGAAGCCCCTGGCTCGCGGGCACCTTCACCCCCTGCCCTGGGCCTGGGCCTGGCCCTGCTCCACAGTCCCTTGGGCCGGCTCTTCCTCTCCACCCGCCCACCCGCCGCAGAGGCCAGCTCACAGCCCACGTCCCCCACCAGCACTCACAGACCCCTCCTCTGCTGCCATGACTGGGAGAGGCCCCTTGAGTCCACATGGCTGCGTTCGCACACGAGAGGGGAAGGGGCCTTGGGGGCCCTGGGCTGGGAACTGGCTCAGCACAGCAGGAGCCTGCCAGGGCCGTGCAGGGCAGCCCCCGCCGCCCCCCTTGCCCCACCGCCTCTGCTGAGTCACCTCATGTCTGGGAAGTTCCCAGGGCCAAGCCAGGCTGGATGAGGCATCAGAAATTCACAAATTCCCCCTGCCTCCCGGGCAGGGGAATGGCTGTCCTGACTCACCTCGGGCTGGGCCCCCGCAGACCCCACTATCCCCACGCTCAGCCTCATACCCCTCTTTCCCGAGGGGGCAGGCCCCCCGCCCCAGGTTCCTGGAATGGTCCCAGGCCAGGCTTGCTGCCCGTGGGATGGAGACGACAAGGTGCCAGGGTGCCTGGCTGGAGTGGGGGCCGCTCAGTGACAGCCTCAGACCACCCACGGAGCAGCAGGGCCACCGTGTGCAGAAATCTGTGTGTGCTGTGTCCTCCGTGTGCAGGAGCCGATAGTCATGGCAACTCTGGGAGGCTCCCTCGGGCTGGCCTTGGCCACTGGACTTGGGCAGAGGTGGGCACAGCTGAGGGGCCACAGGCAAGCATGCAGGCGGGCCGATGGTCCGGGAGAGCTGGGCTGGGCGGGGCCTGGGGCGCTGGGGGCTCACCATTTCCCACACTCAGGCTGCCAGGAGAAGTGCGGGGTATCCTGGCGGTGCCCAGGAAGGAGCCTCTCGCGGCCTCCACCTGACCCAGAGGTGAGCGCCATCCGCAGCTCTGTGCCAGCCCAGTCGGGGCCCAGCCCCAGGAATCCTGAAGGGATTTTAGAAGCAGATCCGTCCTCAGCGCCACCCTTCCTTCCTCTGTCCCCCGCCCTCAGTCTTCCCCCTGGCTCAGTTTCTCCCTCTGCTCGCCTGAGACTGGGGCACTCCTGTCTGACAAGTCAGTTTATTGGGCCTGGGTAGAGGGATGAAGACCCCACTCAGGAGAGAGAACAGCTCCTCCCAGTGCTGCCTGGAGGGGCCGAGACTGTGGGGCCCGTGGAGCTGACACAGGGCCTATGGCTGGGGCCCCGCTGACCCTGGTGCCTCATGTATCACCTTGACCTTTTTGGCAAGTTCGCCAGTGTGTGAGAGGCCTTGGAGCTGCCCACAGCTGTGGGCTGGGAGAGTCAGGGTGCTCTCCCTGTGAAGAGGAGGCCCATCCACAGACCCTGAAAGTTGATTGGGCACAGTACCCAGCACCCACCTGGGTGGTAGTGGTGGTGACAGTGATGGTGGTGGTGGCGAGTGATGTGGTTATTGATGATGATTGGTGATTGATGATGATATGGTTGTTGTGGTTGGTGATGGTGGTGGTGGTGTGGTTGTTGTTGAATGTGGTTGGTAATGGTGGTGGATGATGTGGTTGGTGGTAATGGTAGTGGTGATGTGGTTGGGGGCATGGTGGTGGAGGTGATGTGGTTGGTGATGATAATGTGGTTGGTGTTGTGTGGTGGTGGTGATGGTGATGTAGTTGGGGTGGTGTTGATGTGGTTGGTGGTGGTGGGTGATGTGGTTTGTGGTGATAGTGCTGGGTGATATGGTTGGTGATGATGATGTGGTTGGTGACAGGTGATGTGGTTGGTGGTGATGATGATGGTAGGTGATGTGGTAGTAATGTGGTTGGTGGTGATGTGGTTGGTGTGATGTGGTTGGTGCTGATAGTGGTGGGTGATGTGGTTGGCATGATGTGGTTGGTGTGATGTGGTTGGTGGTGATAGTGATGGGTGATGTGGTTGGTGATGATGTGGTTGGGGGTGATAGTGGTGGGTGATGTGGTTGGTGGTGATGTGGTTGGTGGGTGATGTGGTTGGTGGTGATAGTGGTGGGTGATGTGGTTGGGGGTGATAGTGGTGGGTGATGTGGTTGGGGGTGATGGTGGGTGTTGTGGTTGGTGGTGATAGTGGTGGGTGATGTGGTTGGTGATGATGGTGGGTGATGTGGTTGGTGGTGATGTGGTTGGGGGTGATAGTGGTGATGATGTGGTTGGGGGTGATAGTGGTGGGTGTGTAGTTGGGGGTGATAGTGGTGGGTGATGTGGTTGGGGGTGATAGTGGTGGGTGATGTGGTTGGTGGTGATAGTGGTGGGTGATGTGGTTGGTGGTGTGGTTGGTGGTGATAGTGGTGGGTGATGTGGTTGGTGGGTGATGTGGTTGGTGGTGATGTGGTTGGGGGTGATAGTGGTGGGTGATGTGGTTGGTGTGATGTGGTTGGTGGGTGATGTGGTTGGGGGTGATAGTGGTGGGTGATGTGGTTGGTGTGATGTGGTTGGTGGGTGATGTGGTTGGTGGTGATGTGGTTGGGGGTGATAGTGGTGGGTGATGTGGTTGGGGGTGATAGTGGTGGGTGATGTGGTTGGTGGTTATGTGGTTGGTGGTGATGTGGTTGGTGGTGATGGTGGGTGATGTGGTTGGTGGCGATGTGGTTGGTGGTGATAGTGGTGGGTGATGTGGTTGGTGGTGATGTGGTTGGTGTGATGTGGTTGGTGGTGATGTGGTTGGTGATGATGTGGTTGAGGGTGATGGTGGGTCGTGGTGGTGGTGGGTAATGTGGTTGGTGATTTGGTGATGATGTGGTTGGTGGTGGTGGTGGGTGATGTGGTTGGTGGTGATGTGGTTGGTGGGTGATGTCATTGGTGATGTGGTTGGTGCATGATGTGATTGGTGATGTGGTTGGTGGTGATGTGGTTGGTGGTGATAGTGGTGGGTGTGGTTGGTGATGATGTGGTTGGGGGTGATGGTGGGTGATGTGGTTGGTGGTGATGTGGCTCGTGGTGGTGGTGGTGGGTGATGTGGTTGGTGGTGATGTGGTTGGTGGTGATAGTGGTGGGTGATGTGGTTGGTGGTGATAGTGGTTGGTGGTGATAGTGGTGGGTGATGTGGTTGGGGGTGATAGTGGTGGGTAATGTGGTTGGTGGTGATGTGGTTGGTGATGATGTGGTTGGTGGTGATAGTGGTGGGTGATGTGGTTGGTGGTAATAGTCGTGGGTGATGTGGTTGGGGGTGATTGTGGTGGGTGATGTGGTTGGGGGTGATAGTGGTGGGTGATGTGGTTGGTGGTGATAGTCGTGGGTGATGTGGTTGGGGGTGATAGTGGTGGGTGATGTGGTTGGTGGTGATAGTCGTGGGTGATGTGGTTGGGGGTGATAGTGGTGGGTGATGTGGTTGGGGGTGATGTGGGTGATGTGGTTGGGGGTGATAGTGGTGGGTGATATGGCTCGTGGTGGTGGTGGTGGTGATGTGCTTGTGACAAAGATGTCGTTCTTGGGTTTGCAACAGCAGGAGAGTGTCAGTACCAGGACACCTGGGGCACCAAAAGACTCAGGACTCTGAGTGTGGCAGTCAAAGGCATATGGGGGTAACCTTTCCCATCATCGGTTTCTTGGATATTGAAAGTCAAAGGCTCTGGGGGAGATTGGGGCCTGAGAGTCCCCTGTGGAGAAGGGCTGTGGTGTTGCCCCTGCCCTGCCTCAGGCCACACCCTGGGAGCTGCCCCCAGAGTCACTCTTGCCCTGTGTCCACAGCCAGCAGCCGCCTGATGGGAAGTTCTCCGGCCTCCTCGTTCATGGGCAGTTTCCTCACCAGCAGCCTGGGCTCGGCAGCCTCCACGCACCCCAGCGGCCCCAGCTCCTCCCCCCCTGAGCAGGCCTACCGTGGCTCCCACCCCACCACCTCCCAGATCTGGTTCTCCCACTCCCACGAAGGTAAGTTGGCGGACTGGGCTCCCAGCGACACCCTGGTGGCCAAGAGACTGACCCTGGTGCCCGGGCCAGGGGCAGGTGAGGGGCTCCCATCGTGGCCGTGGGAACCTGGCCGGTGGACGGTGACAAGCAGGCTCGGGTGAGGCTGCCTCCCTGCCGAGGAAGCCCCGGGGGAAGTGGTGATTGGTTGGAAACAAGGGCAGCCTGTTCGGCAGTGGTCCTGGCCAGATGTGTGCTCCAGATGGGCAGCAAGGGGAAACAGGGGGGCCAGGAGGGGCTCTGGGGAGCTGAGAAAATGTGGAGCACAGCTGGGCCGGCCGGGCTGGGCTCACCCTCACAGTGGCCGTGCCCCACCTCCCCAGACGCTAGGAGGCGGGCTCCAAATGTGCCAGCTGGAGGAGGGGGCCGGGGCGGGGAGAGCTGTCAGCGCACACAGGCTGCCACCCAGGGGCCTGTCCCAGGACAAAGAGTTCCTCCCAGGCCACCTGCCTCCCCGTGGGACACAGCCCTGGACACACAGTAGGTGCCTCGCGAATACTGGCTACTCTCAGGCTGCCTGGCCAGCAGGAGACTCCTGGAGGCCCCCCTGGCCTTTCCGTGGCAGGGCACCCCTGCCTGGATCCCCGTGCTTGCTCAGACCCCTTGCCCTGCAGCCTAGGAGGCGGCCCTGGGCCCCCATGTCCTTGGGCCCACAGTTGCTGGTATTCCCTCGGCCACCCCAACCCTACAGCGTGGGAAGGGTTAAGCTCCCCCCGCCCCCCGCGGCTGGCACGCAGAGAGGTAATTGCAGTTGGCAGCGGGCACACAGGGCTCTCCGCTCCTGGCACCCAGCACTGCCGTAACTCAATGACTGCTGAGCGGCGGGCGTCGTGTTTACAGAGCGCCGCGGACCCACACACCACGCCACCGCCCCGTTCCAGGCAGGGAGATTAGCACCCGGCACTGCTGGAAGCAGAGAAACCTCTCTTTGTGCAACAAGAAAGGGGCTGTTTTCCAAACAGAACAGGTGACGAGTGAGGGACAGTTGCTGAAATAATCTGGGCTTTCGGCTCAGGGCGCACATGTTGGGCAGGCGATAAGGAGTGGCCTCTTCCTGGGTGCAGGGGAGGCCGCTACCTTGGGATGCGGTGGGCAGCATGGGGTCCTCGGTCCAGACTCCCCTGCCCAGACTCCCCTGCCCCTTCCTCCCACCCCTGCACTACTAGCGGCCTCCTGGAGGGGAGACCAGGCTGGCCATGGCTCCTGGGCTGGCTGTGGGGGCCCCGCCTTCCTGGCTCATATGCCCCACCCCGCCTCAGCCTTTTGTGTCTGTGGGCAAACGCCCCGGCCAGCCACAGCATCTGGCTCCCAGGATGTCTGTGGGAGGGAGGAGGGTGGCCTGGCACCGGGGGAGCAGGAAGGGGAGGCCTGCGGCAGCCGTGGTGAACCCCCCACAACAGACGCAACGGCCGCTGCCTGGTCCTGGCCCAGCCACAGGTGCACAGATCCACCTAGGACCACTGACTTGGTTTCCCCTCCTGGCAGTGGTGGCCCCTAGTCAGGGCCCAGAAGTGGCACCAGCCCATCCCCAATGCTCTCTGCACCAGGAGAGAGCTCCTACCCCACTCCCTCCACCCACCCTGGGGGACCCCAGCAGCAAGGAGGGCCGTTTGTGGGTAGCACCACCTGCCTTGGAGCCCCCGTCCCGCCCCTCTGGGGGCTGCTCAGAGGGTGGGTGTGTGGTGGCCCACAGGCAGACAGCACCCACAACGGCCTCTAGACACTCACTTCCCCTTGTGCCAACGGCTGCCTGGGCGGAGCTGCCCACATCCCACCCCGGGGACCCCCACCACTTCTCAGCCCCTCACATGGGGCCCGGCATCGGTGGGTTCCATCTGCTCCCGAGCCCTTGGGAGTCCCCCTGGCTGGGTGGGAAGCCAATGTCCTGCCACAAGTGTCGACGTGAGCCCCTGGCGTCTGGGCCTCTGAGCCCCTTCTATCTGCGTCCCAGGGAAGTAGCTCCTCCAGGCGGGGGTGGCCTGAGCCGGAGGAGAGGACAGTGCCCACAGTGGCCCTGGCTGTGTCACACCGAGGAGGTTCACCTGTCCACCCTGCTGGGCACCTGGCACCCTGGCTGGGCGAGACGCATCTCCCGCTGTCCGTGTCAGGTGGGGGTGGGCACGTGTGCGGGACAGTGGGCTGGGTGGACCAGCACGGGTGGAGGCGGGACAAGGGGGTGCAGGGCGTGGCCTCTGAGCCGCCCGCCTGGGCCCCAGAATGCAAGGCCCACCCGGGGCTGAGGATGGGTGTGGGTGCCCCCCGAGGGTGGCAGAGCCTCCAAGGCCACACACCTGCGAGGCCCGTGCTCCAGCTTGCTGTCCCCTGCTCTGCCTTCAGTTCAGTTGTCCCACCCCCCGGGATCCCCTCCCCTCCCTGCGGGGGTTCCCTGCCACGCAGCCGTGCTCCCCGACAGACCACATGGAGCTGCCGCGCTGTGAGCTGAGCGGCAGAGGCCAGGGCCGGCGGGCCAGGGTGAGAGGCTGGCTGGCTGCCCGGGCAGCATGCCTGGCTGCTAGTTTGACAGGGTGCCAGCTGGCTCCCCGTGCGCCGGGCCTGTTTCTCTGCCGTGTGTGTTCATGGGGGAAGGGGAGTGAGGTGGGTGGGGGGCACGCGACTCGGCCGGAGAGTGGGGGCCAGCAGGCACAGCGGGCTGCCTGGGCGGTTGGCCTTGCCCACGTTTCCTCCTAGTGGCCCAGGATGGGCAGGAGGCAGGTGCCTGGCCAAGCCAGCTTGCCACCCCCTCCCCAGCCCAGGGCTTTCGTTGAGGGTAGGTAGGCCAGGGTGGGGCAGGCCACCAGGAACCCAGGTTGGGGTAGCCCCAGGAACCCCCCATGCCAAGCGGGGCCTCCTCTCTCCCCATCTGCAGGGCAGCCCCTCGAGCGGGCCAGGGCTTCCTGCTTCCCCGGGGGAGCAGCTGGGGGTGCAGCAGAGGCAGCCCGGAGCTGGAGGAGCCGCCCGGAACATCTGGCCTGGGCAGAGCCTGTCTGTTCAGCTCCTCCCGGCCCGCAGCTTACCCGAGGCTCGCGCTCCCACCAGCGGTGGGCCTCTCTGGGGCTTGGGGTGGGGGCGGGAGGCGGAACTGGCCAGGGGCAGAGGTGAGCTCCTGCTGGGCAGCCTGTCCTGGGTGGATGAGGATGAGAGCAGGGGTGGGGGCACACACAGCTGGCCCTATTGTCAGCAGGCCTGGTCCCCTCCCTCCCCACCGCGCCCCCCAGCTGCCTGGCCAGGACCACCCACAGGGCCAATGAAAGAGGATTCTGTTCCTGGGGGGCTCAGCTGGGAAGGGGTGGGGGCAGGGGCTGCTGAGATCCCCACTGAGGCCACTCGTGGTCTCTTGTGCCACCTGGGGGGAGCCATGGGGGCGGCAGGCACACACACGCGCTGGCTCTCCGCCTGGCCGGCCTCTTGGTCAGAACCACGCCCCACCAGCGGCCACTTCTCACTGGGCCTGGCCAGCTCCTGGGGGTCCGGGGCTACGCATGCCGAGCACTCCCTGCCAACGGAGCCCCGCAGCTTCCTGCATCCTGCCAGCTGCTCCTCTGTCCCCTTCGTCCCCTCTGAGGTCTCAGGACTCGCTGGTGCTGCTGGGAGTGAGCAGGAGCTGGGACCACATCTGTTTAAGGGACAGAGGTCCCACCAGCGCCCACCCACCCCGAGTGTCCTCAGAGGTACTGGGGCCCCAGCTCCATCCTTCCTGTGATGCCTGCCAGGGACCTGCTGCTTCCTCCCAGACCCCTTCAGCTCCTCCTTCCTCTCCCGGCCTCGGTTTCCTCGGTGGCTAAAACAGCTTCTTGGTCTGTCTCCCACAGGCCCGCTGACCACCCCAGCACTGACGTTTCTACCACATCTATGTGGGGGGTGTGGCCCTTGCCCTGCCTAGACCTGCTGTCCCTGCCCATGTGCGAGGGAGAGTTGGGCCAGTGGGGACAAGCTGGCTCCGCTGGGATGCGAGGGACAGCGTGGGGGTCCCGGCGTGGGGGTGGAGGGGACAGCGTGGGGGTCTCGGCGTGGGGGTGGAGGGGACAGCGTGGGGGTCCCGGCGTGGGGGTGGAGGGGACAGCGTGGGGATCCCAGCGTGGGGGTGGAGGGGCTCTGCTGGGCCGGCTACCTCCCGCCAGCTTCTCTCAGCCAGAGGGCGGCTGCCCCATCCAGGCCTATGATCCCCCCTCCGGAGGTGTCCTATGGCTTTCGGGAGCCAGCCCTCCCATACCCTCGGCCCCTCACCGTGGCCTGCCCTGGCCGGCCACCCTGCCAGGGTCCCAGCCTCCTGTCCCCACTGGAGTCTGCCCTCAGGCCCTGGCAGTTCCCAACCCCCAGCCCGCTGAGACTTTATGCATAGCCTCATGTTCACGGCCTGGCTGAGTGCTGCCAGTCACTGTTGAGTGCAGGGGTTTCATCCCGTGGCCATGGTGACCAGCACCCAGGTCCACACCTGGCAGAGGGCTGTATGGAGGTGGCTAGGGGAGACACAGACTTGGGGAAGCCAGGATAGGGACATCCCAGGTGGCAGAACCTGAGCCCCAGGGAGGTTGGGGAGAGGGCCACCCCTGGTTTGGATAAAGGGCCTGGTCCCTGCAGCTTCAGGGTTCCCAGGACCAGCCCTGGCTTGAGGTTGGGCAGGATGACTGCACTTCTGTTATGAGCCTGGCCCTGGGATGGCACCTGCCTCCCCCTGGCAATGCTGCACAGCACAGTGGTGCTTGCGCCCATTTTACAGCTGAGGAAACTGAGGCTGAGGATTGTGTGTGACTGAGAGCCTGTCCCCTCATCCCCTCCCTGCCCTCTGACCTGCCGTGCTTTGGAGTAGGTGTACCCTCTGCCCCGCAAGCTCCTGCTCTCCAGGAGCCAGGGACTTAGCCAGGGACTTGGGCTAGAGGCTGCTCTGGGACCCAGGAGGCTGCACCCGAGCCCCTGCGCACACCCAGGCACCGCAGGACAGGGCAGGACTGTGGCAGATGCGGCATGGGCCCCTGCTATGTGCAGGGCAGGTGGGCAGGGCAGGGGTCGTCACAGACCCAGAGCTGTCTTAGCTTCGAGTTCATATGCCCAGCCTCAGTTTCTCTATCTGCCACACCCATGAGAACAGCTGTCCAGACCCCATGTGATACAGACACAAAGAGCAACTTCCCTCCCGTGTCCTGCAGCGGCTGTCCACTGCTGGGGCCAGTGGCCTTGGTCACTGGGGATGGGGTGCGGCCTTCCTAGGCTGACATCCCTGGATCTGACCGATGGTGCAGCCGCCCCGGCAGGTGCACCGTCTCCTGTGTGCCTGTGTGTGGGGCTGGCTGGTGTCATGCCTGTGGCCCCGGTACAATGACCTATGTGTCAAGGACGCTGCCTGGGGAACGTGAGGAAGGTCCTGGTGGACAGGCGGAAGGGAGTTCCCTGGTAGCCAGAGCTGATGTCCAGGGTGCCGGCGAAGGTTTTGGGGGTCGTGTGGTTGCTTCTAGCTCCACGCTCCGAGAACTGTCCATTGCCCCCTGTGGCTTGAGGGCGGCCCCAGCCTCGGACCCACCCTCCCACCCATCACCAGGCCCACCCTCCCTCCCATCGCCGGGCCCACCCTCCCCTCCAGCCCTGGACCCAACCTCCGTCCCCAGCCCTGGACCCACCCTCCCGGGCCCACCTGTTCCCCTGAGCCCCAGACCCCATCCCTCCCATCCCCGGGCCCACCCTCCCCCGCATCCCCAGGCCCACCCTCCCCGCCATCCCCAGACCCACCCTCCCCCCGAGCCCCAGACCCACCCTCCCTCCCATCCCCAGGCCCACCCTCCCCCCACATCCCCAGGCCCACCCTCCGCCCCATCCCCAGGCCCACCCTCCCCCCCCATCCCCAGGCCCACCCTTCCCCCCATCCCCAGGCCCAACCTCCCCCCCCATCCCCAGGCCCACCCTTCCCCCCATCCCCAGGAAGGCTGCGCTCCTCCCTGTGGGGTTGGTGCCTGGATCCTGGGCAGGCTGCCCACTGCGTTCATTCTGGAGGCTCCCATGGGAACCTGGCACCTGCTCCCGCTCTTAGCTACCTTGCTCAGCCTGGGAACAGATGGAGCTGGCCCGGCCCGCCCCTGAGGCAGCTGTGGGTCACCACTTGGGCCAGTTCCCTGCAGGCCTGTGGATGGGGAAGAGGCTGAGCTTCTGAAGCCTCAGGGGGCCCCAAGGATTGGGCACTCCAGCTCCAAGAACGAATCTCTTGCTGTGCCGCCCCGCAACCACTCATGTCCCGGGAGCTGCACTTTGAAACACAGCCTGGACACCCGGGGGCCTGCCCACCTGGGGTGAGGGGCCGTGTGTGGGAGCAGGGGTGTATGGCAGAGAGCAGACAGGACTAGGGAAGGGGCCGCTGCAAGGCTGTAGGCCCTTCCGGCCCTAGAGTGGGAGTGGGAACTGCCCATAGCTGCAGTCACTGCTGAGGCCCCTCCTGTGCCCAGGGCTGGAGTCATCAGTCCACCGAGGCCCCTCCTGTGCCCAGGGCAGGAGTCATCAGTCCACCGAGGTCCCTGTGTGCCCAGGGCAGGTGTCATCAGTCCACCGAGGCCCCTCCTGTGCTTAGGGCAGGTGTCATCAGTCCACCGAGGTCCCCGTGTGCTCAGGGCAGGTGTCATCAGTCCACCAAGGCCCCTCCTGTGCCCAGGGCAGGAGTCATCAGTCCACCGAGGCCCCTGTGTGCCCCGGGCAGGTGTCATCAGTCCACCGAGGCCCCTCCTGTGCCCCGGGCAGGTGTCGTCAGTCCACCGAGGTCCCCGTGTGCTCAGGGCAGCCATCATCCGTCAACTACAGCACTTTGTGTGCCGCATGCGGACAGGGTTTCAGAATCTGTGTCAGCCCAGCACTCGGGGCCTGGCGGTCATCGGGTAGACCCGTGCACTGCACCTGAAACCCACTGACACCCTGAGTGACGGGGGTGTCCCGTGAAGAGCCAGTGCTGAGTTGCGGGCGGGTGGAGGCCAGGCTGAGCCTCGTGCGTGTGGCTGCACGGCAGGGACGTCCTGCGTGACAGGGACGATGTGCAGAACCTCAAGAGGAGCAGGGACCACTTGCCAGGCCAGGGGTCTCCCGGGACTCCCCTGGGGTCACTGTGGGGGGAGTAACAGGGGATCTGGCAGAGTTGGCAGGAGGTGGGGGAGGGGTGTCTGCTTCTGAGCCAGGAGGATGGGCCCTCGCTGGACAGTGGGTATTTGAGACAGTGCCCACAGCCTCCCACGTTCCCCAGGGCCTCCCAGGCTGGCTGCCCACGTGCACATTCCAGGCTCGGGGCCACGCCCAGCTGACTGCATGACCCACTGCCCGCCCAGCCAGGCGCATGTGGGAGCCGAGGTGGTACTGCAGTGGGAGACAGGTCGAGGCTCAGCCGTGGGAGGCCAGCGTGGCAGACCTTCCCCCAGGGAGGAGGCACTGCCGTTTGTCAGGATGGTGGGGTGTCCGCTGTAGAAGGTTTTGTCCTCAAAGGCGTGCGGGCTGGGGCAGGGCGCTCGAGGTGTGCTTCAGCACCCCCAGAAGTTTGCTGAGCCTGCAGCATCCTGGCCCTGAGCTCTGTGGCCCCAAGTGGGGCTTCCTGGGTGACCCTGCAGTGGGAAGTCCCCTGACCCCCCAGGTGATCTTGGTCCTTCTGCTGGCTGGCGTCCCTCCCTCCTAGACCTGGCCGTGAAGATACCCCAAGTTCAGCATCCTGAGAGACCCAGGAGCAGCCCCTGGTTTTCCACGGCAGGGATGCTCCCTGGAAGGGCAGCCTGGGGGGTGGGTTGTGGCCACCTCCCCAGATCTGGCAAGAGGAGGAAGGCGCAGGGCTGGCCTGGAGAGGGCAGGGCCTCGACGTGCGGGGCTGTTGGGAAAATGTGCTGTGTCAGAACGCAGGAGGGATGAGGGGGATGAGGTACCTGGAGTGGGGGTGCCCGTCAGGCAGCCAGGGCTGGTGCACCCTGGGTGGGGGCTCCTCCTCCCTCCCCAGGGGTGAGAAGCCACCAGGCCTCCCTTCTCCAGGTGGGCAGGAGGAAAGGAAGGGTCCCCTCACCCCTGGCCGTCCCCAGCCCCCATTTCTCTGCACGGTGCCCTCCCACTCCTCTGTCCTTCAGCCCTGCCCCAGGGGCACCCCCGACCCCCACTGACTGCCCACTCTCTCTCCTCCTGCCCACACCACAGGCCTCCTACCTGCAACCCTTGACCTCCCCAGACGTGGTGAGCTCAGGCCTGGGGGTGGTTGGGAGGGGTCTGGGGGTGTGGCCATTGTGTCCCCCGCCCAGCCCACGCGTGGCCCCCTGGCTTTACTAACCCATCAGGTGCCTGTGGCTTTGAGCCTCTGTCTCCTGCAGTCTGTCCCATCACAGGACTGAGTTTGGAGTCTCCTGCCCACCGCAGTAGCAGGGGCAGGATGTGGGGACCTCGGTGCGACCCCCACTGCCCCCAGGGCTCTTCCCCACGCTCCACCAGGCTCCGAGGGCACCAGCAGCCTGTGTCCTGACCACCTCTCTGGCGGTTCGCTTAGCCCAGGGCTTGCCCTTGTCTGTTGGGGTGATCATAAAAGCTCCCGTCTCAAAGGGGTCTGGGAAGGGGAGGTTCTGGAGCCCCGACGTTCTAGCAGGAGCTTGCAGTTGAGGACCTCTGGCTCTGGGTTCATATGGCCCCAGACCCTGCTGGCTGAGCCCTCTTGGTCTCTGGCCCCGGAATGTCCCCTCCCTGCCATCTGGGGCCTCTACTGTCCCCCTGGAGCCCTCCCCAGGACCACCACCCCCACTCCTCAGTGGCAACCCCTTCCAGGATGCCTGTGTGTCCCCGGCCCGGCCGCAGCAGCCCTGCCTTCCCCCACTCCTCAGTGGCAGCCCCTTCCAGGATGCCTGTGTGTCCCCGGCCCAGCCACAGCAGCCCTGCCTTCTGGCTTCTGGCCTCAGAACAGCTGCTCTGATTCATAAAAATCATTTTTAAATTTTCTTTCTCAGTTTTGAGAGTATGGTCTTATTGGGAAAAAGAAAGGGGCTTTCTGTCGCTGGGCTGGGAGGACCTTTTCCCTTCCTTTCTCTGCCCCCTGCCCAAAGATGACCCCACCCTGCCGACTGGGCCTCTCCGGCACCCAGCCCCTCCCTCTCTGCTCCCCGCCCCTCCATCCCATCTCCCCACTCCCTCCTCCTTCCCTGGCTCCCTAACTTCCCCTCTGGGTCCTCAGAGGTGGGGACCCAAGCAGGCAAGGATGGGGGCACCAGCCAGGCCTTTGGTCTTCGGGCCCTGGCCAGTGCTGCCCTGCTCACCAGCCCAGGGGCCACCAGCCAAGGCCCAGCAGCTGAGGGACACGCATAGCTGCCCACCCGCAGCTGCCCCCAGAGGGGACCGGCGGGAAGGAGCCCACTCCTCTGCCAGCTGACTGCCTGCTCCCCGCAGAGAGCGGATGGGCTGGAGGCCTGGACCTCTGGAGGGGGGACCGGGGCTCCGTGCCTGGGAAACGGTGTCTGGGAAGGAGGAATTTACAGACTTCTGTTTACCAAAATGAGGCCTCGTAAAACATTTAACAGCAGCCAATTAAAGGGGGACAGCTGTGGAGGTTTAACAGTACCCCCCAAGGCCCTGCCCCTTGCCCTGCCACTCCCCTACCCCCGCCCCAGGTCGCTCCCACCCCGTCCCTCTCAGCTTTGGTCGAATCTTCCAGGATTGGAGTTTAATCTGGTAAACAGCTGCTCCAGATGCAGCTCCCACACAGACCAGGCCAGTCGGCCAGGCTCGAGCCTCAGCCCCGTGTCCTCAGCTGGAGGGCAGCTGCAGGGCTGCACCAGGGCCAGGGCGCCCTCCCCAGGTTCCCAGACTTGGCCTGGGATGTGCGGCCTCACAGGGAGATGGGGCTTCACCCTGTCAAGCAGGCCTCCGTGTCGCAGGACTTCCCAGGGCCTTCCCTGTGCTCACGCCCTACACGACTCCAAATGGGACGTGTGTGGGGTGCATTCTTGGAGCTGGTGACCCAGAGCTTGGGTTTCCTGGAGCATCTCCTGGGGCTCAAGCTCCACAGATTTCCCTGGGATCCACTGAGCCAGAGAGGATCGAACAGTGCCTGCCACTGCTGGGGGACCCACTGGGATTGCGGTGTGGGGTGCCCCAGTTGGACTAGGGGGCCTGTTTTCCAGGGAAGATTCAGAGCAGGAGTTTTAGAGGGTGAGGGCCCCCCGCCCTGCCCCGCCCAGCTGCGTTCATTCCGGCAGGTTGAAGCTGTGGGTTGCCTCAAACGTCTTCTCCTCAGGCCTACAGAAGGCTGCCAGACCCCCAACCACAGCCAGCCGCTCGGCCCTCACGTTCAGGCAGCTGCTAAGGCAGGCCGGCCGGCACTGGCACCACCTGCACTGCACGGAGGGCTGGGGCTGGGGCTGGGCGGGTCTGAGTCTCAGAGCTCTGCCAGTGGCCTGGGGTCTTGCTGGGGAACCAGAAGCCACACTCCTTGTGGCTGGTGTCCCTGGTGTCCAGCAGACATGCTCTCTGCAGCCCCTGGGCTGGGTTCTGGTGCCTGCAGGCCTCCCAGGCCATGCTCAGCCCTGTCCTGACCTGCCAGCTGTGCTTCATCCCTTGGGTGGGGGCAAGTGTGCCCCACACAGCCAGAGCTGTCCCAAGGCCCAGGGCCAGCCGCGTGGGTGGCTGGGTGTGGCTGGCTTTCCTGTGCTGGGCAGGGGCAGGCCGCTCAGAAATGTGGCTGCCTTGAGGGACAGACAGACCCCTTAGCCAAGAGAGGGGCCTGTCTGGCATGACTCGGAGTCACCGCCTGGGGTTTTGGGGCTGGGGCCTGTGCAAGGAACTCTTTGCCCCCGTCCCTTCCCCACCCTGTGCAGATCTCAGAGCCGGAAGAGGCCTGGCCATGGTGGGAACTCGGCGTCGGATGGACACACCTGTGACCTCCAGCCAGGGTCGGGGGAGGCTGGCCACACCCCAGCAGCACTGGCCCCTGGCCTGGGCTGTCCACTGGGCCCTGGGGCCTGCCTTGGGGAGGCCAAGTCCGGGCCTGGTTCTCCTTTGGCCAGGGCCTTGGCGCAGAGTCTGTCCACCGTGCCCCCTCCTCCCACAAAACCTCCCCAGAGTCCCTTTTGTTGCCCAGCCTGGGAGCTTCCGCGATCCTGAGTGCTGCTAGGAGGGAACAGAGGCCCCCTCGTCCGTCCTCCCCTCTCCCCAGCCCATCAGCAATTCAATTTGTGCCGCACCGGAGGGATGGCATTAGTGGAGTCAGAGTTAATATGATGTATTGATGGGTTGATTTCCCCCCGGCGGCTGCGTGCTGGGCTCTGCGGGACATCGCTCCTGGGCTGCCTGCCGGCTTCTTGCCTCCCTGGGGTCAGGGCGAGTGTGGGCCAGGGGGCTGGGAGTTGCCTCTGCAACTGGGTCTCTTGCTTCTCTAGCTCCGGGGTACCCCAGATTTTCGGGGAGTCTGGCATCCACCTTCCTACCCGTGAGCCACTTGGATCACCATGGAAACAGCAACGTTCTCTATGGGCAGCACCGTTTCTATGGAACCCAAAAAGGCAAGTGCAGCATGGGACCGGCGTGGGGAGCAGGCATGCTGGAGGTGGGGAGGGGGCGCAGGAGCTTCTGGGGCACAAGGGAAAGGCCAGCCTAGGTTAGCCCTCCCACCAGGTGTCATCGAGGCCAGGGTGGGGGCTAGAGGAGAGGGTGGGCCTGCCCCTCAGGATTTAAACCCAGGGGCCCAGGACCACCCCCAGGCGCAGGTTCAGTTCCCAGGTCACGCTGTCTCAAGACCTCTCACTGCTCAGGTGGGAGCAGCTGAGCTGGTGCCCACCTTCCTCATCACCCTAGCCCCACCGGCTTCCTCAGGACCTGGCCTTGCCCTGCAGCCCCCAGCAGCCCGGGGATGGTGGGGTGGCTCAGGAGGAGGATGCATCCTGTGGGGGCTGGAGGAAGCCCACAGAAGCCCGCACTTCCTGGCTTACACACCCGGTGGCCTCGGCTAGACCTGGGCTGCACGAGGCCCAGCCCCCAGCCCCCAGCCCCCCAGCCCCGTGTCCTGGTGGACAGAGGGGCTGCTCACCCCATTGGCAGCAGGCATCCCTGAAGAAGGGATGCAGACTTTGTCTTTGCTGAGAAGTCAGAGCCGGTGGGGCCTTGGGGAAGAGGAAGCTCAGGCCCAGCAGAGCCGAGTCCTGGTGCCAGCGAGTCCCCTCAGGGTACCGGAGAGGGCCTGGCTGGAGGTGGGATGGGTGTGGGTCCTTATCTCCAAGTTGGGTTTCCTCTGGTAGGGCGACATCTCATTTGCATTTTAAAAAGTTCTCCTTGGGGTGACACCAGGAGGCTGGAGCAGGAAGCCATCGGTTAGTTACCAGGTTCCAGTGAGAAGCGATACAGGTGTGGGGCCCCACAGGGGCCGGCATCGGTGATATCTAGGAGGGAGATTGGGGGCAGGGAGGGATAGAGGGGTCTAGGTGGCCCCCGGTTTCTGGCCTGGGCTATGGGAGGGTGCACCTGGGGAGCAGCAGTTGGACGGTGGGGTGAGTTCTGCTTCAGTGCAGAGGGGCTGGGGCGTCTCCCCAAGGGGATCCGAGAGGTGTCTGGACACACGGGGTGGGGTCAGTGGGGAGGGGTGGACTGGGAGGTTGTCCCGACTGTGGAGAGGGACGCCCAGGCTGTGGGGGATGAGAAGGGAGGTGGGGACAGATGGTTTCCGCACAGCTCCTGGGAGCCCGGGAGCCCAGGAGCCCTGGCGTTTAGGGCTGGAGCTCAGGGTGGGGGCAGAGGAGAGGCCCAGAAAGGCCCCCACAGGGCCTGGGAGGCGGACTAGACACCCTGAAGGGAACAGAGGGAGGGGACCCCAGTGAGCCTGTGCTCATGAGTGGCCATGATGACCCCAACTCTGAGTGTGAGCTGTGGGGTAGGGACCCGAGGCCAGTCTGCCCACCCTCTCTTGGCTGCCCCTCAGCCCCTTCTCCCCACCTCATACTCACTCCAGGACCTCTGTGTGGCCTGCACTTCCTCGCCTGCAGGAGCCCGAGATTTGCTAAGGCTCAGGAGGGCCTTGGCCTTGCCCTTGTCAGCCAGCTGCAGGGGAGCAGGCATGGGGGCCAGGAACTCACCACCAGCCCCACCCAGGGGATTCAGCTCTCACCCAGGACAGGCACCCAAACCGGTCTCCTCACCCCACACCCCAGCTCCTGTGGACGGGCTCTGCTGCCCAGAGGACAGCCCCGCAGGCCCCGTTCCCCTAGAACCGCGTCAGCCCCAGCGCGTGCAGTTATTTTGACAGTGTTTGTCAGGGGCGGGCAGGTGGCGGGTCCCAACCCCAGAAACCCAACCCCTCCACCAGCACAGGGGACTCCCTCTGGGCAGTGGGCCGGCCAGGCCTCTCGGCTTTCACAATATTTTGGTGGAGCTGTGTCCAAGAACAGTATTTGGTTTTGGAAATGGAGCTAATTAGGTTTCGCTGGGGCTAGCCCCTTCCCGCTCCCCTTCCCCCTTGTTTCTAATTAGCAGGAAATTGACAAGGAATTTACATGCCTGAGGACAATTTTACAAGTTCCAAATGTTTCTTTTGTTTCTCCCCTTGTCAGCTCCCTCTGCTCTTGGCACCACCCTGCTGCCCACCCACCCAGCTGGGTGTGGAGAGGGACAGCACCCCCAGGGTCCCCAGAGGCGGTGGCCTGGCCCCCTCTGTGGGGCGATGGGTAACCCCAGGGCAGCCGGGAGTGTGGAGAGCTTGGGGCAGACCCTAGCCGGGAAGGGAGGGCCCAGACCGAGGGCCCAGGCTGGGCAACCGTTTCAGGGACCCCAGACACTCACCCCCCACCAGGCAGGGTGAGCACAGCTGCTGCTCTCTGCCCCCGGAGCCACTGGCCTTTCTCCATTTCAACATATTACCCTAGCCCCAGCAGCCTGAGACACCCAGATGAGAGGCCGAGGGGCTGGGAGCTCCCAGGGTGTCCAGCAGGTGGGTGAGCCCTTCCTCCGCGACCCACCCGTCCTTCCTCGCCTCTCCTCTGGGGGCGCCAGGAGCTGCGCCTGCCACCTGTCCCTGGTTTCCAAGGTCTTGGTGCCTGTTTGTAAAGACCCAGCAGAGATGCTCTGTAACACTCACTGCCTGCCCCGCGTCCCCCGAAAATCCACTGCCTGCCCCGCGTCCCCCGAAAATCCCCACTGGCACTGGGCCAGGCAGGGGAGAGACTGGCCTCGGGTTTGCATCTCCCATCTCTGAGGTGTGGGGAGCTGAACATGGGGGCAGAGGGTGAGTGTTTCACGGGGACAGAACTGCGGTTCGGGGAGGTGAGAGGTTCTGGCCATGGATGCTCGTGACGGCTGCACGGCAGGGGGAGTGTGCCCAGTGCCCCTGAACTGTGCACCAAAAATGGGAAATTTTATGTTACCCATATTTCACTACAATTTTATAAAAACAAAAGCAAAAACCAGCCCGGCGCTGTGGCTCACGCCTGTAATCCCAGTACTTTGGGAGGCCAAGGCGGGTGGATCACGAGGTCAGGAGATCGAGACCATCCTGGCTAACATGGTGAAACCCCGTCTCTACTAAAAATACAAAAAGTTAGCTGGGCCTGGTGGCGGGCTCCTGTAGTCCCAGCTACTCGGGAGGCTGAGACAGGAGAATGGCGTGAACCCGGGAGGTGGAGCTTGCAGTGAGCCGAGGTCACGCCACAGCACTGCAGCCTGGGCGACAGAGGGCAGAGCGAGACTCCGTCTCAAAAAAAAAAAAAAAAAAAAAAGAGCAAAAACCTTCCCTAGGCTGTAACCTGGAGTCAGTGCCAGCTGGTGTCCGGGAGGCACCTGGAGCACCTGTCTCAGGGAGTCTTTCTCCAGCCTCACCCCTAAGGCCTCCCATTGACCTTGGCTCTTTCCCACACAGATAACTTCTACCTGCGCAACCTGCCGCCCCAGCCCACGCTGCTGCCGGCCAACCACAACTTCCCCAGCGTGGCCCGGGCCGCCCCTGCCCACCCCATGGGCTCCTGCAGCCGGGATCGAGACCGGGGTGAGGCAGGCTCCCTGCAGAAGGGCCCCAAGGACTTCGACCGCTTCCTCGTGGGCAAAGAGCTGGGCAGAGAGAAGGCGGGCAAGGCCGCTGAGGGCAAGGAGCGGCCAGCGGCAGAGGAGGACGGTGGCAAGGAGCGGCACAAGCTGGTGCTGCCCGTGCCAGCCGACGGGCA